>NC_000024.10:20998667-21369104 GCF_000001405.40 Homo sapiens | reverse complement strand
GAGCATTATAATAATACTACCTCATAGGTTTTACCATTAAAATTAAATCAAGTAATATTTGTAAAGCATGTATAACAGTGACTGCTGCATACTAAGCAAGGTATGCCTTTATTAAATATAATTCAGTAATTAAATGTTAACATTTTTCTGTATCAGTTAATTTCTCTTAGGAGTTGAAAAAGTAAATAAATATTATGAGGATATTGAAGGCTGTACAACACCTCCATCTTTTCTTCCTCCTTTCTCTCCATAAGTAATCATTATCCTGAATTTTGTGTATAATTCTCCCACACATATGTTTTATAGAGAAAATATCATATATATATATGATATATATGATATATATATACACACACACACTATTGCTTTGGAGGCATTTAAAGAGTATATAATATTTTATACCAAATATATCCCTTTGCAATTTAGTTTTCAAACTTGTTATTATAGTTTTGAAATTGTGAATGTTTATACTGACAGTTCTATTTCTTTCATTTTAACCACTGTATTGCATTCCATTATGTGAAAGAAAAGCAATCTTTTACACATACTCTCCATTGAGAGTTAAAAGTTTTCCACGATGTCTTCTTAACTGCAAAACATTTGGTCCTGTTTTCTTTTTATAAACATATGAAAATGCTTTTTTGTAGTGTATATCAAGAAATAAAAGTTCCTGGTAATTTGGTATGTTTGTCTCCAAATTTACCAAGCATGGCTACAGAACTCTCTGAAGTTACCATGTCAATTCACAGCAACAGTGTATTAAATACTAAGGTTCCTGCTTCCCAATACTCTTGTCAACATTTGATGATGTTTGACTTTTCAATTTTAGTCAGTATCATGGGTTAAAAAAATGGCCTTTTATTGTGGTCTTAATTTTCTTTTCATGTATTTGTTAAACATTCAGCATTTTTTCCTCTGTGAAGTGCCTGCTCATACGCTTCACTCTTGTTCTATATTTTGCCCTTTATCTGGCCGATTTATGTGTGTTATTTTATTTTGTACTAATGCTTTGTGCTACAGCTCTCTTCAGTTAGTCATATGATTAGCTTATTTTTTCATGATGTCTTATGTCAAAAAGATTTTTATTTTAGTATGTGTACTTTTAAAATTTTTATTTTTACTTCTATTATTATTGCTTTATTTATATTTATTTGAGATGGAGTCTTGCTCTGTCACCTGGCTGTGGTGCAGTTGCACCATCTCTGCTCACTGCAACCTCCACCTCCCATCTTCAACTGATTCTGCTGCCTCAGCCTCTTGAGTAGCTGGGAGTACAGGCACCCAACATCACGTCCGGCTAACTTTTGTGTTTTTAGTAGAGACGGGTTTCACCATGTTGGCCAGGATGGTCTTGTTCTCTTGACCTCATGATCTGCCCACCTCGGCCTCCCAAAGTCCTGGGATTACAGGTGTGATCCACCACACCTGGCTAAGATTTTTATTTTTTATGAAAGCCTTTTAGGTGCTATTAACAGTATTTTTCTGATACTATAAATTATTCTCTAATATTTTCTTCTAGCAATTTGGCAGCTTTGGTTTTCACAAGTATTTTTAAAATCATCATCCATTTAGTCTTGTGTATACCATGACATAAAGGTTTATTTTTATATGTCATTAACAAATGTGTTTAGCCAATTTGCCTTCAGTTTTTTTCTTAGGCTATTATTGAGTAGTGTATTACTTCAGCATTGTTTAGACTGTAATTCTGTCATAATAGTGTATTTTTCTAGGTTACTTCTATTTGCAATAGATTTTTCCCTACTATAATATTTAGAAATAGCTGTATAAAAGTGTTCACTATTAAACAGAGTCCTCGGCTGGATGCAATGGCTCATGCCTGTAAACCCACCACTTTGGGAGACTGAGGCAGGGGTGGGTCGTAAGGTCAGGAGTTTGAGAACAGCCTGGCCAACATGGTGAAACCCATTTCAACAAAAAATACAAAAACTAGCCAGGCATGGTGGCAGGCATTACCAGCTACTCAGGAGGCTGAGGCAGGAGAGTCACTTGAAACTGGAAGGCGGAGGTTGCAGTGAGCCAAGATTGTATCACTACACTCCAGCCTGGGCAACAAGAGCAAAACTCCTTCTCCAAAAATTAAATAAATAAATAAATAATAAAATAAATAAATAAATAAATAAAGAGTCCTCTTTTCCATCTTCCTCTTCCATACCATTGTTCTCCTGAACTTACTGTAAATTTGCCTAGATGAGTCCCACCCTTTTCAATTCCATATTTAGAATCAGGTTGTCAATGTGCATGAAGCATCTTGCTGTAATTTTTATTATTATTGCCTGAATTTATACATTAATATAAAAAGAGACGTCTTATCATGTGAAGATTTTTTTAACAATGGCCTGGCACACTTCTTATGTTTTTTTGGCTTTCATTTATTATGCCTTTCAATAAAATTTAGTACTTTTCCTTGAAAATTTTTGGGTTTTTTTTTACTACATTCATTTTTATATGGCTCACAATTTTGTTTGTTCTCATAAACTCTGTCAATTAAATTGTAATTAAATTCTAATCATATTGTTCAGAATTTTAGGTACACCTTACCTATATGCTTAATTACTCATTGTTAGTGTTATTGTTTACATTGTTATTGCTAGCTTAGGGATATGTTCTTCTTTATTAATTTCTTTACTCATCTTACTTCTTAAATTTTCCCTTTGTGTGAAATTTCTTCTTTCCTGAAACTTAACCTTAAGAAATTATTTCAGCAAACAAACTGTACTATAACCTTTCAAGTTTGGTATATCATAAAGTATCTTCATTTTACACTCACACTTTAATGATAGTTTTTAAAAATATATATTATTTTAGATCATGGCTTGAAAAAACCCTACTTCTTTATGTTTAATTGTTGCTTTTTAGAAACTTCTTGCTAGTGTAAATGCCATTCATGTATGGGAAATTTGTCATTTATTTCTAGTACGCTTTAAGATAATTTCATTGTGTTTGCTATCTGTTTAGGGTGTTTTTTGTTTGTTTGTTTGTTTGTTTTGGGGGAGAACAATAAAGATCCACTCTCCGAGCAAGTTTTTTAAGTATACAGTATAGTATTGGTAACCATAGTCACCATAGGGGAATGTTTGCATGAGCTACCGTTTAAGTTCCAGTTGTCAAGACTTGCAGCATATAATGAGTTGCCCTCTCCAGATGTCTCAGATCTGTAATAGTATAGCTTACTGCTCCCGGCATATAAAAACTTTTTTTCAAAAAAACAATAGTCGCTGCAAATGTGGAACCTTTGCACTCAGCTTGATATCTGCAAATGTGTATTATCTTGCACTCAATCTGAATGTTCTATGTCAGACCTATTGTCTAATTTTCAATACCACCGTCATAGCCTGTGACTGAGGATCAGTGAAGGGACAAGCAGTGGCTCTCCTCACACTACCGGCCCAATGTGTCACATGTAAAGTAAGTGAAAACACTGTGCTTACTTTGCAAATACTGCTTTAAGACATATCTCTTAGCATGTTACATATAATCAAGTTTATCCCTCATGGATTTCCCAGTGACATGGTCCAGACTTATTCTCCACTTCTGTCAAAAAAATGTTTATTTCATGTTGGTTAGTTCTTATTCTGCCTGTGTTTTTTTCTTTATTTTTAAAGAGAAGAAAAATACACAAGACTGAAATATTTTTTGCAATTTACATAGAAGTAACCCTGTATGTCACTTAGAATGCATATGTGTGTGTGTAGAAATATTTGAGTTGTGTGTTCCTTTTTATTATTTTGCCACTATGTCAATAGGTAGAACTTATGTTCTTTTCCATTAATTAACAAAAATAATGTGTGGGTATGGTTGTGTGACTTTAAAACTCAAAACAAGTTTATTTTATTATAAAACATCTAATTTAATTTTGTGAAATCAGACATAGATTTTAAAATATCTTCAAATCAATTTGAAGTCATCTAACTTCTTTTAAATTCAATTAAGTACCTTTTTTAGTTTGTTTTTTGATGGTCTCAAATCTTGCTCCATGTCATTTTCTCAGAGAAAATTAGTAACACAACATCAGCTTTACCAATTCAACATTTTTAGTGCCTTACCTCCGCTTGATCTTAAAGTCTCAGCTCATTTTATTGGGAGACTTCACCATCTTTATTTCAACTAAGTTCTTGAAGACTTCAAAACTGAGTGGTTAAATAAATTAATTATCATCTATTTCTGTGATGGAACTATTCCTACTCAGGGTGCTGGAGATGATACCATTTCATGGCCTTAAGTTTCAAATCAAAGACAAACTAAATCAAATTGAATTATTCACTGCCTTTCCTTAGCTACCTGACATTATGGTCCAATCAGTAACATGTTAAAGCCTGTAAATTAGGTCAAAAAAGCACAAGCCATGGTTCAATTGGACTTCTCGTTAAAAATGAGCAAAGAAGGAGGGAATGAAGGAAGGAAGAAAGGGAAGGAAGGAAGGGAGGGAGGGAGGGAGGAAGGGAGGTGTCACAAAAAGCTAAAGATAAAGCTTGTCATCAGCATGAACTCGGTTACTGCATTATTTCATTAAATAAGAAAGCCAAAATTTGTGCTATGCAGTAAGTGTAAATGGAAGTGGATCTCTGTTATCCATACATTATTTGTAGGTTCTGGCTTCAACTGAACCAGTCAAACCCAACTTGCACCATATGGCATGACCTGATCATGTTCCTGAAGCTTTTTAAACATGGTCCATTTTTTGTTTATGGTCTTATTTCTTTGGTGACTTCCAGATAGTCTTATTGACCATCAATCCCTTATTCACTCTCAGCCTCTCAGTTTATTATTTCTATGTTTGTTTGTTTATTTATTTATTTATTTTTGGAACTTTGTATTTCAGGAAAGACCACAGTGGCACACGTCTCCTTTTGTTTTACTCTGGCACTAAGTTTGATGTAGGGCCATCAATCTTCTATGTTTCAAATTATACATAACCTACGATTTACAAGCAGTTTGTCATAAAAAATTTGCATATTTTTCATTCAACATCTCTTTCCACTTTGCTAATTCACCTTCTTGTCTTCTGAATGCTTTTCCAATTGGACCTTACCAGCCATCTCCCCTTTCTAGAAATGTAGATGAGACTGCTTTTTTTTCCAACAATGTAGATGAGACTGCTTTTCTAACTGCAGTGATGGATCTAATTGGAACTTCATAAATCTTTACAAAATTACAGCCGATACTTTGATTGCCATCAGTGAGGAATCACTGAAACTATTTTTGTCAAAATAAATCTTGGTGTGGGATGGGCTTTTCCAAAACAGTACTATCACTTTGTTTCAGTTTTTAGGATACATTTTTGGGGGTGGTAGAAGGGAATAACTGGACCTTCAATGAGTTAGAATAAAACAAACCATCATCACTTCAATCTATAATTATAAGAACTTCAGAAGAACCAGTACACTGAGTTTAAACTGTAGTATCAATTCACAAAATTCCTCCTTTTGATAATACAGCGTATTTCCCAAGAGGAACACTCTTTAGTCAGATGGGTCCTGTATTTACAAGTGGCTTTGGAGACTTGTGATTTTACACCAGCACCTACAGTAACTAGAGTAGAGTTACTGGTTCCCTAGCTTTGTGTCTGTCTATATGTCAACAGGGGGAAAAAGACTTAAATAATCAAAACTGATGACTCTAGAGGGAATCCCTCTAATGCCTCGGCTGTTATTAATGCACCCTGAGGGGAACACTTTAATGGCTCATGACCATGGCCCTTCTTTCCTGGCCAATCTGCCCCCTGGATCTTCCGTAAGACCAGTATAGCCTCTGTTAACTTTAACTCATCAGCAAGGCACCTTTTTCTGGCTCCATAGTTCCTACTTAAACAAAACAAAACAAAAACAGACAATGCATATCTTGAATATCCTTGAATAAGGCTTCAGTTAAAACAGAAGACAAAAATTGAGACCAATTGATAATGTCCTTTTTAAATAGAGCAGAACTGTCTTCTATTTCTTTATAAGAAGTGATCAGCTGGCAATGAGAAACCTAGAAAAGTTGTGAAAATTAATTTGCTTCTCCAAGAAAGTGCAATAAATCATCCTTTATAATTTTACTCAAAATGCAGGAAACTGATGGTCTGTATGTCATCCACTATTCTCTTCATTGCAATGAAGTTAAAAGATGGAATGAACAAAAATGGTTAATACTATACTTACGTTTTAACTAAAAAGCTAAGGTTTACAATGCGTTTTATTTTACCCAGAAGTGGATAGCCATTATTCCAACTGTATTCATTTGGATGTGTTTGAGGATTAAATCCATAATGTGTGAAACAGAGTATCCAGTCATATCTTATTCTTCCTGTCTTGTGTGTAGCTGATCCACCACATTTTGAAGAGTTGTGTCATTGATTCATGGGTATAAACTGAAATAAGTGAAACTAGCATGTATCTTGAGTATCCCTTATTCTTGCTAGACACAATGTCACAGATGCAGTACCTCCCACAAAGCTTTATGGATCTCTTCATCACTAATCAACTATGGCAGAGCTCCAAATTACTATACCTCCTAGGAGGATTTCTACTTTGGGATACCTGGAGCCTAGGTTTCTGTTCTTCCTACAAATTACAGATTCCATTATTTGGTGACAAATCATTTATTTAGTAGCAATATGTGCTGTATGGTGGTGTAAAGTAAAACTAATAAGCTTTCTAGTTTAGAAAGTATCAAAAAATTGTCAAATGAGTCCTTTTTTAACAATGGTAACAGAAACTAGCAACTGCATATGTTGAAAGCAATAACCTCTTTGTTGTTTCAGAGGAATAGATGGAAACCCAACATCAGCATGATAGCAAGTTCTACTTAAGTAGAATACTGTTTATATTTTTAGGTACCGTATGATTTTAACTTTGCTGGGTTGGTATTAAGGTAGGTGCATGATTAATTCCTGATGAATGAAAATAAATATATTATATATAAAAATGATACTACTAGTCAGGTATTTAGGAATTACAAAAGTTGTTCTTTACTGTCAGATATTCATTACCTCCAGTGAAAACTGTAAAAAAGCACACTTTTCAAAGCAAATGTGTGTCTGTCTCTGGAAATATTTGTGTGATTGAAACTCAATGATTCCTTCTCTCCTAGAGGCTTCCAATGGAGAGATCATTATTGAAGCACACATTAAAATATAATCCTGAGATAACATTATTTATGTCAACATTAAGAAGAATTTTGGGAGGTGTTGGTAGTTATTTCTTTTTTCTTTCTTTCTTTTTTATTTTCAGATGGAGTCTCATGGTTTGTCGCCCAAGCTGGAGTGCAGTGGCATGATCTCAGCTCACTGCAAGCTGTGCCTCCTGAGTTTACAGCATTCTCCTGCCTCAGCCTCCCAGCTAGCTGGGACTACAGGGACCCACCACCACGCCCAGCTAATTTTTTGTATTTTTAGTAGAGATGGGGTTTCACCATAGCCAGGATGGTCTTGATTTCCTGACCTCATGATCAACCTGTCTCAGAGTCCCAAAGTGCTGAGATTACAGGCATGAGCTACTGTGCCAGACCATAGTTATTTTAATATCCAGTAAACAATTTTAACTTAAGGTAACTTCATATTTCTTTGTAACATTAAAGACTCTTTGGATTCAACTTTAAATCTTCAATATAGTGGATTTAACTATTTAGAGTAAGGACAGATAAATTTAAGAGAATAAATTTGGTTGAAATATCTAATTTATGACAGAAGATATGCTGTCTACACTGATCATTTCACAGTTACCTTGTGAAAGATCATAAAGCACCATAGGCAAATCCAGGATTCTGTCCTTGGGCTCTGATTGTTCTTGCTGGGCCTTCCTCCAAATTCTGACTGCCTCACTTCCATTCAAGTTTGAGTGGGGCACTGTAGGTGGTTTAAGCAATGAAAGTCGACCTGCAACTGCAACAAAACGTTAATCATATAATCTTATTCAGTGTCTTTGTACCACATTATGACACTAATCTCGATGAGCATAGTTCAGTTTCTGCAATCCTCTTGAATGAGGACTTTGTTAATAAGTTTCCATAGTAACTTACTTGATCTTGGAAACATATTCCTCTTGGAAATTTAGTTGTGTATATCTATGATGTGTTGATTAATTACTGGCTCTTTTGCTGCAAGCAACTATACATAAGATCAAAACAAAATTAGCAAAACACCAGGCGCGATGGCTCACATCTGTAATCCAAGCACTTTGTGAGGCTGAGTCGGGTGGATCACTTGAGGTCAGGAGTTCAAGCCCAGCCTGGGTAATATGGCAAAACCCCATTTCTACTACAAATACAAAAATTAGCTGGGCATGGTGGTCAATGTCTTTGGTCCAACTATTCAGGAGGCTGAGAAAGAAGAATCACTTGAACCCAAAGGAGGAGATTGCAGTGAGCTGAGATTGTGCCACTGCACTCCTGCCTGGGTGACCCAGTGAGACCCTGTCTCAAAAATATATATGAAATATATATAAAATAAAATGTAAAAGCTCTAGGTTATCCTGCTCCCTGTGTATCATACATCATCATTTAAAGAACAGGACACCTATTTATAAAAATGAGACTATGCCAGCAATAATATTAAAAATAAACATTTAATTTTTTTTCTTTATATTTAAGTTTTAGGATACATGTGCACAATGTGCAGATTTGTTCCATATATATACATGCACCATTTTTGTTTGCTGCACCCATTAACTCGTCATTTAACATTAGGTATATCTCCTAATGCTATCCCTTACCACTCCCCACACCCAACAACAGGCCCCAGTGTGTCATGTTCCCCTTCCTGTGTCCATGTGTTCTCATTGTTCAATTCCCACCTATGAGTGAGAACATGCCCGGTTTGGTTTTTTTTCCTTGAGATAGTTTGCTGAGAATGATGGTTTCCAGCTTCATCCATGTCCCTACAAAGGACATGAACTCATCATTTTTTATGGCTGCTTAGTATTCCATGGTGTATATGTGCCACATTTTCTTAATCCAGTCTATCATTGTTGGACATTTGGGTTGGTTCCAAGTCTTTGCTATTGTGAATAGTGCTGCAATAATCATACGTGTGCATGTGTCTTTATAGCAGCGTATTTTATAATCCTTTGGGTATATACCCAGTAATGGGATGGCTGGGTCAAATGGTATCTCTAGTTCTAGATCCCAGAGGAATCACCACACTGACTTCCACAATGGATGAACTAGTTTACAGTCCCACCAACAGTGTAAAAGTGTTCCTATTTCTCCACATCCTGTCCAACACCTGTTGTTTCAAGACTTTTTAATGATTGTCATTCTAACTGGTGCAAGATGGTATCTCATTGGGTTTTGATTTGCATTTCTCTGATGGCCAGTGATGAGCATTTTTTCATGTGTCTTTTGGCTGCATAAATGTCTTCTTTTGAGAACTGTCTGTTCATATCCTTCACCCACTTTTTGATGTGGTTGTTTGTTTTTTTCTTGTAAATTTGTTTGATTGATTGTAGATTCTGGTTATTAGACCTTTGTCAGATGAGTAGATTGCAAAAATTTTCTCCCATTCTGTAGGTTGCCTGTTCAATCTGATGGTAGTATCTTTTGCTGTGCAGAAGCTTTTTAGTTTAATTAGATCCCATTTGTTAATTTTGGCATTTGTTGCCGTTGCTTTTGGTGTTTCGGACATGAAGTCCTCGCACATGCCTATGTACTGAATGGTATTGCCTAGGTTTTCTTCTAGGGTTTTTATGGTTTTAGGTCTAACATTTAAGTCTTTAATCCATCTTGAATTAATTTTTATATAAAGTGTAAGGAAGGGATCCAGTTTCAGCTTTCTACATATGGCTAGCCAGTTTTCCCAGCACCATTTATTAAATAGCGAATTCTTTCTCCATTTCTTGTTTTTGTCAGGTTTGTCAAAGACCAGATAGTTGTAGATATGTGGCATTATTTCTGATGGCTCCGTTCTGTTCCATTGGTCTATATCTCTGTTTTGGTACCAGTAGCATGCTGTTTTGGTAACTGCAGCCTTGTAGCATCGTTTGAAGTCAGGTAGCATGATGCCTCCAGCTTTGTTCTTTTGGCTTAGGATTGACCTGGCAATGCGGGCTCTTTTTTGGTTCCATATGAACTTTAAAGTAGTTTTTTTGAATTCTATAAAGTCATTGGTAGCTTGACGGGGATAGCATTGAATCTATAAATTACCTTGGGCAGTATGGCCATTTACATGATATTGCTTCCTCCTATCCATGAGCTTGGAATGTTCTTCCATTTGTTTGTATCCTTTTTTATTTTATTGAGCAGTGGTTTATATTCTCCTTGAAAAGTTCCTTCAAGTCCCTTGTAAATTGGATTCCTAGGTATTTTATTCTCTTTGAAGCCATTGTGAATGAGAATTCACTCATGATTTGGCTGTTTGTCTGTTATTGTTGTATAAGAATACTTGTGATTTTTGCACATTTATTTTGTATGCTGAGACTTTGCTGAAGTTGCCTATCAGCTTAAGGAGATTTTGGGCTGAGACAGTGGGGTTTTGTAGATATACAATCATGTTATCTGCAAACAGGGACAATTTGACTTCCTCTTTTCCTAATTGAATATCCTTTATTTCCTTCTCCTGCCTTATTGCCCTTGCGAGAACTTCCAACACTTTGTTGAATAGCAGTGGTGAAAGAGGGCATCCCTGTCTTGTGCCAGTTTTCAAAGGGAATGCTTCCAGTTTTTGCCTATTCTGTATGATATTGGCTGTGGGTTTGTCATAGACAGTTCTTATTATTTTGAGATATGTCCCATCAATACCTAATTTATTGAGAGTTTTTAGCATGAAGAGCTGTTGAATTTTGTCAAAGTTCTTTTCTGCATCTATTGCAATAATTATGTGGTTTTTGTCGTTGGTTCTGTTTATATGCTGGCTTACGCTTATTGATTTGCATATGTTGAACCAACCTTGCATCACAGGGATGCAGCCCACTTGATCATGGTGGATAAGCTTTTTGATGTGCTGCTGGATTCGGTTTGCTAGTATTTTATTGAGGATTTTGCATTGATGTTCATCAGGCATATTAGTCTAAAATTCTCTTTTTGTGTGTGTGTCTCTGCCTGGCTTTGGTATCAGGATGATGCTGGCCTCATAAGATGAGTTAAGGAGGATTCTTTCTTTTTCTATTGATTGTAATGGTTTCAAAAGGAATGGTACCAGCTCCTACTTGTACCTCTGGTAGAATTCGGCTGTGAATACATCTGGTCCTGGAGTTTTTTTTGGTTGGTAAGCTATTAATTATTGCCTCAATTTCAGAGCCTGTTATTGGACTATTCAGAGATTCAACTTCTTCCTGGTTTAGTCTTTGGAGGGTGTATGTGTTGAGGAATTTGTCCATTTCTTCTAGATTTTCTAGTTTATTTGCGTAGAGGTGTTTATAGTGTTCTCTGATGTTAGTTTGTATTTCTGTGGGATTGGTGGTGATATCCCCTTTGTCATTTTTTATTGTGTCTATTTGATTCTTCTCTCTTTTCTTCTTTATTAGTCTTGCTAGTGGCCTATCAATTTTGTTGATCCTTTCAAAAAACCAGCTCCTGGATTCATTGATTTTTTGAAGGGTTTTTTGTGTCTCTATTTCCTTCAGTTCTGCTCTGATCTTAGACATTTCTTGCCCTCTGCTAGCTTTTGAATGTGTTTGTTCTTGCTTCTCTAGTTCTTTTAATTGTGATGTTAGGGTGTCAATTTTAGATCTTTCCTGCTTTCTCTTGTGGGCATTTAGTGCTTTAAATTTCCCTCTACACACTGCTTTGAATGTGTCCCAGAGATTCTTGTATGTTGTGTCTTTGTTCTCGTTGGTTTCAAAAAAATATGTTTATTTCTGCCTTCATTTCATTATGTACCCAGTAGTCATTCAGGAGCAGGTTGTTCAGTTTCCATGTAGTTGAGCTGTTTTGAGTGAGTTTCTTAATCCTGAGTTCTAATTTGATTGCACTGTGGTCTCAGAGACAGTTTGTTATAATTTCTGTTCTTTTACATTTGCTGAGGAGTGCTTTACTTCCAACTATGTGGTCAATTTTGGAATAGGTGTGCTGTGGTGCTGAAAAAATGTATATTCTGTTGATTTGGAGTTGGGGGGTTCTGTAGATGTCTATTAGGTCTGCTTGGTGCAGAGCTGAGTTCAATTCCTGGGTATCCTTTTTAACTTTCTGTCTCGTTGATCTGTCTAATGTTGACAGTGGGGTGTTAAATTCTCCCATTATTATTGTGTGGGAGTCTAAGTCTCTTTGTAGGTCTCTAAGGACTTGCTTTATGAATCTGGGTGCTCCTGTATTGGGTGCATATGTATTTAGGATAGTTAGCTCTTCTTGTTGAATTGATCCCTTTACCATTATGTAATGCTTCTTTGTCTCTTTTGATCTTTGTTGGTTTAAAGTCTGTTTCATCAGAGACTAGGATTGCAACCCCTGCCTTTTTTTTTGTTTTCCATTTGCTTGGCAGATCTTCCTCCATCGCTTTTATTTTGAGCGTATATGTGTCTCTGCATGTGAGATGGGTTTCCTGAACATAGCACCCTGATGGGTCTTGACTCTTTATCAAATTTGCCAGTCTATGTCTTTTAACTGGAGCATTTAGCCGATTTACATTCAAGGTTAATATTGTTACAGTGAATTTGATCCTGTCATTATGATGTTAGCTGGTTATTTTGTTCATTAGTTGATGCAGTCTCTTCCTAGCCTCAATGGTCTTTACAATTTGGCATGTTTTTGCCATGGCTGGTACTAGTTGTTCCTTTCCAGGTTTAGGGCTTCCTTCAGGAGCTCTTTTAGGGCAGGCCTGGTGGTGACAAAATCAGCATTTGCTTGTGTGTAAAGGACTTTATTTCTCCTTCATTTATGAAGCTTAGTTTGGATATGAAATTCTGTGTTGAAAATTCTTTTCTTTAAGAATGTTGAACATTGACCCCCACTATCTTCTGGCTTGTAGAGTTTCTGCCAAGACATCAGCTGTTAGTCTGATGGGCTTCCCTTTGTGGGTAACCTGACCTTTCTCTCTGGCTGCCCTTAACCTTTTTTCCTTCATTTCAACTTTGGTGAGTCTGACAATTATGTGTCTTGGAGTTGCTTTTCTCGAGGGGTATCTTCGTGGAATTCTCTGTATTTCCTGAATTTGAATGTTGGACTGCCTTGCTAGATTGGTGAAGTTCCCCTGGATAATATCCTGCAGAGTGTTTTCCAACTTGGTTCCATTCTCCCCGTCACTTTCAGGTACACCTGTCAGACATAGATTTGGTCTTTTCACATACTCCCATAATTCTTGGAGGCTTTGTTGGTTTCTTTTTATTCTTTTTTCTCTAAACTTCTCTTCTCACTTCATTTCATTAATTTGATCTTCCATCACTGATACCCTTTCTTCCAGTTGCACGAATCAGCTACTAAGGCTTGTGCATTCATCACATTGTTCTCGTGCCGTGATTTTCAGCTCCATCAGGTCCTTTAAGGACTTCTCTGCATTGGTTATTCTAGTTAGCCATTTGTCTAATTTCTTTTCAACATTTTTAACTTCTTTGCCGTAGGTTTGAACTTCCTCCTTTAGCATGGAGTAGTTTGATCATGTGAAGCCTTCTTTCAGCTCATCAAAGTCATTCTCCATCCAGCTTTGTTGCATTGCTTGTGAGGAGCTGCGTTCCTTTGGAGGAGGAGAGGCACTCTGATTTTTAGAGTTTCCAGTTTTTCTGCTCTGTTTTTTCCCCATCTTTGTGGTTTTATCTTCCTTTGGTCTTTGATAATGGTGACATACAGATGGAGTTTTGGTGTGGATGTCCTTTCTGTTTGTGAGTTCTTCTAACAGTCAGGATCCTCAGCTGCAGGTATGTTGGAGTTTCCTGGAGGTCCACTCCAGACCCCGTTTGCCTGGGTATCAGCAGCAGAGGCTGCAGAACAGCAGATATTGGTGCACAGCAAATGTTGCTGCCTGATGTTCTTCTGGAAGTTTTGTATCAGAGGAGAACCCGGGCATGTGAGGTGTCAGTCTGCCCCTACTGGGGGGTGCCTCCCATTTAGGCTACTCAGGGGTCAGGGACCCACTTGAGGAGGCAGTCTGTCCATTCTCAGATACCCAGCTGCATGCTGAGAGAACCACTGCTGTCTTCAAATCTGTCAGACAGGGACATTTAATTCTGCAGGGTTTTCTGCTGCCTTTTGTTTGGCTATGCCCTGCCCCCAGAGGTGGAGTCTACAGAAGCAGGCAGGCCTCCTTGAGCTGCAGTGGGCTCCATCCAATTCAAGCTTCCTGGCTGTTTTGTTTACCTACTCAAGCCTCAGCAATCGTGGGTGCCCCTCCCCCCGCCTCGCTGCTGCCTTGCAGTTTGATCTCAGACTGCTGGGCTAGCAATGAATGAGGCTCCATGGGCATAGGACCCTCTGAGCCAGGCACAGGATATAACCTCCTGGTATGCCATTTGCTAAGACTGCTAGAAAAGTGCAGTATTAGGGTGGGAGTGACCTGATTTTCCAGGTGCCATCTGTCACCCCTTTCTTTGACTAGGAAAGGGAATTCCCTGACCCCTTGTGCTTCCTGGGTGAGGTGATGCCTCATCCTGCTTCAGCTCATGCTCGGTGCGCTGCACCCACCATCCTGCACCCACTGTCTGACACTCCCCAGTGAGATGAACCCAGTACCTTAGTTGGAAATGCAGAAATCATCCGCCTTCTGCTTCATTCATTCTGGGAGCTGTAGAATGGAGCTTTTCCTATTCGGCCATCTTGGCTCCACCTAAAAATTTAATTTTTAAGTTCATTATTAAAAGAAGCCTTAAAAAGGTGCAGAACAGATAAAGTTCCAATGTGTATCTTTATTAAAATAGGAAGAAATTTTTGAATCAAACAATGAATTAATGTCAAAATTTGTTAAATGGAATCTCATATGTATGATACTGTGTGTTAATACTTTGGCACGTGTGTTTGGCAATTTTGTGACAAAAAGAGAAAAAATCTTAACATTTCAACTTACCTTGTATTTGACAAAACATAATCCCTAATAACCATGTAAATTAAATTTAATATTTCATGTTAATTTGAATTATAATAAATTTGCCATGTAGAATATTTATGTGTGCATGTGTTTGAGAGGGAATTTCTCATTGTAAAATGGATTATGTTACAAAATTATTTCATTTTAGTTATTTTAAAAAAGGTATACATTTTCCAATAATAATAATAATACCAAAAGAACTAGGAAGATGTATAACAATCTTTATATTTGCAGGATCCAAGATTAATAAACTCTGACTGGCAAGACATAATTCACTTTGATTCTAAAATAAGTAGGAGGATGGTTAGAAGAGTGGAGGAATACAGCCAGTGGAAGTGAGAAAAAGACATGACAATTGAACACCCTTAAAATCAGGAGCAAAGGATAAAGCTTTCTGGGTGTACATGTAGAAAGGTAACATGTACAAGTCACTTGCAATCTAATTCTTCACAGAATAAAAACCACCTGACAGCTTATTATTTAAAATTAATAGTCCTATTGCTTAGCACATATTCATACTTTCCATGGCAGAATTCTGCTTTCCTGCTCCTTGCTTCCTGGTAGGGGCCAATGGGATGCTCAGACGTGGGAAACAAGGAAGGTCGTGAAATGTGTTTGGCAATTGAACTCACCCTCTTGCCTTCCTGCTTTTCTTTACAAGTAGAAAATAACTTAGCTTTACGTTTAAAGAGAACACATTAGAGTGCACTGAGACAAAACCAAGTCCAACTAAGCCTAGAAGAGTAAAAAATCCCTCTTCATCTGCAATTACAAAGGCAAAAAATACATGCTTACTATAAAATGCCACCAAGTTTTGGTATGGATAATTAGGCAGCATTATTGATACACTAACTTTTATACTCATTACCTAAAAAAAAAAAAAATAGTTTTGCCAAACAAGCATTTGGTAAAAAAGTGTTAGACTAAGGCCTATACAGGAAAATTAAAATTAAGTAATATTAAAAAGAACAGTGATGATAATCTCAGTAGTAATAGCAATTAGAAAATTAAAAGTAGCATTAACAAGAACAGTGATGATAACCTCAGTAGCAATAACAATTAAAACACGTGTCTTACTTACATTATCTCATTTTATATAAAAAAGACACAATTCACATTGTGAATTGGAATGCTTAAAACTTTAGCTTTTTTGATTTTAAAATAACATATTTCCATTTAAATGGGGTCCTGCATTTTTCACTCAAATCAGTGTAGATATCCATTGATTGTGTTGAGCTGCTGTTACCTGTATACATAGGAATAAATTTTGTCCTAGTTTTCCTTTTCTTGAATGAAACAGCAGTAATAACAAAAACAAGATGTCCTCATTCCTCATGCTATATATGGCTTTTTAAAAAATCAGTGTTAGTTTATTTTTTGGTTGGGCTTTTCAAACAGGCAATATCTGTCTTTAGATAACTTCTATCCTTGCATCATCATTTTGCTAGCATATAACATGAAGCAGGAGAAAGACAGAGAGAGAGAAATGGAGAGAGAGAAACACAGAGAGAGAAGCAAACAGAGAAACAGAGAGGGAAACAGAAACAGAAAGAGAGGGAAACAGAGAGAGAGAGAAACAGAGAGAGAGAGAGAGAGAACCAGAGAGAAAGAGACAAAGAGATGGGGATGCCCTCTCTAACCACTCGTATTCAACATAGTTTTGGAAGTTCTGGCCAGGGAAATCAGGCAGGAGAAGGAAATAAAGGGTATTCAGTTAGGAAAAGAGGAAGTCAAATTGTCCCTGTTTGCAGATGACATGATTGTATATCTACAAAACCCCATCGTCTCAGCCCAAAATCTCCTTAAGCTGATAAGTAACTTCAGCAAAGTCTCAGGATACAAACTAAATGTGCAAAAATCACAAACATTCTTAAACACCAAAAACAGAGAAACAGACAGCCAAATCCTGAGTGAACTCCCATTCACAATTGCTTCAAAGAGAATAAAATACCTAAGAATCCAACTTAAGAGGGATGTGAAGGACCTCTTCAAGGAGAACTACAAATCACTGCTCAATGAAATAAAAGAGGATACAAACAAATGGAAGAACATTCCATGCTCATGGATAAGAAGAAGTAATATTGTGAAAATGGTCATACTGCCCAAGATAATTTATAGATTCAATGCCATCCCCATCAAGCTACCAATGACTTTCTTCACAGAATTGGAAAAAACTACTTTAAAGTTCATATGGAACCAAAAAAGAGCCTGCATTGCCAAGTCAATCCTAAGCCAAAAGAACAAAACTGGAGGCATAACCCCACCTGACTTCAAACTATATTACAAGGCTACAGTAATTAAAAGAGCACGCTACTGGTACCAAAACAGCGATATAGACCAATGGAACAGAACGGAGCCCTCAGAAATAATGCTGCATATCTACAACTATCTGGTCTTTGACAAACCTGACAAAAACAAGCAATGGTAAAAGGATTCCCTATTTAATAAATGGTGCTGGGTAACTGGCTAGCCATATGTAGAAAGCTGAAACTGCATCCCTTCCTTACACCTTATACAAAAATTAATTCAAGATGGATTAAAGACTTAAATGTTAGACCTAAAACCATAAAAGCCCTAAAAGAAAACCTAGGCAATACCATTCAGGACATAGGCATGTGCAAGGACTTCATGTCTAAAACACCAAAAGCAATGGCAACAGAAGCCAAAATTGACAAATGGGATCTAGTTAAACTAAAGAGCTTCTGCACAGCAAAAGATACTACCATCAGATTGAACAGGCAACCTACAGAATGGGAGAAAATTTTTGCAATCTACTCATCTGACAAAGGGCTAATATCCAGAATCTACAATGAACTCAATCAAATTTACAAGAAAAAAACAAACAACCCCATCAAAAAGTGGGCAAAGGATATGAACAAACACTTCTCAAAAGAAGATATTTATGCGGCCAAAAGACACATGAAAAAATGCTCATCATCACTGGCCATCAGAGCAATGCAAATCAAAACCACACTGAGATACCATCTCACACCAGTTAGAATGGCGATCATTAAAAAGTCAGGAAACAACAGGTGCTGGAGAGGTTGTGGAGAAATAGAAACACTTTTACACTGTTGGTGTGACTGTAAACTGGTTCAACCACTGTGGAAGTCCATGTGGCGATTCCTCAGGGATCTAGAACTAGAAATACCATTTGACCCAGCAATCCCATTACTTGGTATATACCCAGAGGACTATAAAACATGCTGCTATAAAGACACATGCACACGTATGCTTATTGTGTCACTATTCACAATAGCAAAGACTTGGAACCAACCCAAATGTCCAACAATGATAGACTGGATTAAGAAAATGTGGCACATATACACCATGGAATACTATGCAGCCATAAAAAATGATGAATTCATATCCTTTGTAGGGACAGGGATGAAGCTGGAAACCATCATTCTCAGCAAACTATCGCAAGGACAAAAAACAAACACTGCATGTTCTCATGCATAGGTGGGAATTGAACAATGAAAACACATGGACATAGGAATGGGAACATCACACCCCGGGGACTGTTGTAGTGTGTGGGGATGGGGGAGGGATAGCATTAGGAGATACACCTAATGTTAAATGATGAGTTAATAGGTGCAGCACACCAACATTGCTCATGTATACATATGTAACAAACCTACATGTTGTGCACATGTACCCTAAAACTTAAAGTATTAAAAAGAAAAAAAGAAAGACTCTTGTATAAAATGGCAGAATAAAAGGTAGGCTTTCTTTAAGAAACTAAAAAAAAAAATATGGAATCATACAACTAAAAAAAGTGTACTTCAGTAAGTGGAAATTAAAGTGTGTTTGTTTCTCTCCTTAGTTTCTCTAGAATTTGAATACTAGTTATAAGTATTCTTAAACTACCACAATATAGTTGTTTGCATCAGTGCAATATGAATCTATTTTCTTTTGTAACAAAACACAATTGGAAAAAGTGGTTATTTTACCAAGGTTTGGACAGGAATGGTATGCTCTCCTTTAAGGAATCAAACTTATGTAACCAATAAAGCCCTTGGAAATCTGGCCTCATATTTGTGTACACAGCCCTGGTATAGGGCTTCTGATCTGTGGCAAGTAAGGAATGTCACTTTCAGACAGGCCAGGAAAGGCAAGTTATGTTAAAACTTCAAGAGGAGAGGAATTCACCCAATTCACAGGTATTTAAGGATACAAATCCATGGCTGGGCTTGGCTTTAAAAAATCTGATCTCAAATTCCTTCTATAACACAAACTTCCGTCAAAGCTTAGTTAAAAGGCCTGTGTAGCAAATAATTATTCTTGCTGCACTGTATACAACTAATTAAGCCAAGTACAATAAAGGAAAGCAGTCCTACCATGATTTTTCTTTTAATAAAAATGGAAAGTTGAAGAAAGAAAATTATGTTTCAAAAACTATAGCACACCTGTTCTTAAATTCTAGTCTGCCAAATGTTTTTCAATTTTTACTATTTTCTACAGTTTAAATTATATCCATTACAGAAATCAACTCCTAGATACTACACACTCAAGCCGAAGCTTAAAGAGCTGAGAAAATAAACCCTAGTAGCCAGAAAAACGTCCTAAATATCAGTGTAAAAAAATAAGAAATCTTAACCTGAAAATCATAAAATATAAGTACGTCAAAATTACTCATCTTAATCTCGACCCTACTTTACCTAATACTTTTTGTCATTCCTACCTGTCCTTTAAGCCAGATATTAAAGCTTTTTTGTTGTTGTTGTTTTTTAACGAAAGTTATTTACTATGCCAACCTTATGGGAATTGCTTTCCTCACTCTCCTATTTGCAGTAGGACTACATATTGTAGCACCCTAAGGGTGAAATATAGAACAAAGAATCTCAATTACTGTAGCATTTTGTTTAATTATTATCATCATAGCAGATATAACAGTTACTAATAAAACAATAACACATGGGTCTTTCCAAACATGTGCCTCTGCCTGGAGGGAAATGTTGCTTCTGTCTCAACAAATCAAGCCTAATATGAAACGCTGCTGAAAAGCCTAGGATTAGAGTTCTTACCCGGCCTCGATAAACTTTTCCAAAAATTTTTAATCAACAGAATCATAGCCATTTCACAGACAACTACCCAACAATATCTACAGACGGTGTTTCTCCTGCAGTGGATCCAAGATCAAAAAAACTCTCAGCCCCACCCCCCTATCAGCAGGAAGTAGCCAGAAAGAACAGGTGGCCCCTCGTTCTTTTGTAAGTAAAGGATGTGGAATGACAGAGCAAGGGCACCATCATCTTGGACAAAACACCAATTGAAGATCCAGCTTCCTTTCTAACCTCATGCACTTCAAAGAAATCACCTGTCTTCTAACAACAAGCAGCCAGAAAAAGCAGACAGGTAAACACAGATAAGACAGCTGGGGCACAGAGGGAGGTGGAGGAAAGTCTCTTGGGTAACTGCCAATCTTCACCATCATACAGTGGGCACCAGTAAAACAGTAGGCCTTAATAAGCACATTGCTTTCCCTTCAGGTGCACTAAGATAGGAAAGCTAAAAGCAGTCTCGGGGGTATGCCTGCAGCTTCAGGAAGATGTATGGCAACAGACACACAACTTTCCCTCCCAGATAAGCACAACAAAGAGACATATAAGCAGTCCAAGCCTGTAATAAACTGTCCTGTCCTGAATCCTTGAAAAGTCTTAATCTGTAAGAGAGTGTGGCTCTGACTCAACTTGGCAAGAAATCCCCGTCAGGTTTATTTTCTAAAATAAATCTCTCCTTGTTGACACTCAAGCCACCCTTTGTGTTTCTTTCCTCCTTCTTTAGTTCTTACAATTTTGGTCTTCACAGCATTCTCAAAAGTATAAATAATTTAGGGACATAAAGAAATGTACATGTCATGAAAACTCCTAGTAGATTCACATATTTCCATTCATTAGACTATTTAGTCTCTAGTTATTTATTAAGCACCAGTTATTCAGGCGCTATATCTTCATAGTTCTATGCATAGAATGGTGAACAATGTAAGAATAACCTTTGATCCCTGTATTTTCTATACTATCAGAAAATTATGAACAAACAGATTAATGAACAAAATCATTTCAGATTGTCTTAAGCACTGTGAGAAATATAATCATGGTGGTGCTGTGTGAAAAATAATTTGCTTGAGAGAGTGGAAGTTCATTGCCAAAGTCTTTCAACAAGAAGCTTAGGAAATTCCTCTTTGGGGGTGACTCTACAGCCTAGACCTAAAGGATGAGAAGAAACTGAGTGTGCAAAGATTCAGAAAAATAGAAGGAGAAAAAAGACCCTAAAGGGAGGAGAGTTGATTTAATAGGTGTTTGAGGGTACAATGAACCTGGGGGAAAGGGGTTGAAGTGACAACGGAAGATACAGGAGGAGGGGAAGCCAGACCCTTCAAGTTTGGGTAGAAAGTTTGTATTTTATTCTAAGTGAAAAAGAAACATTTTTGAATAGTTTCAAGAAATTTTTCACATAGTCCCATTTAGGTCTACATGAAAGTGAGTATTGTATGAGAAAATAAATTTGTGGACTAGTAAACCAATATATTATTTGCCCTAATTAAACACTAGTTTATAGAAGCCTGAGATTGTAATATGAAGATCCTAGCCTATCTGACACAAATTATAGATAGTTAACATTAGCCAAAGTGCAGAGAAGGCACAAATAATAATAACTGAAGAGGAATTTTGGATAGACAGAGAAGAAATGTAATGAAAATTTTTATGGACATGTGAGGTCTGGGAAGAAGGAAACCATGGCGGAGAAGAAAGCAGAAAGTAGGCCAGGTGCAGTGGCTCATGCCTGTAATCCCAGCACATTTCCAGGGTGAGGCGGGTGGAGCACCTGAGGTCGGGAGTTTGAGACCAGATGTCCAACATGGAGAAACCGCATCTCTACTAAAAATACAAAATTAGCCGGGTGTTGTCGTGCATGTCTGTAATCCTAGATAACTCCAGAGACTGAGGCAGGAGAATCGCTTGAACCCAGGAAGCAGAGGTTGTGTTGAGCCGAGATGGCCCCATTGTACTCCAGCCTGGGCAACAAGAGCAAAACACACAAAAAGAAAGGAAAAAATATAGTAAAACACAAAGAGCATAGGTTTTTCCCACTCTTCTGAAATCCCAGAGTCAGAGGCGTGGAGTTAAAGGAAATTTGCCCACCTGTGATTTGATCTCTGAAAAAGAACTTCAGCATGTGGTGTTTGTGGCAACAGAGGTCACCCATGGCACAGAAAATGTAAAATGAAGACATGGCATTGTTAAGCAGAGAGAGAATGCTGAGAGAAGGTTCAGAGATGCTCTTATATATGGGGGCAAGGATAGGACTCTGACGTGCCCACGTTTCTCCTGGAAAAGACTGAAGTGAACTCAGCGCAGTGCTGGGAGGCATTCCCAGGGCTACCCTGACAAGAGGTAAGGTAGTCATGGTGCTGAAGCCACCATATAAACAGCCTAGTTGGGCATCTAATAGAGGGTTTATTTATTAATATATGTATGTATTTATTTATATTCAAATTTTTGAAAATAAGATCACAGTTAACTCCTGAAGTATCCAATACAAGTCACAAATTTATGCTGTCACTCATTACAGAGCATGAGAGTCTCAGAAATGAACCAGAAATCCTACAGCGAAGATCTGGGTGAAACCAGGGGCCCAAAGGTCACATCAAGAGTCTTCCAACTCTTTTCCACTTTTGCAAGGGTAAGTGTTCCACTTGTGCCCCTCCCTACATTCTCACTTGCTACTTTGCAACTCATAAGTGGCACTGTGTAAAACAAAGCTCTTTTCTGAAAAGCAAACAAACAAACAATAATGTTAGATACTATTCATTAGCCACTTCAAACCTCCACCATAAATTTGTCAGGGTCAGGGCTTGTGAGGAAGATTAGGTTGATAAATCACACCCAAAAACTTTCAAGTACTGCTACATCACAGGTGTTCTATGTGTAAATTTGTAGCACTACCACAACACTTAGATTTAATGTCTTTCCATCTACTTCAGTTCATTCACATTTCATATGTAATTCGTACGGTTTTAAAAATACATACTTAAGATATGTGTACCGCTTTCAGTAAAGGAATCTAAAATGAAAAGTATTCTGATCCAGAGTAAAAAAAGTGTATGTTTTGTGGCTGATGCTGTCTCTGCTGCCAACTGGCTCTGTATCCTAGGCCAAGTCCTTTAATTTCTCTGGGCATTCATTTTCTCCAGAAAATGAGCAGACTGGACTAAATCATTGCTGAGGTCTATTTTGATTTCTGACATCCTTCACTCATAGGAGTGATAAAATAAGGATGGCTGAGATGATCATGGTTAGACTGGCATTAATCATTAAACAATGTTAACAAGTGTACAACCATTTAGTGAGTTCAGGCCATTTGCCTGGCAAAAAGTAAGTCATTTTATACAGGTTATTTCTAATCATCTAAACAACCACATGAGGAAATAGAAGTTGAGAGAGTTTGTAATTTGCTCCATGCTACACAGTTGGTAACTGGCATAGCCAGACTTCTCACTCATGTTTTCTCTGAAGCTTCTAAATTATATATAATACTTATTTTCTGTCTTTTTAAATTGTTTGATTTGAAGATAACAGCTTCCAGTCATTGTGAAAATTTTATACATCATCCAAGCTTCCCATTCTCTCTGAAGCTCTATTTATAGCATTGAGGCAAAGCAATCTATGTCCTGAACTCATGAAGAATTCACTTCGATCATTCATTTAGTACTTATTTTCAAAGCTAACATATTTTTCTAATCTCCTGTAACTATCTCCTGTGTCCTTCCCACAAAACTATAAAAGCTCTGAAGGAATGTCAGGAAATACTTGGGAGGGCTGTGGCATCAGCAGGGCTGGAACTCAAGTGAAGAGAGTAAGGTGCCTGCTGTGAAAACTACAGGAGGTCTCACTGTCAGGACCTCAGCTCAGTTTTTTCCTGGCCCTGGACAGCCCATAGCAGCTGGTGGATGGCTAGCTCACTGAGATGGTCTGAATGAAGTTCAGCAACCTTAGTTCTCAGCTATGATGCCCACTGCTTTGGCTGACCAGAGAGGTCCTATGTAGTGGCTGGAAAATCAATCTGGTGAAAACAAAACTGAAGTCCAGAAGGCAGAGTAGAGGAAAGCCAGTGCAAGTGCCTTCCTTGGTAGCATATTATTATCGTATAATGGGTCACCAAAGATCTGAAAGAAAAACTCATTCAGTCATTCCCTGGAGCTAAAAACCCCAGCAATATAATGTTGTAAATGGAAAGATTTTTGAAGAAACTCCTTTATATTGTTTCAGCCCTTGACCTATGCAGTTTAGTGCCATAGCAAAACATCACACACTTGGTGACACTTGGTAACATTATCAAAAAAACCCAGAAATTTATTGTCTCCTAGTTCTGGAGGCTGGTAGTCCAAGTCAAGTTGTCATCAGCTTTGATTTTTTCTGATACCTTTGTCCTTGGCTTGCAGGTGGTGGCCCACCCTTTGTTTGTTTACGTGGTCTTATTTCCGTGCTCTTGCATTCTTGCTGTACCCTTGTGTGTCAAAATGTCCTCTTCTTACAAGGACACCAGTGAGATTGGAATAAGACCATATCCAACAGCTTTAGTTTAACATAATTACCTTTTTAAAGTCCTTATCTTCAAATACAGTAACATTCTGATGTAACGGTGTTAGGACTTTAACGTGAATGGGTAGGGGCTTGGGTAATTATCCCATAATACCATGAGTGTGGAAAATTATAAGCTGTCACATAGGCAGATATGGTCATAATGATCAGCAGAATGCCATGCATGTTAATAAATAAGTATTGTTTATTTATGCTTCAAGATTCAACTCTGACAACATTTAGATAAACAATACATTTTTGTTGATTCAATATGATTGACTTAATGAATTAATAAATTTGTTTACTATTGTCAGTGGTCACCATCACTATGTGAATAGCAAAAATTAAGGGTTAGTGATGTATCTGAGACACAACATATTAATTACCTCATCTTTCTTATTTAAAAAAGTAGTATATTAATTAAATAATTGAATTTAAGCAATGTTACAAGTTAAGCAGATAAATCTTATTTAGCAAGATCTCTCCTTAGTAAATAAGGAGAACTGAATATTTTCCCTCACTTTTTCTCCTCTTTTAGCTTTAATCAGACCTAATTCATATACTTACACATGGATTGGTTATTTATCACTATTAATTCCAAAACTGACACTAGAGTCACTTTTGGACTGACTCTCTTGTTTCAGATTATTATAAAATACAATATATTGTATGTAGTACAGTTGCTGAAAAAGTTTCTGCATTATGATTACTTAAAGTATTTATTGCAACCACTAGGCTAATAATGGATGTTTTCCATGTTTATTTATTCATTGTGTTTTTAGCATTACTCATATTCTCATCAACCTAAATATCTGGGCCTTTCCCCTTTGCTCCTCTGCTCTGAGATCCCTGATTCCCTTTGTTCACATAGCAATAGAAGGAAATAGAAGGAAAAGAGAAAACACATTTTGTAGATTTTCTTCTTTTACAGATTACAACCTCTGTTTTTTTTTTTTTTTTTTTTTTTGGCCTGGATTCTGTCTAATCTGATGCTATTTTTCCATTTGGCTCTAAAAATAAAATTACCTATCACTCATCAATTACAACTAACAAAAATTACTGACTTAACACAAATTCAAATTGAATACTGTATCCTTAGTTGCAGGCCAGGAACATATGAAGTCAAATGGTGTAAGCAAAGGACTTCAAATGTATTTTTTGGAAAATTATGTATTCTTACCTATTAAGTTTATCTTTACATTATCTTTTTACTTGAAATACTCGAGTAACATTATCAAATATGATTAAATAAGTATATTATTATATCAAATGTTATTTCTGGTGTTTTTTTTTTTTTTTTTTTTGAGACAGAGTCTGGCTCTGTCACCCAGGCTGGAGTGCAGCGGAGCGATCTTGGCTTACTGTAAGCTCTGCCTCCTGGGTGCAAGTCATTCTCCTGCCTCAGCCTCCCAGGCAGCTGGGACTACAGTTGTCCACCACCACGCCTGGCTAGTTTTTTGTGTTTTTAGTAGAGATGGGGTTTCACCATGTTAGCCAGGCTGGTCTCTATCTCCTGACCTCGTGATCCACCAACCTCGGCCTCCCAAAGTGCTGGGATTACAGGCGTGAGCCACCTTGCCCAGCCTTATATCAAATGTAATTTCTTACTGAGTTTTTGTAATATTAATTTATAGTAGCACTTAGCATATAGGACTTTTGTCAAGTTTAAAAGGCTGCAAAGGATGTAGTATACTCGAATAGTAATGATCTAATCACTTATTTTATAGATAAATAAACTGAAGGTCATATAGAAAAGGCAAAGCTGTAAACGGAGAAATTATTTTGAAGGAACTTTCATTTTTAGGTTTGGAAGTTATTTGAGAAATATGTTCTGAACAGGACCTTTGAAAACAAGTAGGTGTAATGGAAGGTAAACATGCATAAACCAAAAGTATTGATAACTAATTCAATAATGGTGAGTATTGTGGGACCAGTAGCAGGTTTTAAAGCAAATATGAATTTCAGGTTTGTGTTTAGAATATGGGGCGTCAGTTGAAAAATGGCATAAAGTTCAATGTGACAATTACATAGTTTGTGACAATCCTTGTTGACAAAATGAACTAATGATGAAAGAATGGAGCTAAAAACACCTGTGAGGAAATAAACACAACAAACAATTTTTTATCTGTTTGTAAACTTACTTGGTTTTAGAGGAAGACTGCAGTAATGCAAATGAAGAGAATACAGTGAGTCCATAGAATGGGGTAAAGAAAAATACAACAGGATTGTGTCATATATTTATATAAATGATTCATATTCTAATAATAAATTATTGATCCTAAAATTAATCAGGCTGAATTTTTTTAACAACAATAAAATATTATATATATTAGAAAAACCATTACCAAAGGCGATAAAGAGATTTAAGATGTAAAACATCTGCAATTTGGAATTTTTTGAGGGTGTAACATAAATATTACACTAAGTGAACTCCATATTCATATTTCCTTGAAAATTATTGCACAGATTGGTGTACAATTAATAAAACATGTTGGCCTTAAGAAACAAACATCAACAACAAAATTAATGTGTGTTTAAAGAGGTCATGTAAAAAGACTCTCAACTTTTGTACTTTCTGTAGATAGCCAGTCTCCTAGAGGGTCCTACATTTTAGAACTGAGAGCTGGTCTGCATGACAGCACATATTTGCAGTGCTGAAGGCTGTGAGAGTGGAGTGAAATCTCTTTGCTTTCACATATCCTTTGTAGCAAAGTTACTTGTCAATATAGAGAAAATCCTTTGTTTTTCTTCCCAGTGGTGTTTCTGGTAAGACAGAAGCTTAGTGTTTCACAGTATGCGTTTTCACATTGTTTGGATGCTAAGCCCTCCACCTCTGAGAACCTTGAGAGAACGGGGAAGCTCAGAATCCAGTCATTTGAAGTATGAAAACAACTCTGATGTCTGCCCCTTTTATTTGTGTTTTTCTTAATGGATGAGGCCCCTAAGGAGTTTTCAACTCCAGAATTGTGAACAGCAAAGCAAAGCTACCACATCAGCAGGACTAAGGATATGCCTAATCTGAGAACTATCTTAATTGTGATTAGGAAGATAATTTCTTTGGCATCATTGACTTAGGTAAACTGCCAAATCTCATGACTGCTTCCAGCCAGGTCGTGAGATTTGGTGGTTTACGTGAGTAATACATTTGTTACTTTGCTACCTCATCTTTATTTATTTATTTTAGTAGAAGCTTTGGTTTGTAGGAATTAGTGTCAACATTCCAATTATTATTTGGTAATAACCCTGTAGTTGGTTGAATTTTCTAAATAAATAAATAAATAAACTGTTGAAATGTTAACCCTGGGGACATGTCACTGTAACCTTATTTGGAAATATAAGCTTTTCAAATATAAACAAGTTAAGGTAAGGTCACACTAGATTGGGGTATGCCCTAAATTCAATGTCTTGTATCGTTATAAAGAAAGAGAGATTTAGAGACACAGAGACACACACAGAGGGAAAACAGCCATGTGAAGACAGAGGTAGGTGCTGAAGTGATATAGCTACAAACTGATGAAGGCCAAGGATTGCTGGCAACAACCAGAAGATGGGAAGGGAAAGGACGAATTCTCCTCTAGAAATCTGAGAGGTCTGGCAACATGTTAACTTCAGACTTTTAGCTTCCAGAATGCAGAAAAAAAATTATGTTTTTAAAAGCCATTCAAAATGTGGTAATATTTTTATGGCAGCTCTAGGAACCTAATACATTCTCAGAATTATAATTTTCCCCTGATTATAAATTATCTACTCATTGTTGTCTTTTTCAACATTTTCTCATTACTAGTAAAGACACGTAATTTCCAACTTTTTGTATAGAAGTTGTTGCTTTACCTTCTAAAACTTCTAGTAATCTCAGGGATTCTGAACAGAATACGTAAATTTAAAGGGAAAAACACATTTAGTCTTCTTAATGAAATCAGTGAATTGGGTGAAGAAAAACATCCTTAATGAATTGGGTGAAGAAAAACATCCTCCTTCTCTCCTGCAGTCTGGCCTGGGCCTCCTCCTGTAAGCATCCCAGATTAAATCATATGGCTTGTTACCCTGCAGTGAATTTAAGAGAGTGACAATTATGACGGTGATGATAATGACGATAATTACTAGAAATAGGATAATTCATATCTTAGTGTTTTGTTTGATTATAATTTGCTAGCATTCACTGGTATACATCATGTATATGATACATGTGCACACATAAACCCCTTTGAATAGACAGTATTACATTTCCCTTTCCCTTTGTCCTAGCTTGAGTTCCCCAGAAAACAAGCCTGAAATAAAAGAGCATGCATGGAGTACTTTAGTGGGGTATATGAGATACAGGAAAAGCAACATACAGAAGGAAGAAGATTTACTATAACATCTTATCAAGTAGGCCAGCTTGAAAGGGAGTTTGGGCAATTCGAGAGTTAATACTTTATGATAAAGAAACTCCTCTGTATACACAACAACCTCAATTAATAACCTTCAACCTTTGTGCCTGAAGTAACACAGGTTCTCCATAGAAGTCACTACTTCTCTTGCAGCCCACCCAAGGAGAGGCCACTTATTCCCTCACACTCCATATACTGCAAGGCCTGAGTGAGGTCACAGATTCTTCTTCCTCCCTTTCTAATATCATATCAAGTACACTTTCCTAAATTTATGACCCACTCCCTTTATTCTCACAATCTTCCTGTCCATTCCAATTCCTGTCAATGATTACAGTGAGTTTAACATTCACACAAAGGCCCACCAAATCATACCAGTTCCTGAAATTCCTAGTTTCCAAAGACCTTCTCTTACACTTTAGTTCAGCCATCATCTTTCACTGTTTTCTCTTCACTATTTTGTTTCCTGATATAGGGCCTCACTCTGTTGCCCAGGCTGGAGCACAGTGGCGTGATTATAGCTCCCTGCAGTCCTGAAATCCTGGGCTCAAGTGGTCCTCCCATCTCAGCCTCCCAAGTGGCTGGAACAACAGATGGACACTACCATGCCAAGTGAAATGTTTATTTATGTATTTATTGTAGAGATGGGTCTTGCTATGTTGCCCAGGCTACTCTCAGACTCCTGGCCTCAAGCGATCTTCCTGCCTTGATCTCTCAAAGTGCTAGAATTATAGGAACAAGCCAGCATGCATGGTCCCCTTAACCATTTATTTTACTAATATTTTAAAGTACCTTGCCTATACATCTCACCTGTGGAAGCCCACATGTGGAACACCTTACCCATCCCCTATCCAAGCTCTTTCCTGGACAGCTGGCTGTCATGTTCGAGCTGCATTATGAGCACACTCATGTGTCAGTACAGCAGAGACAGCCTTTAGCTAATAGCCAGTTAGGAACTGAGGTCCTTAGCCCAACAGCCCATGAAGAACTAAATCCTGCCAACAGCCACGTGAACAAGCTTGGAAGCACATCTTCCCCACGTGTTTTACAATGACTGAAATCCTGGCTAACACCTTGATTGCAATTTTGTGAGAAGCCTTGGGCCAGACATACCCTGATAACCATGCCCAGTTTCCAGACCCACAGAAACTGTGAAATAACTAACGGTGTTTCTTTAAGCCACTAAGTTTTGCTAAAATTTGTTACTCAGTGATAGATCACAAATAAACTAGCTATGCCATCTTACCAAAGTCATCTCTCCTTCTGAGATCACAAATAAACTAGCTTTGCCCCATTACCACAGTCATCTCTCCTTCTGGCAGTTAAAGTGCATGCTAGAAATTAATGTTATGTGATTAGGTAATTGGTAACTAGGAAGCAATATTAAAATCTCTAAAAAAGTAGTCATAAAAAACAGAGTGATCGAGTAGCTGAAGGGAAGTAGTATATATGCCATAACACACTCTATAAATGCATCTAAATTTCTGCTTTGCGCATAAAAGTAGTGTTGGTGCCATGCCTACTTAAGGTTAGCTCTTAAGGATGTGGTGTTCTAGTCAAATAGTACATTATGGGTAGAATTACTCTGATACATTCTTTTAGCTCTTTCTGCATTATCTGAGCAATTTGCTGATACTTACTTCTTTGTATTCCCATCTTTCCCCTGCTCATTTTAATTTAATAACATTTTCATTTCATCATCTTACTCTCACCAATAGGATGAATCATATCTCAAATACTTCATTGCCACATTTTAAATTTCTGCTATTGCTTACAAAGTACTATGATAATGATACGAACAAAGGACAGTCGAAGGGCCCAGCCTTATGCAGTTAAGGGCTGTTCAGGAGCAGGTCACTATCATTATTCTTTGTTCCTCCATGGCCAAAGTCCGTTGTTTCCATTTAGAAAATTTAGATATTTTGATTTCTCTCTTCTAACTTTGTCCTAGGACTGCCTCGCACTGTATTTTGAGGGATTCTATGTGGAATCTCTTTAATATTGTATAGTTAAACCAACTTATATACCAGTCTACTGGTCTTACAGCCTAAGCATGGGATAGTATATGCATGGCATGAGTTCAGTCAGTGACATCCATAAAACACTGGTATAGTGTAGGTATTAATAGCATCAGTGAATTACTTTGTCTCTCAGTGTCTCAGTTTACTGGTATATCAAATGGGGCTGATAATCATTTATACTTCATACACATATTGGGATGATTAAATGAGTTACAAACTTAGGCCACTTAGAAGATTGGCACATAGAAAGGCATGCACATTTGCTAAATATACCAAATATAAACCTTCCAAATATAGGAATATTAAATTTTATAAACAATTTCCAGATTTCTACATATGTTATCTCACCTGCTTATGATAAAAATCATTGGGTAAGAAATGACACAGGTTATTTTAGTCATTTTACAAACAATGAAACAAAGGTTAAAAAATAAATAAATACCAGCACCAACTCTCCTAAGTATCAAGGCTAAATTATGAATCTAGATTTTTTTTTTTTGGAAACTTTTCTGAAGCTTCTTCTGACTGTTTCAGAGGAGTCTAGAGGTACCAGCCTATGAGCTTATTGATGGGGACTCAATAGATTTTGATTTCTCTGCCCTTCACCAGGACAGAGCCAGCAGTGTTTCCACTGCAGAACGTGATGGGGTGGGATGTGTGTGCATGTGTGAGTTCATGATGGGAATTCAACAAAGTGTTAAAGTGAGCATGTGTGAAGGGAGAAAACATTGCCATAAGATTTGGAATTCCCTTTAGGCAATCATCATATTGTAATTTGTCAAGCTTGGAATGATATACTTCCCTATCTTAGTGGGAGTTGTGTTGGGATGTTTTTTTCCAGTATCAAACAGTAACTTACTACTTTGTGGCCAGTATTCAAGAACGTTGAAATCAAGATCCTCAGGGTAGCACTTCTCAGGCTTTTTTGAAAGTGTAATCTTATGTTTTTATTAAGAGAAAGAAAATGTCTAATCTCACCATTTGATAGAATATAATAAAGCCTACAAAATAAAGAATAATTTACATCTCACATTTTTATGGCACTTGAATGGTGTTTCTGATTTTAACATAAACTAACACATTGTAAATTGTGTACAATGCAATAACACAATTTTGTACAATGTATTTTGTACAGTGCATTTTGTACAATGCAATAACACTAGTTCCCTTTGTGTTATTACATTGTACAAAAATGCAATAACACAAAAGAAAGTGTTCATATTAATGGAAGCGAGTAATCCATGTATTATTCAGTCTTGTAAGGAGTTAAGTCTCTTTGTTTTCACTCCTGCTGAGTGAAACATTGCCAAAGAAACAGATATAACTGTTAAAAAATATCAGAAAACTACAATTTTTAATATCCAAAGAACTGTTTTTAATGTCTGAATTTCATGTCTTTTATACTTTATTTATTTTTTTTAATGGAAAAACACTGTCAGCAGAGAGTTATCAGGTCCTATTGTTTTATCTGTAGCACTGGTGAAAGCTCCACCTGTTTACTTCAGGCTTGGGAGACTTTCTTTCCTTTGGGAGTGGTGGCTGGTGCTAGAAGAAGAAGAAATATCATGCTTCTGACAGTACAGAGCAGCTGGTATAGTTGTCCTTGTTTTTATGGGATATAGGAGGCAAAAAGGCACATTTGAAACTCTTTGGGGAAATAACATAATGCTTCTTACATTTATCTTTATAATCTACTTTCCTAGCAACTACTGTCCTGCCATTCATAATATATTTAGCAAATGCAGATGAAAAAAAAAAGCTCTGTTACCACAGGGGCTGAGAGAATGGAATGCATGTCCTAGTTGGTTAAACTAATTTTTTTATCAAATGGAAAATAAATACACAGAGAAATACGTTCAATGTTTTCTTTTCTTTGAACAATGAAAGACATTTTTTAAAGAATTAGCCAGCACGGGTACTTCTGGAAAGGTGTCAACACGAAGTTTCTATTTGGGAGAGAACTAACATTATTGCCAAAAAAAAAAAAAAAAAAATTCATGTGTGGCATGATCCAAATTTGTCAAGCCAGGGGTGTTACAGAAAGGAATTTGCTACCAGAAATTTGCATTAGATGGTATTTTCACTATTCCAAACTATTTATTTTTGATGACATCTTTCTTTGATTGGGCAGAAGTTTTATAGCATGTATTTAGTGAAGAGTTATAGAACCTTAATAAAATGAAAAAATGAAAGCATCACATGGCAAAACTAGGTTCATTCTGGTGACTTTAAAAATACTTTCCTACATAAATCTGGTCTCAGGAAGTTTTTGCAAGTCACAGAAATTATTCCTTAGTGTTGGGTTGTCGGCTGTTTTATACTCTCCCCTTTCCCATTATTTCTTATTATTTTTCCTGAAACGTTTTGGGTTCTATTGTCTACTCTCTGAATGAACGTCGGCATTATGACTCTCATAGCATATTCACACTTGCTTTATTCATTTAATGGTGAATTCAGGAGGCACCACCATGTCCCACAGATTTGGGAAGACCCTGGAAATGTAAACATGTCCATTTGACACAGCAGAGTGAACTTCTCCTCCAAAAACCTAAGGATGCTGTGTAAATGAAAACTATTAAATATTAATAGTTTTAATAGAACTCAAAAAAATCACACATGGGATATGAAGCAGGATCATAAAGCCCATGCAGTAAGCTAGAGCTGAAGCCAAGGTGGACTTACTGTTTTTCAACACAAATTTACACTTTGCAGGGTGATATCATGGGTTCTGATTCCAAACTAAGGGTGCAAGATGAGGTTCTCATAAGTTGAAAGGCACAAAACCTCCATATAAACTCAGAACTGTGAAACATGATCTGGTTATTCTACTGGAAAATGGCATTGGCAGCGTTCCTTCTGCATGTCACTTGGGGGTAGTGTGGGAGAGAGAGGCCTGTCAGCAACTGGAACACAAGCCTACCCACATGCAACTCAATTAGAACTTTTACTTTATGGATGGGCATCTACTGCATTGAGAATAAATTTTGCCTCCTCTCAGAGGTAAAATGGAAACGCATGTGTGCACTAGCATCCAAAATGCAGGTTGCTCCCAGAAAAGACAGTGCCTACTAGAAATAAACATAGCATCAGAAATCACTAAAAGTTACCATAATGAAGTAAACATCCATGAAAGAGTCAATAGATGCACTAAAGATAAGGCAACTTGAATTCATTCATAATATTTGATAATGTGCTATCAAATATTATTAAATAACATCAAATAATGTTTTTAATTTTCACACCAATATTTTAATCATCTTTCAATTTTTTATTTAAAAATATATAGACTCTTAATTATCATTCTTAAACATGTCTATCCCATGGATTGCATTCAACTTCACTTACAAAAATGGTGTCAAATTCTGGAATTTTATGAAAGGTTTATATTTGCTGGCTTACTCATCCCCTCAACAAATATTTATTGAGAGTTATGCTGTATCAAGCACTGTGCAACATGCTAAAGATACAACATTTAAAAAGCCAACATTAATGTGGCTGAAGAGGTAAGTGGAGTCTATGAGGAGGCAAGGAGGGAGGCAGGTCAACAGGTAGTGATCATTCAGCAAGGTAAATTAATGGCATAAACAAACAGCAGAGTACACAATGGTCTTGTGTTAACCTCACTTATATAAACTGGGAGAGGCATTGAGCTTATCCTGGTCAAATTTTTGAATTTAATGTGTTAAAAAATCTTATAAAAATAAATTAAGAATTTTCCTGAATAGAAGTCACTGGTCAAATCGGCCTCACATGTCTGTTCTATAAAAAAAACTCCAGAATATTTGGCAATGTCTAAAGAATTCTTGGTAAAAAATATGGCCTGACCCAAAATTTCATACACCTAAATTTTCAAACTCATGGAAAATTAGTGGAAAGACAACTTTACATATACCAGAGCTTGGAAAGTGTATCCCATGCTACCCCATGAAAAAACAAAAGTTAATATAGAAGCGCATTGCAGTTGAAACAGAGTTTAACTAAAATAATGAACATAAAGACTGGGTTCTAAAAAGATGTGATTCAAAAGAAAATATAGTTCACAAACAAAAAGAACCCCCACACACACTGCACATGGTTGTGTGTGCCTGTAATTCCAGCTACTAAGGAGGCTGAAATGGGAGACCCGAGCATTTGAACTCAGGAGTTCAAGCCTGCAGTGAGCTATGATGATGCCAATGCAATCCAGTGTGGACAACAGAGTGAGACACTGTCTTAAAAAAAAAAAAAAGAAAGAAAATATGATAACAGCCTGACGTGAAGGATACCATGTCTATTTTATTTATATATATATATATATATTTATTTATTTATTATACTTTAAGTTCCAGGGTACATATGTACAATGTGCAGGTTTGTTACATATGTATACATGTTTACTTTCATATTTATTTTTGAGCTGAAGTCTCGCTCTGTCACCCAGGCTAGGGTACATGGTGCAGTCTCAGCTCACTGTAGACTCAGCCTCCTGGGTTCAAACAATTATCACGCCTCAGCCTCCCAAGTTAAGGTACTACAGGCATGCAACACCATGTCCGGCTAATTTTCATATTTTTGGCAGAGATGGGGTTTCCTGGTGTTGGCCAGGCTGGTCTTGAACTCCTCATCTACAGTGCTCTGACTTTCTCGGCCTCCGAAAGTGCTGGGTTACAAGCTTGAACCATTGTTTATTTTGTAGAGTGGCATATGACTTCATGCTAAAGATTTTGCCATGAAGACTAGTTTCTTCATTTGAGAACTGGGCAATATTTACTTGTTTTATTTTGCTCTTTATAGTCTCTAACTGGTCTGTTTATATTAAACATGTACAAGTGTACATGTGTGTTGCTGTATGACTACCAACTTAAAATCCCTACTTACACCCGAAAGTGCTGGGTTACAAGCTCTGGACCATTGTTTATTTTGTAGAGTGGCATATGACTTCATGCTAAAGATTTTGCCATGAAGACTGGTTTCTTCATTTGAGAACTGGGCAATATTTACTTGTTTTATTTTGCTCTTTATATTCTCTTACTGGTCTGTTTATATTAAACACGTACAAATGTACATGTGTGTTGCTGTATGACTACCAACTTAAAATCCCTACTTACAAGTTTCCTTGTACATTAGGAAAGTAGGAATGCAGAAGAAAGTTATCTGAAAAAATATTTAGTAGCAAAATGTAGGAAATTGCCTAAGTGTGAACAAAAAAAAGGGCCAATAGAAAAAAGAGCATCCATAGTCAATACCATTAATAGTAATGTTAACTTTGAATTACTTACATCAAATTGCATATACAAATGCAGTAAAAGTATACAGACATGGTAATAAAAAATGACCAAATTTTACTTAGTTTTACTTTGAAATGTAGAAGCTAATGTGGTAGTTTTCTTTACTTTAAATTGTCTATAGTATAAACAAGCAAGTTCAGCTTTGTTACTGGAAATAGCAATAATGCTGAGATATGTACATTCTAACAGGATAGAAGGTAAAACGAAGCTGAGAAGGTGAAAATCCACCATCTCAATCCGTCACGCTGAGGGGAGAAGAACTGAAAAGCCAGCTCCCGACTTAATGGAAATCAATATTTCTGCCAATGTCTGAGCACAGATATAAAGGGTCACAAAAATTATCATCTCCATGACTTCTGCTTTCTTACTCACTGACAAACTTTATGGTCTAAAATTATAAACAGAGTATTTGCTGTTTGAAATGTTATCAGTGAAGATAAAATTTAGGACATCTTGCCTGGCTGATTTATGTCACTTTCCACAGAAGAAAAACTGATTTCCAGTTTAGGTGCATAGCTTCAAATAACAAGCATTTGCACTCAAAATTCCACACAAATGTCAACTTGTGATCTACAAGGAAGAGACACTGGGTTCTCTCACAGTCTAAACATGATATTTTGGCCTTTCATACATAGGTGTACTTTACCTTGAACCTATTGAAAGTCTGTTCTGTTTAAATATCTGTTCACCACCTTTCCCAAAAATCTTACAGTACCTAGTTTTATTACTTTAGTTGCCCCACAGGCATGGTTGACCTTACTGTAACAAGTCAATGCAATTTTATTAGATTATGGGGTTGTCCTATGTACTCATAGACTAGCTGGATTAAGTCACAGAATTTCTCTGTCTAGCTCTTTTCCCCATAGTAAATACAACTGGTAAAAATATCTAATATGCCTAGAATCCCCAGAAGTGAATCACATTTTCTGATTTTGAAAAATTGATTCCTATATACAATACAATACAGGGAAGGCGAGAAGAAAGGTCTCAACACTTCTAGTCCCTTCTTTCCTAACTTGCTTTAGTAATCTATTTGTGAAATCTCTCCCTGGAAGGAAACTAGAACAAATACTACTGAAAGCCTAAATGAGAAGAATGGCAATCACTGTGCCTTCTTTCACATCCTTCAGTGATTATACAAGATATAAAAATTGTAATGTCCATAATAATTTGTATTCTATTTTATTTTAAAATGTGTTTCTTTTTTTTTTTTAAGCCAGACAAAGTTGTTCACACCTGTAATCCCAGCACTTTGGGAGGCTGAGGCCGGTGTATCTCAAATGAGACCAGCCAGGCCAACATGGTGAAAGCCCAGCTTTACTAAAAATACAAAAAATTTTGCCAGGTCTGGCGGCATATGCCTGTAGTCCCAGCTACTCAGGAGGCAGGAGAATTGACTCCAGGAGGTAGAGGTTGCAGAGAGCCAAGATCGCGCCATTGCACTCTAGCGTGGGCCAGAGAACCGGACTCTTTGAAAAATGTAAAATACAATGAAATAAATGTGGAAATTTTTGAGAATATAATAAGCCACTTTTTAGGTTCTTTCTGAAATGTTTATCTGTATGTATTCCTTTGACACAGAAAGTAGTATATAGACAAGCTTATATAAATGTTTCAACTATATTTGAATTTTATTTGCACAACTGTCTGAATAATTTTAATACCCCAGATTAAAGTTAGAATATGTATATTTTACCCTTTGGTCTGTTTTTTTATTCTTTTAAGTCTGAGCATAATAACTTACTAAAAAGATTTCTATAGGGCCTGGTTTCTGCTAACATTATTTTCTTGGCTGTATTTTATCTAAGTTCATTATGCAAACCGAATTTGCACTGAGTCTTCAAAAATGACTTCTGAAAGCCTTCCATGGCCCCTGTTATGCCACTAACCATAATGGGGTAATGGGGACCATATTTACCCTGCCAGGTTAAATAAGTATAAAACTAGAGAGAAATATGAACCAAAGATTTTTCTACATTCAATTCCAGGCAGCACCAAACAATAATTTCTCAGAAAAGATGAACAAAGACAGTGTAAGGATGAACCCTACTTATCACCAGGCCATAACTTAGGGGGTGTTACTAGATTGAGAAGACTAAAATCAGAGTTCAACTATATCAAGAAAGCTAGAATCTGTAGAACAAAATGCCAGAAAATAAAAGAGGACTTACACAAAAAGAAAACCCCAGAGAGGCAAAAGAGTTCATGCAGGCCTTCTGCTGGCTGTTAATCTGCATATCCATGTGAGAATATTATCTGAAGCTTAAAAGAAAGCACTGGAACAAAACTATTCCCTGTACATGCATCTATAATGTTGATTGGGCAGAGTACTTTGACTTTGCTTCTGGGTAAGTAGCACAGCATGGTCTTCGTATTATTTCTTTAGCTATTCTCAATACCACAAATGTATGAGAGTGCCTTAATGGCTTAGGTTATAGTTGTTTTAAAGCCTGTGGTGAAACATTGCTGGGGTTTGGTGTGCTGGGCAGTCCTGTACTCAGGCTCCTGGATAACATCAGAAGAAACAAGCTGTGGCAGCAGCATTGGGCAGGTCAGTCTTAGGGGTCCCAGGCAGCATGGAAGGGCCCACTGTAGTGGCTGTGGGCTAGGTAGGCCAGTCTTCATTCCCCCATGTGGTACATATGGGTGCCTATAGTTGCAGTAGCACCTTAGGTTCTGGGTTGTGGGTCCTGATGTGACACTTACTGGTGTGTGGTTGTCTTGCTGCTGAGGGGTTGGGAGGAGTTGGTGCCTCAGTGGCAGCATCCTCAGGCAGGTATTTCCCATGCTCTATGGATCACGCATTTTTGTTCCCTATGTTTTGAGGCAGCCTCTCAAATATGCTGGAATGTCTGTTCCCTGGGATATAGGATGCTGCATGATTTCTATTACCATGGACCCAGCCACATTGCTGCATCCAGCTGACATCGTGACACTGGGACCTCTGTGTGGACAAGAGGGCATGTCAGCAAGGACCCAGGACATGGAGATGCAGGGGATATTGGACCCCTGGGCAAAAGGCTCTCTGATGTAGGTTCTAGACAGCCTTTTGCCCTATCACCCTCAATATTGAGCCATGTACCAGCAGTGTGGGCCTTGTGGGCATGGGGCTTGTGTAAGTTCCCTCTCTGGGACAATGTAGTTGTGTGGACAATGTAGTTGTCAGGCAGGTCTCTGTATTAGGCTTAGAAGCTGTCCTCAAAGGGCCAAGGGGATTCTCTGCATCTAGGGTTGCAAATGCAGTCTTTCTTGCCCCCACAGTAGAGAATTCCTTTTGGTTTTGAGCCAATTCCAGCTGACTGCGTTGGTCCCTCTCTATACTGCTGCCATTCACAGTTTTCATGTCTCAGAAAGTCAGTCACTTCCCTGCTGAATTCCAGCATTCTCTCAGAGATGTTCGATTCATTGCATAGTTATCTATTTGCTATTTTGGACCATCCTCGTGGAGGATGTTAGGGTGAGTCTTGAGTGACTCTAGCAGTCATCTTTATCCTTTTGTTGTTGTTGTTTATTTTATTATTTATTTATTTATTAAGATGGAGTCTTGATCTGTCGCCCAGGCTGGAGTGCATTGGTGCAATCTCAGCCCACTGCCACCTCCACCTTCTGGGTTCAAATGATTCTTCTCTCTCAGCCTCCCAAGTAGCTGGTATTACAGGCCCCCACCACCAAGGCTGGCTAATTTTTTGGTATTTTTAGTAGAGATGGGGTTTCACATAACTGGCCAGGCTGGTCTCAAACTCCTCACCTCAGTTGATCCACCCGCCTCGGCCTCCCAAAGTGCCGGGATTACAGGCATGACTCACCGTGCCCGGCTTTTTATTTTTTATTTGTTTAAAAATATATGTCAATTATTTTTCTCTCCTTTTATCTTTGTCTTCTCCTTATAGTACTCCATACATTATCACCCTGCTTCAAAATGTTCCATAAGTTCCTTAGGCTGTCTTCATGATTCCTTATTTTTCTCTTTCAGTTTTATCCTCCAGTTTGATTATTTTCAAACACTTGGCTTAATTTTGCTTATCCTTTGTTCTGCTTGAACCAGTTTACTGTTCAACCCATCTATTTAATTTTTGACTTAAGTTCCTGTAGTTTTTACTTCTTTGATTTCTGTTTGATACCTTGAAATATTTTCTACCTCTTTGTTAAACTTCTCAGTTTTTAAATGCATTACTCTCCAGACTTATGGTAATACCTTAGAGCTTTCTGTTTTGATTTCCCTGTCAGGGACATTACACACTTTCATTTTATCAGAGTCCAATTCTGTTTATTTCTTTTGTTCTTTACCTCAGAACGTATTTTCCTCTCCACTGCACTCCCTCACTGCCCTGCCCTCCCGTACCCACTACCACCAGCTCCATTTTTCTTGACTATGAGTTGGTTTCTGTAAGTTAGTGAAGATAACCATCTTTCTCTGTTTCCCTTAACTCATCCTATGTAGGAAATTTCATTTCCTTATCAGTGCAACCAGGGATTCCAGGTGCTACTCAGTTCTGTGATTGTCCAACCAACCCACTGTCTTTCTTCTTATGCCCCTCTGGATTGTATGGTGTGCAAAATCATAATATTCCCTTGGCATAGGCAAGATAGTGGCCAGCCCCATGATATGTAGCTAAAAGGGATTAGATGTATTTTACGTGTGGACAAGCTTAGATTCAGAGTTTATGTCCAACTAGTTCTGCCCTATGCCAAGAATAGTGTCCATGACTGACCCCTGTGCAGTCATTCATTATGCTCACTCTGAATCTGCACACATGGCCACTGAATATTTACAACTTTGACAATCTTGTTCTCTGTGATATAGGAGACTCAGAATACAAATTCCCATTCACTTACAGAAGTAAATAATTTAGCACAAGTCCTTTAGGTATAGGCTGCAAAATTTGTGACACATGATGTTTGCAGAAGCTACTTCCAGGGAAGGTCTACAGATCTTGATTCCTCACCAGAGCAAGCCAGGGAGAAGGTATTGCAGACATGCCTGCTTTCTCATTCTGCATTGCCAAAGTCACACAAGTTTTTTCCAGGAAGAATCTGCAAGTCAGATTTCTTGCTGTGGCAAGACAGAGAAGAAGCCAAGAAGGTCTGAGAGGTGTTCACTGTCACATTTATACTTTACTGATGTCCAGGGAGAATAGCAGGTGCGACTTGTTGCTAGAACAAGCCTGTGAAGCAAGCATGCTATGTCTGGTGACAGAAGGGAAGTGCTGTCTCTCTTCCATTCAAGATTTCAGAGATCTAATTCACTGATTTTCTCTAGTGAGGGATGGCAGAAATTTGCTATTAGAGTAAGCCATGGAAATGAGTGTGGGAAGTGCTTTTATTCTCATTTAGGTTTGGAAGTATTCCAACTCTCTGCCTCCTTCCAGATAGAGACTGCAGGAAATTTTGCTGGAGCCAGTCAGAGAAAATGCCTTGGGCAGTGCTGTCTCTCTGTGTTTGGCTCACAGAGGTCTGTCTCTAGCCTACTTTGAGAGAACAATTGCAGAAAACACTGAAGGATGTGAAAGAAGTCACAGTGATTGCCATTCTTCTCATTTAGGCTTTCAGTAGTATTTGTTCTAGTTTCCTTCCTGGGAGAGATTTCACAAATAGATTACTAAAACAAGTTAGGAAAGAAGGGACTAGAAGTGTTGAGACCTTTTTTCTCGCTTCTGAAGACTTTCAAACATCTTTCTGGGGAGAGAAAAAAAGGCTTTCCCTAATCACTGAAGGAAGCCAGGGAAGAAGGCACAGGGATTGATGTCCTTCCCATTAGGCTCCACAAGGTTTATTCTTGTTTGTTTGTTTGCTTTGAGTAGGGATTACAACCTTGGTTACAACTCCCCTGGGCTGTAATTCTCTTCATCATGATACTCTGTTTTGAGACGGAAATATATTCTATAGTGTGAAATGTTTCTTCCAAGACTGGTGTGAAAGTCAGCTCCATTTAACTGTTTTTTGTTTTTTTTTTTTTTTTTTTTTTTTTTTTTTAGTGAACATTTGACCGACCTTTACTCCTGATCTGAAAGTCTCCTCTTCATTGCTGTCTTTCTTAATAGGAAACCCATTTCCTTGCATGTAGGTTGGATATCTATTCTTCCTGACTCTCCTGCTAGTAGAAATTATTTTCTGCCTCACTGGGCTTAAGTCAGGAAATCCTGACTTCCTGATATCCCTGAGTAGGGAATTATTTTCTTACTACATAGGTTAAAAGCTTTTTGTCTTTTTTCTTGCTTTGTTTTCATAATAGGGACTATTCCCTAACTCTCTGTGCTTAAAGTGTCTTTTTTTGCTATCATCTCTTGGTAGGAATTATTCCTTGACTCCTGGAGTGAAAGTCCCTTCTACCTTTTCTGTCCTTACCTAGTAGGGATTATTCTCTGACTGTGGTAAACATCATATATTTTCATTGCTGTTGTTTTATTGGTGACTAATCCCAGACTTTACAAGACAGAAGTTTTTTTTTAGGGGATGTCTTATCTGAATATAAATTATTCCCGGATTTCTGGGATAGTACTCTTTTTTCTGGCTATTTTACTTCAATGTGAGGTATTCTGTGCCTCCTGTGGTAGAAAATTCTTGTTTTTGATTGTTTTTCTGAAGATTTTTGACTGGACTCCTGGTTTGGAAATTTCTGGACTTCTTTGCTGAGCAGGAAAAAAAAAAATTCCTGTCTCTATTCCCTGTGTAGAAATTTTCTGACTCCTGGAGTGAAAACCTGTTTTTCCTGGCTCTGTTTCGTAAGAGAAATTATTTTCCTGATTGGACATCATGTCTTTCCAGACCTCTTCCTTGAGTAAAAATTATTCTCTCACTTCTTGCTTTGAAATACATTCCTCCTGGCTCTCTTATCAAATGGAATTTATTCCCTGGCACCCTGAGCTGTAAGTCACTTCTTATTAGCTCTCTTTTCTGACTCTCTGGCATATGATATCTCTTCTTTCTTGTCTCTTTGGTAACGGGTAAAATTTTCTGACTACTTGATTGTCTCTCTCTCCTAAGTGAGAATAATTCTCATGTGATTCTGAGTTCAAAGTCACTTCTTCTTGGTTCCCTGCCTAAACTGGTATTATTCTCTGAATCCTTGGACTGAACCTCTTTTTTTTCCTTTGTTCTTTTCTCTGAGATAAATATTAAATAAGCTCTCTGGTGAAAGAGTGTTTTTCTACTTCTTTTCATGATTGAAGATTATTTCCTGGCTCCCTGGGATAGAAGTTTGCCACCCCTGACTCTTTTTCCTGATTTGAAATTTTTCTCTGACATTTGGGCTCAAAATTCTTCTTTCTGACTCTATTCCCTGATGGGGATTATACCCTGACTTTGTTTTAAATCCTTCTTTCTATCTCTTTAAAAAATAATAATGATTATTGTAACTTTCTTAGGTAGAAGTTCCTTCTTATAGGCTCTCTCTTTCCCCAGCGACATTTATTCCTAATGTGCAAAAAGTATTTTCCTCCTGGTGTTTCCCTTACTAGGGATTACTGTCTGACTCCAGAGATGAACATTTTCTTCTTTTGTTTTTCTGAACTTTTTTTCCCTTATTACAGATTATTCCAATTTTCTGAGGATTATTTCCTGATACATTATTTGGAAATCTCATCTTCCTGGCTTTTTTTCTTTATTGGGTATTATTCCCTGTCTCCTAGGGTGACATTTTCTTTTCCCAGGTTGTCTTTTTTTTTATGATTATTCTCTGACTCCCTGGGGTTGCAAGTCTCTCTTGCTTTGCTCTCTAATCTGACTAGAAATTGTTTCCTGATTTACAAATCTGGAACTTTTTTTTATCAGCTTTGCTTCATGTTTGGGATTATTGCTTTATGTTCTGTGTTGTATACCCTTCTTCCTTCCAAGAGGGGTTCATTCTCTGACATTTTTGGCTTCATTGTCCTGTTGGGTATCATTCTCAATGAAGATTTTTTTCCCTGATTATGCTAAACATATTTTTTCCTTGCTACTTTCTGAGTGGGGTTTTCCTTGAATCCATTGGCTGGGTTCCCTTTTTTTAGTCTCTTTCCTGAGTGGAGATTATTTCCTGATTCCCTATGTTGGAGACTTTTTTTCCTTAATGGGAATTTTCCCATCTTTCTAGCCTGTCAGGAAGTTAATCTCTATCTTTATCTATCTCTATCTGTATCTCTATCTGTATCTCTATCTCTTTCTCTATCTCTATCTCTATCTCTATCTCTATCTCTATCTTTCTATCCCATTATCTCTATCTCTAATCTTCATTGAAGCTCTTTGAAACCTCTCTGTTCTTTATTTGTATTCTTGCCTCTCCAATGGAAGTCTCATAGCCAACTAAAACCCACTTTCTTGAACCCTTGTGGACTTTAGGCTTTGGTAACTCTATATCCTTGTTGTTGGCATGCATTTTTCAAGGATAATTTGGAACTTCCATGATCTTTGAGAAACTTAACATCTCCTTACAGTGGTGCCTCTTTGATATCTTCCTTCTTATTACTCATGTTTCTTGTTTCTCCTTTCACTACCTTCAATCTTCCCTTTACCTTCCTTGAATCCTTTGACATATCCTCCCTCAAACCTCTCATCATTCTTCCATCTACCCCTAAGCAAGCCTTTTCCTTCCTATTTTATCCTTTCAACTCTTTATAGTCAACAGAATTGTAGGCCCACTAAATCAGAGGCTCTGGAGTGACTCAAGTATCTTCCCCACCCTCCAAAAAATTATTGGCCTGAAGCTGAAATGAAAAATGCTAATTAGAAGGGATTGAGTATTTTATCTACCCAGCCTTTGGAGACATCCAGACTGCAACTAGATGTATTCTATGCCTAAAATGTAGTCCTCTGGCTCCACAGATAAAATATTAGGGCAAAATAATATCATAAAATTCTTCTTCATCAATACAGACAAAAGGTATCAGACCTCCTATTGAATAGGCAACCTTGTATCATTTTTCAGAAGAACAATTTAGACACAATATAAAATGGACATAAACCAGCAAGTTTTATATTACCCTATTGCCTCATTCATGACTAAATTTTAGGAGAGCTACGTAATCTTTTTGTCTCTATATTTTTATGCATATGTGCTACGTGTGTGTGATATATTTCTATCTCTGGATATTATTACCAAGTTAATTTTTAATATCACTTAAAAGGGAGCTATTCAAATTGGCTTAGAGATAAATGATCACTATTGTGAATTACATACTCCTAACAATCCTTTCTAGAAATATGTATTCAAGCTCACATCACTCATGCAAATATTTAGTAACTAAGATTACTTTAAAATTGTTTAATACAAACAGCTACATATTACAAATTGTTGTTATTATTAAGTATAAAAAGACATTTGTGGGCCAGGCATGGTAGCTCATGCCTTTAATCCCAACACATTGGGAGGCCGAGGCAGGTGGATCATCTGGGGTCAGGAGTTTGAGACCAGCCTGGCCATTATGTCAAAACCCCATATCTACTAGAAATAGAAAAATTAGCCAGGAATGGTAGTATGCAGCTGTAATCTCAGCTACTTGGGAGGCCGAGGCAGGAGAATTGCTTGAACTCGGGAGGCAGGGGTTGCAGTGAGCCGACATCATGCCACTGCAGTCCAGCCTCGGTGAGAGGGCAAGACTCAATCTCAAAAGATAAAAAAGAAAAGAGAGAGAATACATTTGTCATTTGTATCCTTCTTGGATTTACTAATTTATTAGTTAAGCTATGTTATGTTCACTGGACATTTAAGATTTTATAAACATTTATATAGCAACTGAGTCATTTATAAAGTTCAGTAAGAATGTGTTCTCTTTTCAACAGAACCTAATTGGAACCTGGTTTTATTACAAAGCCTTGTCTGAAATATCAAATACATTTAAGAATGATTTGCATACAATCAGGGATAACCAGTCAGCTTTAAGAACTAAAGTTGACTGTGGGGAAAATACTTATAGAGCCCTCTTGGAAAAACCAGCCTGTTAGTTTGTTAGAGTTCCTAGCCGACGATGTGAGAAAGATTACTTCTGGGCAAGCTCTGGAACCTCACGATATTTGAGGACTCTGAGAGGAAAGGAGTTCAACCAAATGTATAGAATCTGAAAGGGAAGTCTGGTGGCAAGTTCCTGGCTTGATTTCTAGTCTCAAGGCTTTAAAAAGTATAATGTGAAACTAATTATATAAAGTTCTCACCAAGTGAGGTGGAAAGGCCTCTGTGGCCGGTCATGGTGGCTCACACCTGAAATCCCAGCAAATTCAGAGGCAGAGGTGGGAGAACCACTTCAGCCCAGAAGTTCAAGACTAGCCTGCGCAACATGGTAAAACCCTATCTCCAAAATCAAACAAACAGACAAACAAACAAACAACATACAGAATTAGCCAAGCATAACGGTTTGTGCCTATGGTCTCAGCTACTCAGGAGGCTGAGGTTGGAGGATCACTTCAGACCACAAGGTGGAGATTGCAGTGAGCTGGACACTGTCTGTAATTAAAAAAATTATATATATATATATATAAATTATATATAATAAAATATATAAGATATAAGATATTATATAATATATATAAAATATATAATAAAATATGTATATACGTATGTCTTTGTGGTCAATGACAATTCTTACTGCACTTAGGTAAAAAATGAGGACAAATCTAGTCAGACCAAACTTATTTTGTGAACAAGAGTTAAGAGAAGTAACTGCAGAGAGAATTTTGTTTCAATGGAAAACTAAAACACACTCATGTGAGTTGTCTTACATATTTTATTAGTCTACAATTTCAATTCTGATTTTATCCAATATATAGCTACAACTCTCCAAACTAAAATTTCAACACTGTATCCCCCTTTCATGATTTAGCATCACTGAAAAGTAAAACTGCCCAGTTGTCCCCAAACCTTGTAAGCTGAAGGTGGATGACTACATTTGAATAATTAAAAAATCATCTTCATGCCTTTAATACCTGATGCCAACACTGGAGGCGTTAAACACTGCAAACCAAAGAATTCATTACATCATCACTGCCACCTCACACCACCATCCTTAAGCTCAACATGTGGAAGTGTCACTTGGCTTCCTGCTGGAAGGGGAAAAGGGCCTTTGATGGGAAGTAATCAGTTCAGGAAGACAGTACCCTCATAAATGTTATTAGCGCACTCCTAAAAGACTATAGAGTTCCCAAGCCACTTCTACTATGTGTAGACTTAGCAAGAGGGGTGTTTCAAATCCAAGAAGTGGCTGGGCGCGGTGGCTTACGCCTGTAATCCCCGCACTTTGGGAGGCCAAGGCAGGCGGATCATGAGATCAGGAGATCGAGACCATCCTGGCCAAAATGGTGAAGCACTGTCTCTACTAAAATACAAAAAATTAGCCAGGTGTGGTGGTGTGCACCTGTAGACCTATCTACTCAGGAGGCTGAGGCAGGAGAATCACTTGAACCTTGGAGAAAGAGGTTGCAGTGAGCTGAGATTGTGCCACTGTACTTCAGCTTGGCGACAGAGCAAGACTACATCTCAAATATAAATAAATAAATAAAAATAAAAATAAAATCCAGGAAGTGACCCTTCACCTGTACCCTGTATTTGCTAATGCCTTGACCTTGGGCTTCTCAGCCTCTGGGATTACAAGAAATGTTTGTTATAAACTATCAAATCCAGGTATTTTCTCATAGCAATGCATATGGACAAATATGATAAAAAAATTATCCTATTATTCATTCATAAGCATTATGTTCCTATGAAAAATGATGCAATAAGGCTTTAGCTTTTGTTATTTAATGATTTTTCTCCATTTACTCTAACCTGCTGAAACAGAATCCCTGTTACAAGGTTGATAAATGGTATGTTACAGGTTACTCTTCTGTTTCCCCTACCTTTTAATCATTATGACAGAATGCCTCATGGAGATAATTTGGGTTAAAAAATCCTAGGGAGAGAGTATCACAGATACTTTTTCCTTTTCCCCCCCCTTTTTTTTTTTTTTTGGACAGGGTCTTGCTTTGTCATGCAGGCTGAAATGCAATGGAGCAAATAGGCTCACCGAAACCCGGATGTCATGGGCTCAAGCGATCATCCGCCTCAGCCCCCAAAAATCTGGTACTACACTGATGCACTACCACATCCAGTAAATGTTTTGTCTATTTTGTACAGACAAGATTTCTCCATGTTGCCCAGGCTGGTTTCAAACTCCTCAGTTGAAGTGCTATGCCCACTCAGCCACCCAAAATGCTGGGATATAAGACTGGAGCCATCACACCTGGACAGACACTGTTTCTTGTGTTGCTGTTGTAAAGATACACAAGACTAGGGAGTTGTATCCTTTCACAATCCTACATTATAGGCGAATAAAAACACAACTTCATAACATAAATAACTCACTTGAAAATCAAAGTTGGTAACTTCTCCCTTTAAAATTATTTGCACCCTTACGCTATAAAAACTATGATCTTGTCAAAATTTTCTCATAAAAATACATCCTCCTTACAGATTAGGCTGTAAATTTTAAGAATTATGGACTGTAAAATTCTGGATCTTCATATATTTCATTTCTTTAAGTTGTATGATCAGGAAAATTAATTGGTTCACTTACTTGGGTCCAAATCTTTTCATTTTTATCATTAGATGATATCTTAAATATCTTAAACCTTTAAGCAATCACTTGTCTGAAACTTTATGATGTTGTTTTATGTTTTATACACTTCACTTTCCAAAAACCATGAGGTTTAAAGCATTCCTATTCATACCTTCACTTAAATCTGATAGTCTGAGCCTGGTGGCTCATGCCTGTAATCCTAGCACTTTGGGAGGCCAAGGAGGGTGAATCAGGTTTTTAAGACCAGTCAGGCCAACATGGTGAAATGCTCTCTGTACTAAAAATACAAAAAAATTAGCCAACTGTGGTGGCACACACCTATAAACCCAGTAACTCAGGATGCTGAGGCAGGAGAATAGCTTGAACCCAGAAGGCAGTGGTCACAGTGAGCCAAGATCCAGCCACTGCACCACAGCTTGGGTGACAAAGCTAGAATCTGTCTTAAAAAAAAAATTCTGATAAAATCCCAAGCCTTCTAGATAATTTCTATTTGTAAGAACTTATTGCTAAACCATTCCTTAGCAACAACCATTGCCAAATATTATAGGAATTCATTAACATGGGTACTTCCCGTGTAAAAACACTTATTTTCCACTATTTAAATTAGGAACACTTAATTTCATTAAGCTATGTACTCAGGAAACGTAGCTGGTTCAGTTTTTGTTTAGGTGGAAAAAAATGTTTTCATCACCATTATCCCCTTTCAGTCACAGAATGCTTCAAGAAGAATGTTCTGCATGTCTTAAACTTTAGTATCAATGATATCTAATTATTTCCTTTTACCTACATGATTCCTCTGAATTGTAAACATCTTATGGTGAGACAGACAGTTTTGTAGTCTTTCTGAAGACTTCTAAAACTTTTAAAGCTTGTAAGTTTTTAAAGAGAAACACAGCCTAATTAGAAAATGTGTGCAGTTTGCAAGGGAGACGTAACCTATGCCTACTTTTGTATTTAGTTTTATTCAAAGCTACAAAAGAAAATTTTCAACAAACATCGCAATTTAGTCTCCTATTAAATTTGCTTTTAAACATGTGTAGCAATGAAATCAGGCATTACCTATTATATGTATAATTTTATTCTAAACGTTTTAATACACCCATATCATCTAAACAGATAGTTTTCAAATAGCATTAACAATTATGAAATTACTTTGAAAGAAATTCATTTTCATCTTAATACCCAAAAAATTCATAGAGGAAGTTAGGATCTACCTCTCCCTCCAAAATCAACATTTTGTTTTAGTGGTACTCACGTAATGATGCAGAAATAATATTTTAATTTTTGCTTTGCAAGCAAGGTTTGGTAAGCAATAACTATTATCTTTCTTTATTTTTTTTCTTTCTTTGTTTTTATTTTGTGAGACAGTTTTGCTTTGTTTCCCAGACTGGAGCACAGTGATGAGATCTTGGCTCACTGCAATCTCTGCCTTCTGGGTACAAGCAATTAATTCTCCTGCCTCAGACTGCTGAATACCACGGTAAGTATTATTTTTAATATCTCCTTTAATATCTGCTTCAGTCTCCTTTTTCACATCGGCTTCCCCCACCACTTCCTGTAGGTGCTCCATAACTTGAGCTATCGTATCCTTCATGAGGAGCAGGGTGCACCCTATCCACAGAAGGTAGATTCCTTTACTCTTTTTTTTCTTTTTTTATTATTATACTTTAAGTTTTAGGTTACATGTGCACAATGTGCAGGTTAGTTACATATGTATACCTGTGCCATGCTGGTGTGCTGCACCCACTAACTCATCATCTAGCATTAGGTATATCTCCCAATGCTATCCCTCCCCCCTCCCCCCTCCCCCCACCCCACAACAGTCCCCAAAGTGTGATGTTCCCCTTCCTGTGTCCATGTGTTCTCATTGTTCCATTCCCACCTATGAGTGAGAATATGCGGTGATTCCTTCACTCTTTTCTGCCACTGTGCCCATGATCACAGGAATACACATCACCACCTCCGTGAGTAACTCTGCTGACTTCTGCCATATCCATCTCATGTACAGTTATAATCATAGTGAATACTTCCACCATAACTCATCTGAGGCCCTCGTGCAGGTGGTGCACCATGAGAGGTCCCTGCAAGGTTGATAAAATATAGAACTTATAATGAACTACATTTAAACATTTTTAATGGTATCACTAATGCATGTCTCAGTTAAAGTACTATTTGGAAAAATCTGCTTTCCCCTGTCTTCATTGAGAGCATATTATTATGCCTGAAACAGTCAAAAGGTTTTATTGTAAAGAAGCATAAGAATAGTATTTCGAAGTATAAGAAAGTTTATTTTAAAATAAACGATGTTAAGTCACATTTTCTGAAAATGAACTGAAGTTCTCATCTACATGTTCACTATGCATTATACTGTTAACAATTCTCAGTTCTCAGTGTTTAAACATGCTATATTTTTCCTTTATGATCTTCCTTAAAATTTTATTAAAGCAATGATCTCATCTATTAAATATAATACTATAATTTACAAATCAAACCCAGACACTTACCATAACTCTGATATGCATCTCTGTAAGAACTTCCACTTGGATGTTCAGAATGATCTCTACCACAGCCCCCTTGGTAGCCATCACGGTCATTAAATTTAAAAAACGTTTGTTAATGTCAGCAGGAAAAACTTAAGAAATCTCTTTGACAAAACCAGAAATTATTTTAGTACCTATATCCTCCAGAGGATTGTTCACTCCAACTAGAACGACCGTAGTCATGGTATCCATAATCTTTAGGTGGTGGAGCATCATCCCTGGTGTCTCAGGAACTTGTATGAATTCTACTTCCATAAGTTAAAGCAACAAATTTTAAATTATCAACTTCTAGGATCCAAAACATAACTTACAACTTAAACAAAATAAAAGGCCAAACATCTGAACAGATATTTCTCCAAATAAAATATGCAAATGCTCAAAAAGCACATGGAACAAATAATCATAATTAGTTATTCAGAAAATGCATTTCAAAACCAAAATGAGATACCATACTTCACACATAACTGGAATGGAAATAAATTTTAAAAAGCAGGAAATACCAAGTGTTTGAGAGGATGTAGATAATCTGTAACCCTGATACAATTCTAGATGGAATGGAAAATGATGCAGGTAGTATGAAGAAATGTGGTGCTTCCTCAAGAAAATAAACACAATTTTTATAGGACCAAGAAATTCCACTCATATATACCGAGAATTGAATAAGTGTACCCAAACAAATATGTGCATATAGAAATACTGTGGTGGAAACAACCCAAATAAAATAATGGGTTAGCAGCTTGTGTAAGGAAAGAAGTGCTACAATGTAAATGAACATTCATGGCATCACGCAAAATGAAAGGAGACAGATATAAAAAGTCGTGTAGTGTTTGAGCTCATTAACATGAAACGCCCAGAAAAAGTAAGTTCAGAGGCAGAAAACAGATTGTTGTTTGCTAGTGGCTGACAGAAGGGAGAAAATGAAATGAACTGCTTAGCTGGTAGTGAAGCTGTAGTTTGGAGTGATGAGAATGTTTTGGAACTAGGTGGTGGTAGTTGTTGCACCACACAGAATGCATTAAACACCACTTAACTATTTACCTTTAAATGTTTAATTTTGTTATTTGAATTTCATCACCACACAAAAGTCAACTATTTTTCCATTTTTCCTTTACCTATCCTTAGTTGCATAACCCTCATCTCTTGGTGACACATGGTCATTTCTTCAGGAAGAGACTGGCTCTCTGCATGGAGGACCTCCATAATTCTCTCATCCAAGTGACATGGGATATTTAATGTTAAAATGATTAAATATTATGTAAAGGACACAAAATCTGAAACACTGTTTTTTCTTCTGTAAAACAACTTTTTAAAATTATTTCTTGTATGACTCTATTCTTCTTTCCCTAAATTACTAGACATTCATGACACTTAAATATTTCTTCTGGCTTTGGATAATCCCATGCCTCCACAAGGCCAGCTCTTCTAACGAAGCTGAAGGCAGACATTAATTCTTAGGTAAAAGTTCATTTTTAATTGTTAATAACTAGTTAGTTATTATTTTTCTTTTCATATGAATTACTGATGATTACTATTGACTCAGGGAAAGCATGTAAAACCATCAAACTCTTCACTGAATATAAAGTTTACATATGTTGTCCTTTCTCAGCTGAAGAAGGTAAATTTTCCCATGTTGTTCAATCCATCTCACACACACAAATACTGCTACCTTTGAACGACTGCATACTAAATTTTTACATAAAAGTGCTCCTTTATCTCTAAGTGATTGGCTCTATCTTAAATGTTGACAAATTAAAATGTCCTAGTACAGCTCTTCTAATCATGGCCAATATTTACTTTTACTGCAGTTAGCAATACTCTTAAAGGGGTCATTACAACATTGTACCTCTTTCAAAAACAGAAAACTTCCTCTTTTATCATACTCTTCACATGGTAATTCAGAGAGGTCAGTCTTTCTCCTATGATGTGTTCACTGGCTAGTCTTCTAATGGAAATGTGCTGGCTTGTGTATTCTGATATCAATAAATATTTAACTTCACTGATACTCTATATGCGAAATGTTGAAAATGGCAGTTTTCAATTTCCTCCATATTAGGAAGGAGGGCTAGGTAAGAATTTTAATTTGTTCTCCTTAAATTTCTTTGCTAAGAACTGTTATATTATTGTCTTGCTTTCTTCTGTTCAGTCTGAAATCTTACACTTCTTCTCAAAAACATTACTTCTATTCAATCCTACTGTTCACCTCAGGCTGCTTAGAACTAAATTCTCAAATAATTTCAAATCCTACACTAAGGATCTTGTGTTAAGGTTTCAACATCCCTGTACAATCTTAATGAGTAATTTACACCCCCATATATTTCACAACTCTGAACTTTTGTGGTATGCACTAAACTTAAAAATGCTGGACTCCTTCAAGTCTATCTTTCAAGCCTTAATTTTATTATTAAATATTGTTTAAGCCCAGTGATTGCTTATTTGCAAAATAAGCTCTTTTAGTTCTTAGTATCCTCACATAACCAGTAAGAATTCCTTGCACATAAGTATTATTGAGGTCTTAGAACCTGGATGGCCAAGCGCAGTGGCTCACACCATGAGCCAGTGTGGAAGGCTGAGGCAGCTGGACAGCTTGAGCCCAGGGCTTTAATATCAGCTACGACAATGTAATGAGATCTTGTCTCTACAAAAGTATAGAAAAAAGAAAAACAAATTTAGCTATGTGTGGTGGTGCACACTTGTAGGTACAGCAATGCAGGAGGCTGAAACAGGAGAATTGCTTCAGCCCAGGAATTTGAGGCTGTAGTGAGCCATCATCTCACCAACACACTCTGACCTGGTGAGAACAAGACTCCAACACAACAAAGAAACTGAACAAACAATTTTTAGATTGACCCACTGGAGGACCACTACCCAGGGACCTAGGAAATGGAATAATTCATTAGATTAAGAAGCCAACCATCAAAGTATAGTGCCAGGAACTTTAAGAAAAATTAAGAGGAATTCTCTGGCAAACACAGGATTAAAACTAATGTTTGCCTCAGTGTAATCACTTCTTTGATTTACAATTAGAAGCTAAAGTATTTCCTCATCATGAATGTGAAATTAACCTAGTGAGACGGAAACTACAATAAAAGCTATCAATTAGTAAATATGCCCATGTGTATGTCACTACTATTTTGTTTCTTGAACTAAAAGTTAAGCATCCTGTTAAAATAACTCATTTTTTTGTCATACAAAAACAACTGTCTTTCTATAAGATAGCATTTACCTTGGCCTCCCATCCCACTATTGCTTCTGGCCACAATACAAGGAGCAGATTTTTTTTTTGAAAGGGAGTCTCGCTCTGTCGCCCAAGCTGGAGTGCAGTGGCGCAATCTCGGGTCCCTGCAAACTCCACCTCCCGTGTTCATGCCATTCTCCTGCCTCAGCCTCCCGACTACCTAGAACTACAGGTGCCTGCCACCATGCCTGGCTAATTTTTTTTTTATTTTTAGTAGAGATGGGGTTTTACCCTGTTAGCCAGGATGGTCTCGATCTCCTGACCTCGTAATCTGCCCGCCTCGGCCTCGCAAAGTGCTGGGATTACAGGCGTGAGCCACCGCAGCCGGCCCAGAAGGAGCAGATTTTTTAGGAAGAGGACCTCCACTTCTTGAACATGGACCTTTTTTTAAATGGAAATGGCCCCCTAGAAGAAGTCATGTTGAGATCAAAAGTGTATCCACCATCTTCTGTGTTTACGAAAAAAAAACAAAAAAAAAACAAAAAAAAAACAACAAAAAAAAAAACAACTTTTTAGTTAAGTAACATCACTGTGTCTTAAATGGCTAAGTTTTAGTTGTTTATAAATATTTCTTAAATATGATAATCTTACGAATTCATGTGTCTAAACTAATACAATTTAGTATTTCTATACCAAATTAGTGCAATACAAGCAATAAAAATTCGTTTAGAAAACCTAGAAAATGGCTGGGCATGGTGGCTCACACCTGCAATCCCAGCACTTTGGGAGGCTGAGTTGGGCAGATCATGAGGTCAAGAGATCAAGACCATCTTGGATAACATGGTGAAACCCAATCTCTACTAAAAATACAAACATTAACTGGGCCTCTTGGTGTGCAACTGTGGTCCCAGCTACATGGAAGGCTGAAGCAGGAGAATCGCTTGAGCCCAGGAAGCGGAGGTTGCAGTGAGCTGAGGTTGCACCACTGCATTCCAGCCTGGCAACAAAAGAAAACCTAAAAAATAACACAAGAATCAGGCCGGACGTGGTGGCTGATGCGTGTAATCCCAGCACTTTGGGAGGCCGAGGTGGGAGGATCACCTGAGGTTGGGAGTTGAAGACCAGCCTGACCAACATGGAGAAACTCCGTCTCTACTAAAAATACAAAATTAGCTGTAATCCCAGCTACTCGGGAGGCTGAGGCAGAAGAATCGCTTGAACCCAGGAGGCGGAGGTTGTGGTGAGCCGACATCACGCCATTGCACTCCAGCCTGGGCAACAAGAGCGAAACTCCGTCTCAAAAAAAAAAAAAAAGAATTTTATACTGGTGTGAGAGAGAGAGAGATATGGGATAAATGCATAGTGAAGAGAGGGCAAAAATCTATCAGTTAAACATATAAACACAATCTAGATAAAGAAAAATATATTAGGAGAAAAATTATACATTATTGTTCAGATAATTCTGGTATGAGGAAAGTTTTTTCAAAACATATCATAAGGGTACTCCAAATTCCATTTAAAGAACTCAAATATTTACAAAATCAAAACATGACACCTCAGAAAAATACATTATCTGTAAAATTTGTGTCATAACATTCAATTCTTACAAATCCATTATGAAATATTAATTTTTAGCTTAGGCTATGCTCAATTTTAATAATCTTTAAGAACTGCATATTAAATAATAAAAAATATTTTCATATACCTACAAAAAATGTAGATATATTCTAATGACCTGGTGGTGTCACAGGTAAGAAAATGCATATTCTCATCATGGCAGAGTAGTATTAATCTTCACCCTCAAAATCAATTGAGAAAAAAAAATCATGAAGCTATGTACCTTAAAATGGAGCAAACACTGCAATTTCAACTTGAGAAAACATATCCAATGAATTACACATCTGGTTATTAAAACTCAAATTAAATGTTATATTTTTGAAGGTTGGTTAATAGATAATACAACTGACCCAATTTTTTTAATACATGAATATTTTTAAGTAAAAATTGACCCTCATTCCTATTGAGTAAGTCCTTCATAAATGCCATTTTCAGTGACTCATCCTCCAGCAAAGAAAGATACTAACATATTTGTGAAGCAGTGGCTTTTAGACTTTTCCTGAGTCACAGACTCTTTTGAGAAACTGAAGTTACACATTTCTTAAATACAAAATGCTTTATGGCAGGCCGATGTGCAAATCATGCCTATCAAAATGGCAAAGGAATACATTTGTATAGATATTTCCATGTGTATACACAAATAACAAATATTGCAAGATCAATCCTAAAATAATGACTTCTTATTTCCTGTTGGAAGGTTTTCAAGATTCCATCGTATTTTGATAATACATTTTATATAAAGTTCTTGGCCCCAAAATAAGAAACTCTGAAGCATAATGAATAAATGAGTTCTGCAGAAAACTTGTTGAGTACAGACAATCAATATTAATAAACTCAATTTTCTTTTAAATGTGTTATTTCAATGCAAATTAAGATTTTAAAATGAAATTTTCATATTATTTCAATCATTCTTATAATATATCTTTAGTACTTACAAAAAATTTTGCTCATTATCAGTAAGTTAATTTTCTGTACATAAAGGAAGTAAACAAAATTAAGAAATTTTGATATCTTCAAACTTACTGTCTTTCAGTCCTATGGTTTCATCTTTGTATTTGAAAACATTACCCAAGTGTCCCTCACATGAGGGAAGAAACACTCTTGTTCCTCCACTACCTCCTCTTGCAGATCTCAGACTTCCTGAAGGGCTCCTTTTTCTCCAAGAAGCTGTTGATCTCCACCTACCATCATTTTGAAAAAGATAGTTTCTTGACTTGTTCTACTTTTATTTCTTTTCCATCCAAAGACTAAAAGTATTAAGTATCCTATCAATAACATTGTCACATTTAACCTAAACACATTTTACAAACGTTTTTGCATCCACTATATTTCAGTTCTAGATGTTTTCTCCCAAACCAAATATATCTCTTTTTTTCCTGAAATGACCATGTCTTTCACAATGCCAAATTTGAGACATTTACTGAGCACATGCCTTCCACTAAGGGATCAAACACAAATTCTATTATTCAAATTCCTTGAAAAGTTTTCCAGTATTAAAAAATCACCTAAAAAAACTTAACCCATCACACATTCTAGGATAATGTAGCACATCTTCTTTTTCACAAACAATAATCTACTTCATATTTGTATTCACATCACTTATTTGTTTCAATATCCCAAGGTTTATGAAAGAATGTGTCATCTAAAAAAAGATTATTTATTTATATACATATATTAAAAAAAAACACTTGCCTTCCAATATGGGACCATATTTCCCAAATACTGCTTTAAGCATCTTTTCATTGGTTTCTAAATGGAGGCCAGCAATGAAAAGTTTGCCAGGCCAATCTGCTTCCACCATTTTGCTGTAAATGGAAAAAAAAAAATCTTGTTTAGATAACAATAAATAATCCCAAAAGATAAAATTTTATTACATACTGTGTTGAAAACTCAAGTGAAATTCCCTTACAGAGGCTGACATATTTTTAGTATTTCTTACTTTAAATATGTAAAATTTGTAACATGCAGAGCAAAAGGGGCAGTGACTTCATGGACAAATACTGCATTGTAATACTTACCTGACAAAAACTTGTTTGTAAAAATGAGATGAGAAAAGCTATTGTAATTTTCTTAAGCTGCAAAACGCAGGATGCCCCATTTAAATAATTTCATTTGAAAACTATATATTTATACTATACAATGTGATGTTTTGTGTATTTTTTTCTTGAGATGTAAATTTCTTGTTGCTAAAGTGCACACTGCTCACTGCAGCCTCCGCTACCGAGTCTCAAGTGATCCTCCCACGTCTCAGCTACAGGCGCTTGCTACCAGAGCTAGCAGGCAATTTTTTGTGTGTTTCTTTAATAGACACAGGTTTCCCCATTGTACCCAAGCTAGTCTCGAACTCCTGGTCTCAAGCGATATTCTGGCCTGATGCTACCAAGGTGATGAGATTTCAAAGGTGAACCACCACGCCCAGCTTAATATTTAAATAAATGATTAAATCAAGCTAATTAAAATACATCCTTTCTTGGGGGAGAGCATTTTACATTTTTTACAATATTTTAGTTATTTGAAATGTACAATAGATCAGGGATCCCCAAACCCTGGTCTCCAACCGGTACCTGTCCGCGGCCTGTTAGGAAGCCGGCTGCAGAACAGGTGACGAACCGCTAGCACCGCCTGAGCCCCGCCTCCTGTCAGATCAGCAAAGGCATTGGATTCTCACCGGAGTAGGAGCCCTACTTTGAACTGCGCATGCGAGGATCTAGGTGGCGCTCTCCTTAGAAGAATGCAATGCCTGAATGAACTGAGGTGGAACGGTTTCATCCAGAATCCATTCTCCCTATTCCCCGCTGGCCTGCCCTGTCCCCCTCGCAGCTCCGCTGCCCCACCGCTGCCCCCCGTCACACTGCTCTGACCCGAAGCCCCTCCCTACCCTGTGTTCCTCCTGGAACTGCAGCCCCTCATCTCCCCGGTGTGTCCACCTCGCCACCTTCTCCCCCTACCCACCTCTTTTCTGTGGAAAAATAGCTTCCACAAAACCGGTCCCTGGCGCCAAAATGGCAATAGATTAAAGGGCTCATTATGTTCGCAGACTGGTCTCCAACTCGTGACTTCAAGCCATCCTCACATCTCCTCTTCCCAATGGTAGGATTACAAGAGTAAGTCAGTGTGGCAAGTTAATAGAATAACTTAAACGCATTTATTTTGTCTCAGTTTTAAGCTATCACCATTTATCTCGATTACACCCACTTATTTGGTGTAAATAATTTAAATTATTATGGTGCCAGAGATACATGAAATATGTTTCAAATACTCTTAACAAGAGAAAGAAACATAAAAGAATTATAAGCAATGTTTGCACTATTATGATAGTGATGTGGAAAATAAGATGACAGATAAGTTTTAAAAAAACCGTGATTTATCAAGAATTGTTTGGAAAGAAATAAAAACCCAATATGTAGGCCCAGCTTGGTGGCTCATGCCTGTAATTCCAGTACTTTGGGAGGCCAAGGGGGGTCAGATAACCAGGAGTTTGAGGCCAGCCTGGGCAAAATGTTGAAACCCTGTCTCTAGCAAAAATACAAAAACTTATCTGGGAGTAGTGGTGTGGGCCTATAGTCCCAGCTACAGGTGGGAGCTGGGAGATTCCCTTAAACCCTGGAGGTGGAGTTTGCACTAAGGCAAGATCACGCCACTGCACTCTGGACTGGGTGATACAGCATGACCCTGTCTCAAAAACAAAAACAAAACAAAACAAGTAAACTCACACACAAAAAAAATTCCTTTGTAATGAATTCTAGGGAAGAAACCTGAAAAACGTGCTTAGGAGTCACTGTTTTGCTGACAAATTAATACTTCCTTCTTCCTTTCCCTTTTTTCTTCTCCTTTTTCCCTTCCCTTTCCTTCTCTTTCTTTTCCTTCCTCCTTTCCTTCCTCCTTTTCTTCTTCTTCTTTTTTTTTTTTTTTTTTTGAGATAGGGTCTCTGTCCCCAGGCTGTAATGCAGTGGTGCCATCATAGCTCACTGCAGCCTCCAATTCCAAGTCTCACATATCCTCTTCCTTTGCTTCCCTAGTAGTTAAGACTAAGGGAATGAGCATATGAAAGGATGATAAACGTCATATAATACTGGGGAGTTGTGAATTTGATAATAAATTAAATATAAAATTGCAAAAATTGAAAGCACTGATAACAGCAAATTTGGAAGAATGGTAGGCTTTGTTTTGTTTTGGTTTAACAAAATTAAACGTACTCTTTCGATCTCATCTAGCAGTCTTGCTTCTTGGAATTTATCCAACTAAATTAAAAACATATTTACATCAAAATCTGCATATAGATGTTGTTCTATATTAAAGTGGTTAAACTGTGGTTTATGGAATATTTATGGAATACTGTGCAGCACTGAAAAAATGAGCTTTCAAATCATGAAAAAACATGGAAGAAACTTAAATGTATATTTACAAGTGAACTAAGCCAATCATAAAATGCTACAAGTATTATTTCAAATATATGACAATCTAGAAAAAAATGTTGAAGAAGTAAAAAGATCAGTGGTTGCAATTGATTACAAGGGAGAGTGTAATAAATAGGCACAACTCAGGTATTAGAGTATACAATAGTGAAACTATTCTATATAATACTACAGTTTTGGATACATTTTATTACATGTTTGTAAAAACCTATAGAATGTGCAACAGTAAAAGTTAGCCCTAATGTAAATTGCAGGTATTGAGTGATAATGTATTGATGTAGGTTTATGAACTGTAACAAACATACCAGTCTCATCAGAAATATTGATAGTGGGAAAGGTTGTACATGTGGGCACAGGGTGTAAGGGAGCTTTCTATACTTTCTACTCAATTTTGTTGTAATGTAAAACTACTCTACTGAGATTTATTAATTTAAAAAGCTCAGTAATTAAGATCTGTATTTCAGTGCAATATTCATAAATAATTATTAATAAAATTTAAAGTTGAACAAAATATTTTATAGAAAGATAAGATCATTATCAATATTAATGTTATGCTAAGGAATATTGAAGCAGGAAACAAAATAATCAATAATATGCTATCTTTAAAAATATAATACTTTATTAATGATTATTACATTATTTTGGATTATGAAAACATTGCATTAAAATATTCTCTATGTTGATTATTTAATTCTTCTGGTGACCTTTAACTTTTGCATTTAAAGTAATTGCATTCACTTCACCTGCTTAATTCATAGTTTACTAAATCTTGGAATGGAATCGTAGACACAATGCAGGAGAGGCAAGCCCCAAGCAGAGCTAAGCCCACTGGTTTCTTGACTTTGTCCAGGAAATAATTCAATGCCAAACCAGAGGTAGAAAAAAATAGCTTAACTGATGAGACAGAATTACAGCTCTGGCAGTGTTACAGCCCTGTGGCTCCTCTTTCAGAACAGGGCTATGCCATAGCAAAAGAGTAGCAGCTCAGGGATATCTTGCAGCCATATTTATATTTGCTTTTAATTGCATGGATTGATAAATGCAGAAATTTATAGGGAAAGGGTGGTAATCATTGGATCATTGCCATAGAAGGGTGGTAACTCCTGGGTGTTGCGATAGCAATGTTAAATGCCATAGCACACTGGTGAGCATGTCTGATTGAAAACTGCTTCTGCCTAAGCCCTGTTTTTTAGGTAGTCCTCAATCTGGATCATGCGTGAGCCCTACCCCTGGAGGTGAGTCCCACCTTCAACCTCATTCTCCACTCAGATGTTAAATACTTTCCCTTAATCTTAAGGGGGATGCAAGAGGGAGGAGGTCCATGCAGTGTACCTGCTTTCTGCTGAATCATGAGCACTGGCCTTGCCTAGCACTAGAGAAGCAAATGTCTCTGGATACATGAGCTAAAGGGGTGAAAGGCAGAACACCACAATTATCCAGATCAGTATATAACTCAAAAGCCTTATGCCAGCATTGTTTGCACCTGGAAATATTATAATCTACAAGATACAAAGCTTACTATAAGGTTCAACAAACAAGTAAATAAATTAGTAACAACAAGACAGCTGTCAAGGGTCCTATCACAGATTTTTAAAAGGTGGAAAAACAGAGAAATACCCTTCTTTCCAGAAAATTGGGAAACTGACAATGATACCCTTCCTTTTCTAGAAAATTCAGGAGCTCAATTGTGTTTTTCTTAGTCTTTCCTAGTAGGAATACCCTCTATTCCCACCAGCAGCATCATGTTGCCACTTCTGGATGAGTGACTGTTGATTCTTTTAAATAGGTAGTGGCGATCTTCCAAAAATTTAGGTTACAGTGTCCTCCATTTGTGCCTGCAACTTATAAGAAACAGGTTTAAGCCAAGTGCAGTGGCTCATGCCTGTAATCCCAGCACTTTGGGAGGCCGAGGTGGGTGGATCACGAGGTCAGGAGGTTGAGACTATCCTGTCTAACACAGTGAAAACCTGTCTCTAATAAAAATACAAGAAAAATTAGCCGGGCATGGTGGCGGACACCTGTAGTCCCAGCTACTCACGAGGCTAAGCAGGAGAATGGCACGAACCCAGGGGGCAAAGCTTGCAATGAGCCAAGATCGTGACACTGCACTCCAGTGCACTCCAGCCTGGGTGACAGAGTGAGACTCCATCTCAAAAAAAAAAAGAAACAGGTTTAATCTTGGACAATTGTATCCAACTAGGTACGCTCTAAAGTTTAAAAGGACTGGAATAGTCAACAACACTTGATAGGGGCCCTTCTATTTTGGTTGTAACTGATTGTCAGGGGATGCTTCTTTCAAAATGTTTACTAGTTTCATGACTGAATAGGAGGTCAGTTAATTGCTTTGTGAGAGGGGGCAATACTTTTTGTCCATAGGCTTGGAGGACTTTTCTAAACTGGTCTAAGTTGACAACTTATGAGTCAACTATGTATCTCTTTATTAAGCAGGAGACCTCAAGCTAAAAATGGCCTCACATAACTCCTCTCAAATGGATTTTTCTGGAGGTTTTTAAGGGTCATTCCTATGTGTATGAAGACTATGGCTAAGAGAGGAACCTGGTCTCTGAGGTCCCCTGACATGGCTTAGCTCATGTCTTTTCAAAACATGATTAGATTTTTCTATTTTACCTGAGGATTGAGTACTCCAGGGGGAGTGAAGGTGATAGGTAATGCCTAAAGCTGAATGCAAGCTGCTGGGTCACTTTGGCTATGAAGGTAGGTCCATTGTCACTATGAAGGCTTTCAGGTCATCGAAACTTTGCAGTTGATCTTATTGAGTAAAAATGTGGGCGCTCATAAAGTGGGAAAAGCCTCAATTCACTTGGTGAAGTTGTCTATAAATACTGGTGAATATTTCCAGCCCCTGTATGGTTGTATCTGATAAAAATCTATTTACCAGCCAGGCATGGTGGCTCACGCCTGTAATCCCAGCACTTTGGGAGGCCAAGGCGGGTGGATCACGAGGTCAGGAGATTGAAACCATCCTGGCCAACATGCTAAAACCCCGTCTCTACTACAAATACAAAACTTGGCTGGGCCTGATGACACGCACTTGTAATACCAGCTATTTGGGAGGCTGAGGCAGGAGAATCACTTGAAACTGGGAGACAGAGGTTGCAGTGAGCCGAGATTGTGTCACTGCACTTCAGCCTAGCAACAGAGTGAGACTCTGTGTCAAAAGCAAACAAAAAAATTATATTTGCCAGTCTTCCCAGGGTATGTCCCTCAATGTTGTAAAGGTTTGGGTACAGGTAGGGGTATGGAGTAGTTTCCTGGATTGTTACAGCCACAGAGTTCACAGGCCCTGGTCATCCTTTTTATAGTGTAGAATAGTTTCTTTCCTTAAATGATTTGAGAAAATAACTTGTATATTGAGACCTGTCCCAAATGTGAGGAGTCATATAAAGGCTTAACTATCTTTCATTGCATTGCCCCAGGGAGAAAGAGTTTTGTTGCTTTCTAGTAACCATCCTGAGGGATTCTTTTATAACCCTTTTTGTCCTGTCCATTACATTTCTTCATGGGTACAGGGTGGTGTTCCGGACATGGGTGCAGTACCTGGCAGTAGCCAGTGGCCTGTAACAATGGTACCTCTTTAGATTTGCCCTTAGCTGTTTTCTCTCCCAGAGAATTTCCATTGATAATAGAAGGGTCTTCTTTTTAGTGCCTACTGCAGTGAATCACTCCCACCTTATTTAAGAGCTGGACAGCTAGTTATATGCAAATACTACACCATTTAATGCCAAGAAATGGAGAATCTGCAGATTTTGGTATCCATGGAAGTCCTGAACCAATCCCCCACTGATACTGAGGGAGGATTATGTATACTTCAATATCACACAGTTCACAATGGAAGTACAGCCTCCATTATCACTCAAAACCATCCTGTGTCTTTCTTTTACTGGAAGGTAGATAATTTCAACTTTGACATCTTAATACTACATCTAGAAAATTTTCTAAGTTTTCTTATTAATATATATGGTTTGTATATTCTTTGAAGTTGTCCATGTAGATAATCATGTCATCTACAGATGAGGACTGTTTTACTTCTTTCTTGTCAATTCTTATAAAATATTATTATTGTTATGAGTATTATTTATTGTATATTATACGTTAAAAATCTCCAGGACAAATGTTGAAGAGAAATGGTAATAGTGAGTCTTCTAGTCTTTCTTCTGATTTCGAAGGAAGTATTCTCAGATAAGGAACATTTTCTTTATTTGTACTTTAATGTCTTATTATAAATAGCTATTTGTTTTATTTGGTGTTTATTCTGTATTCATTGATGTAATTCTATTTTTTCCTACTTTAATATATTAGTATGATGCATTAAATTAATATATTTTCTTAAGTTGAGCCACTCTTTTGTCTTTGAAATAAATTTTGTGTAGATATGTAGTTATGATGTATAACCTTATATTTGTTTGCTCATTGATATATTTTGGCTCTGTTTTCACCCCAATCTCATGCTGAATTTTAATCCTCATGTTTTGGAGGGGGGCTTGGTTGGAGGTGACTGGATCATGGCGAGAGGTGACAAAGTGCTAGCAGCCCTCGCTTGCTCTCCTCACCTCCTCAGGCCACAGGGTGTCCACTCTGGCCACGCTTGAGGAGCCCCCTTCAGTCTGCCAGTGCACTGTGGGAGCCCATCTCTGGGATGGCCAAGGCTGGAGCTGGCTCCCTCTGCTTGCGGGGAGGTGTGGACGGAGAGGGGCCAGCGGGAACCAGGGCTGGGCATGGTGCTCACGGGCCAGCACGAGTTCTGGGTGGACGCAGGCTTGGCGGCCCCGCACTCGGAGCGGCCTAGTGGTGCCACCCGGCCCCAGGCAGTGAGGGGCTTGTACCTGGGCAAGCAGCTGCAGAAGAGGTGCCATGTCCTGCAGCACTGCTGGCCCCCTATGCTGCACTCGAATTCTCTCCAGGCCTCAGCCACCTCCCCATGGGGCAGGGCTCAGGACCTGCAGCCTGCCATGCTGGAACACCCCTGTGGTGGGCTCCCACCAGCCTGAGCCTCCTCGACGGGTGCCAGCCCTTGCTCCGTGGTGCCCGGTCCCATGGACCGCCCAAGGGCTGAGGACTGCAGATGTGTGGCGTGGCACTGGTGTGTAGCTCCACCCGTGACCCTGGCATGGGATCCATTAGGTGAAGCCAGCTGGGCTCCTGAGTCGGGTAGGGACTTGGAGAACTTTTATGTCTAGCTGGAGGATTGTGTATACACCAATCAGCACTCTATGTCTAGCTTGGGGTTCCTGGATACACCACTCTCTATCTAGCTAATCTGGTGAGGACTTGGAAAACTTTTACTTGTAGCTAAAGGATTGTAAATACACCAATCAGTGCTCTGTGTGTAGCTCAAGGATTGTAAATCCACCAATCAGCACTCTGTGCCTAGCTCAAGGTTTGTAAATGCACCAATCAGCACTCTGTGTCTAGCTAATCTAGTGGGGACTTGGAGAACTTTTACTTCTAGCTAGAGGATTGTAAATACACCAATCAGCACTGTGTGTCTAGCTCAGGGATTGTAAATGCACCAATCAGCACCCTGTCAAAACGGACCAATCAGATCTCTGTAAAATGGGCCAATCAGCAGGATGTGGGTGGAGTCAGATAAGGGAATAAAAGCTGGCTGCCCAAGCCAGCAGTGGCAACCCACTAGAGTCCACTTCCGGCAGTGGAAGCTTTGTTCTTTTGCTCTTTGCAGTAAATCTTGCTGCTGCTCACTCTTTGGGTCTGCACTGCCTTTATGAGCTGTTAACACTCACCACGAAGGTCTGCAGCTTCACTCCTGAGGCCAGCAAGACCACAAACCCACTGGGAGGAGTGAACAACTCCAGATGTTCCACTTTAAGAGCTGTAACACTCACTGTGAAGGTCTGCAACTTCACTCCTGAAGCCAGTGAGACCATGAACCCACCAGAAGGAAGAAACTCCGAACAATCTGAACATCAGAAGGAACAAACTCTGGACACACCATCTTTAAGAACTGTTAACACTCACTGCGAGGCTCCGTGGCTTCATTCCTCAAGTCAGTGAGACCAAGAACCCACCAATTTCGGACACAATGGGAGCAGACTTCTTTATGTTCTCATGATAGTAAGTAAGGTCTCATGAGATCGACTTTTTTGAAAATGTGTATCACTTCCCCCTTTACACTCTCTTTCCTGCCACCATCTGAAGACACACTTGCTTTCCCTTGGCCTTCTCGCATAATTGTGTGTTTTCTGAGGCCTCCTAGCTATGCCTCCTGCAAAGCTTGAGAAACTATGAGCCAGTTAAGTCTCCTTTCTTTATAAGTTACCCAGTCTCGGATATTTCTTTGCAGCTGTGTGAAAACAAATAATATACTTATATTTTGCTCATGTTTTCACATTGTTGTTTTAAAGTTAAATTAATCTTTTTTGGGCTTAATTCTTATGCTTTTTGTTTGAAAGTAGTAACGAAATTATTCATTTGAAAATTAATTAGGGTTTTGTGTTTTTCTTCTCTTTTTCACTTCTCTGAAACATTTCTTTCCTTGAATGTGTAGTAGAATGCAACTATAAAAGCCACTTATTCTAATACTTTTTTATAGGGATATTTTAAATGTGGATGCATTTTTTTCAAAATGATATAGCAAGTGAAGTTTTCTAGTTCTTCTTGTGTCAGTTTGGGTAACTGACTTTTTTGTAAAACTTTTCTGTTTCACTGAAGAATTAAAATTTATTTGCATAAAGATGTTCCTAATACTGCTGTATTTCTAAATTTCTGCTGCCTCGCTGAACATGCCCTCTCTTTATGTCTTGATATTATGTGTTCTTTCTTCCCCAATCAATCTGGTCAGAGATTTGTAAGCTTTGTAATCTTCTCAAAGTACTAATTCTATTTCTATTTGATTAACTTCTGCTCTTGGTTCATTATTTTCTAATTCATACTTGTTTCTTTTGGTGTACTTATTTCTTCTTTTCCTAATTCTTTGTAACAAATTATTCACATATTAGTGTCAGCTTTTCTTATTTCTTCATGAAATACAACATTTCAACCTTTTAATTTATCACTAACTTTCTTGTTAGCAGGATTCCAAAAGTACTGATACTTAATATTTTAAACTATTATTTATTTCTGAATTTCAAGTTTTGTGTTTTTTATGTGTAATTAAGAAGTCTGTCATATATTTCCAATTTACAAGGTTAAAAATATGTATATTTTTATACTTGTTTGTATTAGAATCAGATGTGTTCTTGATAATATAAGAATCTTTGAAATGTATTGAGACTTACCTTATGGCATAGTATGTCTGTAAATGTTTCTGAATTTTTAGAAGAATGTGCATTGCTAGATACTATAGCCTAAAACTGCCTATCAGATAAAGTTTTTGAATAGCTTCTTACATAGTTTAACCTCTGCTGAACCAATAATCTTGGAGTGTTGTACTAAAATGTTTCATGATAATTAATTTATTATAATTTCATTAATTTTTGCTGTCTATATTTTAGAAGTGTAGATTAAAACTGTATTATACTCCTAGTCTACTGAAAGTTTTGTTGTTATGTAGGTGGCAATAATTTTCCCTTTAGTATTAATTGTTGCTTTAAATCTGAAAATATGCATTGTTTACTAGGGGCATAGAATTTTCCCAGATATCCATTTACATAATTTATTTTCTGTTTCTTGCCTTGTGTTTGATGTATGTTTCATAAGCAGCACAGAGGTCCAGCTTTTAAAAAGAAATAATTTTAGATGAATTTATTTCTCATCTTCTGGCACACAAATGTCTAACAAATAAGTTCAGTGTGTTTGCTACTTCTTGCTCACTGGATCCAATCAGTATAATGTCATTAAGGTAATGGACTGGTGTAATAGCTTGATGAATTGTAAAGCATTCAAGGTCTCTCCAAATAAGAATATGGCACAATGCCAGAGGGTTAACATGCACCTGATGTAGGACAACAAAAGTATATTGTTGGCTTTGCCAGTTGAAGGCAGATTGTTTCTGGTGGGCTTTATGGGCAGGAATGGAGAAAAAGACAGTTGCCGAGTCAATGGCTGCATACCAGGTACTGGGAGATGTGTTAATTTGCTCAAGCAATGAAACCACAGCTGGTACACCAGCTTCAATTGAAATCACCACTTGGTTAAGCTTAGAATAATCCACTGTCATTCTCTAAGATTCATTTTTCTTCTGCACAGGACAAATGCGAGAGTCAAAAATGGGGATGTGGCAGAAATCACCACCCCTGTATCTTTCACATCCTTGATGGTGACACTGCATCTTTCACACCCCTCTGCATCTCTCCAGGGATGCAATATTGTTTTTCATTCACTATTCTTCTAGGTAGAGGCAGCTCTAATGGCTTCTGTTTGGCCTTTCTCACCACGATAGCTCTCACCCTAACTTTCAGGAAGGCAGTGTGTGGATTCTGACAGCTGTTTAGTATGTCTATGCAAATTATACATTCTGGCATTTGGCAAATGACCACAGGATAAGTTCAGGGACCAACTGGACCCACTGGAAGTCAGACCTGAGCTAAAATTCCTTTAATTCCCTGACATCCATAAGCCCCTACTTTAACTGGAGGATGACAATGACGTTTTGGGTCCCCTTGAATCAACGCAATCTCAGAAGCAGTATCCAGTAGTCCCAAAATGTCTCATCATTTTCCCTTCCCCAGTGCACAGTTACCTGGATAAAAGGCCAGAGGTCTCCTTGGGGAAGGATTAGAGAAAGATTAACAGCATAAACTTTCAGTATAGTAGTAGGGTCCTTCCTCAATGGAACCCAGACTCCCCTTTATTCAAAGTTTCTCAGTCTGAAAATGGGCTCCAGCCTGGACATTGATTGAGGGGCTGTGATTCTCTCTTTTTATAATTCCAATTAGTTTTTTTGCAGTATGCTTCCTATCAACTTTACTTATAGGAATACTGTGATTAATTAGCCAATACCAGAGCTCTAAGTGAGTGAGACTATTCTGTTTCTTGCTTTGCCTGCACCATCCATTACAGTAGCTATGTCCACCTTGCCTTTGATTGTTGAATGCCACTACTTGTTCCCTGCTAGTTTGGGGTCCAGTTATTCTCATCGTATTTGAATTTTGTAGTGGAGTAACTGTGGTTCCTGCCGTTAGATCTGACATACAGAGAAGAGCAATTATAGGGCTCTTCAAAGATACAGGTGCTGCCCTCACAAACCTATTTTGCTAAGAATTGGTCAAGGATATGTCTTCTGGACCCTCCCAGCTAAGATGAATGGGTCTAATATGATTAATCCACTCCACTATCTCAAGGTCTCTAAGCCTTTGTTTCCCTTTCTCTACATTAAACCAAACAGGCATTTCCAGCTCAGTCCCTGTGGGCCATCTTTTAATCCATATTTTAGCTAACCAAGCAAAGAAACTATTAGAACTTTTTTATCTTCCTGAGCTGCAACATTAAATGCAGATTCATTATTTATTGGGCCCAAATCAATAAATTCAGCGTGATCAAACTCAATGTTTTTTTCCGCCATTATTCTACACCCTTAATATTCATTCCTATGACTTTTCTCCTGATTTCTATTAATATAAATTAGAAAACTCTAGCAGTTCAAGTGTAATGCACCTCCTCATGGGTCACACTGTCAACCTCACCTTCAAGGGCCCACCAGGACTTCAGTCTAGTTATAGGTCTAGAAGCAAACAGGGGTGTTCAGGGTGCCTCTTCAGGAGAATCAGCATTATCTTGCCTGGAAACTGCCTCAAGGGACCCCATCACTGTTTCCTCAGGAAGTGCAGTGTTTATTGCTTCATGCAAAGGTGGAGATGCTGATGGCAACATGAGATGGGGAGGGGATGTTGCCATTGCTAGGGATGGGGAAGCTGTTTCTTCTGGCAAAAAAAGGTTCATCAGAGTTTATAAACTCAGTGTCCCCAGCTTCATCAGGGTCCTTCCTTATGCCCCCCTTGCAAGTTTCAGGGACCCATTATTTTCCAATCAATGCCTTTTCTTTAAAAGTAGACACCTGGTGAGGCTGTGCATGCACCTTTCCTTGCAGGTCAGCCACTCACAGGATAAGAGCTTGTGTCTGTTTTTCCACAATTTCATCTCTTTCTCTACAGGAGATAAGACTCTCACGCAGGGCGATTCTTTGCAGATTTGAGGCTCAATATCTGCTTCTGAAGCTGAGAGATAAAATCCCTGAGTCCACTATTTTATTTCATCACTTTCTCCACTGAATTTAGTTGCAACCAACCAGCTTCATTATTTTCCTTGATTCTCCACATATAGTCAAAGGTGTTATGTATAAAATCACTAAACTCCTTGTTTCTTGTGAGCAGTGCATCGGGAGTGCCAAATGCATTTATTTTTGCAGCCCACTGACTCAAATGTTAATCTCCTTTTGTAACACCCTCACAGACATACTCAGTATCAATACTTTGCATTATTTAATCCTATCAAGTTGACACTCAGTATTAACCATCACATTATATAGTTCATGTCATGAACTCTCAGTCTTCATACTACTAGAAGTAGAGTCCTTAGCATTTTGGGGTTTAATAGTATTAAGAATCCAATCCCAGAAACTCAAACCTAGAAGATAACTCCATCCTTAATATTCTTTTCCTCTAGAACCACTCGTATCACTGAAATCTGAATTAGGCTTCTCCAGATGAACAAAACTAATAGGATATATAAAGGGGAATTTATTAAGTATTAACTCATATGATCACAAGGTTTCACAATAGGCTGTTTGTAAGCTGAGGAGAAAGGAGAGCCAATCTGAGTCCCTAAACTGAAGAACTTGGAGTCCAACCTTCAAGGGCAAGAGGCATCCAGCACAGGAGAAAGATGTAGGCTGGGAGGCTAGACCAGACTTGTCTTTTCACATTTTTCTCTCTGCTTTATATTCTAGTTGCACTGGCAGCTGATTAGATGGTGCCCACCCAGATTAATGGTGTGTCTGCCTTTTGCAGCTCACAGACTCAAATGTTAATTTGCTTTGGCAGCACCCTTACAGACACATCCAGGATCAATATTTTGCATCCAACCAATACTCTTCAATCTAACCAAGTTGACACTCAGTATTAACCATTACAATGCCTGTACACTTTTGATACCTATTTGAATATGAGTGTCCTCTTTGGTTGTTTTAACTGTGCAAGGGAGCCTTGATCAGCACTTTTCTTTAACTAGGTTATTTACTTTTTTTTTTTTCCCTATATCAAGCCCATTAAAACAAAGGTCTTTAAGGCTTTATGATTTCTTCAAAGTCTTGTTTTTTTATTGTTTTTGTCCTTTGAAAGTTCTTTACACCTTCTTGTTTGTATGCATGGAAAAATATTTTTTCAATGTTTACTTCCAGGCATTTTAAAGTATTTTTAAAATGTTCCTTAGTGTCTGTGTTTATAAAGTGTAAGTCTCTAAAATAAAAATATAAAGGAAGAAAACTCTCTAAGTAGTCTTTTAAGTTATATCTCTTACATTCCCTAAATTATCAAACATTTTGAAAAAAATTGGAGTTAATCATTTCAAATTTCTCACTTTCTGCTGCTAAGAGAACTTATCCGTAGTAAGGCCATAATTTTCTTTTTTGTGAAGTGTGTTGCTTGGAAAGTAGATGCTTAGATAGAAATACACAATGCTACATTGATCACTTTGTGCTCGTAGGGTCAACACAGTAGAGAGGGCATAGAAGCAGTAGAGAGGGCATAGAGAAGGCATAGAGAGGGCATAGAAGCCAGAGGGCATGGAAAAAACATTGAGCTGCAATACAGTCTCAATATAAGCTTTATCCAACCCTATCAGGAGTTTGGAAAATGGAATGAATCTTCAGAGCGGTCTGCAGTGGAGGGCAAGAGAACTGGGACTTCGGACCCATTCTGTTACTCATTGTATGTAGACCTTCATGGGAATGGCGATGTGGCCTTGAATGAGTGGGTTTTCTGCAAACCTCAAAAGGGTTTTGTAGCTGAGTAATGTGGGCTGGCAGTCATGGCAATTAGAGTAATAACTCTTTTTTTTTTTCACTTAAAAGAGATAGGAGAGCTGCATTCTGATAGGTGACCACACATACTTAGAAATAAACCAAAATCAATCTCACTTCCAGCCCCTTCACTCTGGCTATGGCCATTCATGACTTTCATGTCTAGGAATCTAGAGTGGATTTTTATGTTTACATCATGTTTTTAAACAAGCATGCAGTTCTACTTACCTCTTTATCTATTTGAAAATCATTTTTATCTAGTGCTGTGGTATGGCTCTGTGTCTCCACCCAAATCTCATCTTAAATTGTAATCAAAATTGTAATCCTCATGGGTTGAAAGAGGAATCTCATGGGAGCTGATTGAACTGTGAGGTGATTCCCCCACGCTGTTCTCATAATAGTGAGTTCTCATGAGATGTGATAGTTTTGTGAGAGGCTTTAATTTCCTTCAGTCTGAATTTGTTTTATTCTTCTCTTTTCTTCTGCCATGTAAAATAGGATGCACTTGCTTCCTCTTCTACCCTGATTGCAAGTTTCCCGAGGCCTTATCAGCCCTGCAAAACTGTGAGTCAATTGAATCTTTTCTTTATAAATTACATAGCCTCAGGCAGTTCTTTCCTAGCAGTGTGAGAATGGACCAATGCATAAATTAGAACACTAAGAGTGAGATACCACTGTAAGGATACCTGAAAATTTGGAAGCAGCTTTGGCAGTAACAGGCAGAAGTTGAAACGTTTATAGGACTCAGAAAAAGAAAAAGAGAGTGGAAAAGTTAGAAACTTCCTATGACCTAAAAGGCTAAGAAGAAAGGAAGATGTGAGAAAGTTTGGATCTTCACAGAGACTTATTTAATGGCTGTGACCAAAATCCTGATAGTAATATGGACAATGACCTTAAGGTTGAGATGGTATCAGATGGAGAAAAGAAACTTGTAGGGAACTGGAGCAAAGGTGGCTTTGATGTGCTTTAGCAAAGACACTGGTGGCTTTTTGCCACCTGCCCAAGATATTTTTGGAACTTTGGGGTACCAGGCATGTTAGAAAGAAATTTTCAGTGCTGCAAAAGAAATAGCACTCAAACATAAATTTTCTCAGCAAGGCAAAGTTACTCCTGCAGGAGGGTGCATCTTGTTTATGCAGCAATGGCAAGAGCACCCAGAACAGAGGAAAGCAGGAGTTTTTATGATTTTTAATGCAGCTTGTCCCTGTTAGTGTATGTGCCTCCACTGGCTGCCGTTAGACCACACAATCTAAGCAGAATGCAGTTGGCTAACTTGAAGAGTGCAGGAATGCGGTTACACTGGTGGGAAGGCAGGAGGGTGATTTCTTGGTGGGCATGCCTGAGCACAGCAGGGCAGGAGGGGCTGACAGATTGGTGGGCAAGATTAGACAAAGAACAGGGAAGTAAGACTTCAGGACAGACAGCACAAGGAAGGAAAGACCTCTTGGAGAAGAACAGTTGTTTGTAGCAAAGTGAAACTCTTTGAAGAGGAATTGTCTAAACTACTTGTTTTTTATCAAGGCAGAATAAATTTCAAAGAGGCAGAACATTCAAAGGAAATCAAAGCATAAAATTATAAAAAATCTGCTGCCTGAGAATGGGGTAGAAGATAAAAACCCATATTTTAGGAAGAAATTGAAGCAGGTAGTACAAATCTACCTAAGTGAAGAGAAAACAGAGGTTAATCACCAAGACATGAAGAAAATGTCCCCAAAGTATGTCAGAAGTCTTTGCAGCAGCCCCTCCCATCACAGGCCCTGAGGCAAAGGAGGAAAAAAAATGGTTTTATGGGTGGGTCCAGGAGACTGTATCACAGCTGTTTCAGCCGTGAATAAGAGGGTCAAGGTATAGCTCAGGATGTTGCTTCAGGTGGTGCAAGCCCCCCACTTTGGCAGCTGCCATGTGGTGTTTTTACTGTGGGTTCAAGGAAGACAAGATTTGAGGTTTGGGAACCTCTGCCTAGATTTTAGAGCATGTATGGTAACACCTGGATGTCCAAGAATAAGTCTGCTGAAGGGCCAAAGACCTTATGAACCCATGCTAGGGCAGTGCCAAAGGAAAATATGGGGTTGGAACCTCTACACAGAGTTCCTACTGGAGCATTGCCAGGTGGAGCTTTGTGAAGAGGGACACTGTCCTCTAGGCACCAGAAGTGTAGATACATTGACAGCTTCCACTATGCACCTGGAAAAGCCTCAGACACTCAATGCCAGCCATAAAAGCCCCATAAAAGCTATGGGGAGCTATTCCATGCAAAGCTACAGGGGTACAGCCGCCAAAAGCTGTGGTTGCCCAAGTTTTCATCAATGTGGCCTGAATATGAGACAAGGAGTCCAAAATTTTTTTTGAAACTTTAAGATTTAATGACGGCTCTATTAGATTTTGGACTTGCACTGAGTCTGTAGCCCCTTTGTTTTGTACAATTTTCCACTTCAAATGGGTGCATTTAGTCAATGCCTATATCCCCGATATATCTAGAAAGTAACTCACTTGCTTTTGATGTTACAGGTTCATAATAAGAAGGAACTTACCTTGTTTCAGATGAGACTTTGAACTTGGACTTTTGGATAAATGTTGCAATGAGTTAAGACTTTGGGAGATTGTTAGAAAGGCATGATTATGTTTTTAAATGTGATAACATAGAATATGTGGAGGTTAGGAGAAAAAAAATATTGTTTGTATCCTTACCCAAATCTCATCTTACATTGTAATGTAAATTTTAATCTTCACATGTTGGAGGAGGAATTTGTGGGACATAATTGAATCATGATGGCACTTACCCCATGTTTTTCTTGTTACAGTCAGTGAGTTCTCATGAGATTTGATAGTTTTGTGATGGGCTTTCCCTTCTTCACTCTGCAGGGTCTCTCATTATTCTTCCTACTGCTGCCCTGTGGAGGAAAGATTTGCTTTTCCTTTTTCCATAATCATAAGTTTTTTGAGATCTTACCAGCCCTGCAAAACAGTGTGGCATTTATTTATTTATTTATTTAGTTATTTAGTTATTTAGTTATTTTTGTAAATTACCCAGTTTTGGACAGTGTTTTATAGAAGTGTGAGAATACATCTAGCTCCTTTGATACATCTTTCTCTTCAATTTCTGCCAACTGTGTGGCTATGCTTTCTTCATCTCCCTTTCTGGGTCATCCTTCTGCATATTAAATTCAGCCTCTGTGTCAGATTCTCGCCATTTCCTCTGCCATATGGTATGTTTAGAAAATCTTATTTATATTTCTGGTTAAAAAATAATTTTTCAGTCCGGGCGCGGTGGCTCACGCCTGTAATCCCAGCACTTTGGGAGGCCGAGGCGGGCAGATCACGAGGTCAGGAGATCGAGACCATCCCGGCTAAAACGGTGAAACCCCGTCTCTACTAAAAATACAAAAAATTAGCCGGGCGTAGTGGCGGGCGCCTGTAGTCCCAGCTACTTGGGAGGCTGAGGCAGGAGAATGGCGTGAACCCGGGAAGCGGAGCTTGCAGTGAGCCGAGATCCCGCCACTGCACTCCAGCCTGGGCGACAGAGCGAGACTCCGTCTCAAAAAAAAAAAAAATAATAATAATAATAATTTTTCAAAATTATAAATTTTTAACTAAAATCCCTATGTTGCCAAATTGTTTTTTAGAAAAATATATATTTACTACATCAATAGCAGTATGTGCATTATTTCTCACTATAAAAAAAATACTAACTTTACAATAAGGTACCCAGTATGGTATAATTTGAAGTTTAGTAATTTTATTAAAAATATTAGGTTACTTCCATTGAGATTTTACTCCATGTTTCTCACTTTTGACCTCATCCTATAGTTAGTTTCCTTTATGATCACAAACACCTGCTATGCATATTATCTGAAAACAGTAAAGACTTAGTGGCAGATAAGGACCTTACCCTATGTGTCTTTTTTCAATGAGAAAGAAGAACTTTTCCTAAGCCCTTCCTCCCTTGTGGTTCATTGAGCTAAATTTAGGCACACTTTTATGTCAATGATATCTTTGTGACCAATGTTGAACTCCTTAAATTTCTCTAAACCCATTGGGCCTGATGATGGGTCCAGCTGACTCTGAACCATATAGCTGTTGGAAGAAGGCTATTTATCTTAAAAACGTTTTCAGGAATAAGAGAGGCATTAGGTAGGCAACCAACAGGGTCAATGACACTTCTTGTCTTTATGAAAACTCCATGTTTTCACTAATCATTGTAGAGTACCACATATGGCCATATCAATAACTACATTTGTATAGTTAATAAGCTTGAGCTAAGATTAGGAGCACATGTATTGTGGTTAGTAATCAGTGCTTTCTTTGGTGCAGCAATCTGGTTTGGTTGTTATATAAATTAAATGTGATAATGCATATATAACATTTAGAAGTATATCTGGCATATTTTAAGTGCTCCAAAAAGTTTTCTATTTTATTACATCTAATTTTACCCAGAGTATGCTCTCAGTTTACACTAATGTCTAAAGAAGAAGTTAAAAACTCATACAATACAAATATGTTATTGAATAGCATTTAAAAGAAAAAGGGAAAAAAAACTGGATTCTGCACATCGTGCTCTCTGACTACAAACAAAACTGGTGGTTAACCTCATTGGAAAAATGACTCCATAAGTGATGCCTGTAATAGTCCAACAGGTTAAAATGAAGCACACCATCACAAAGATCACCAAAAACAAGAAAACACATGCAACTTAAAGTGAGAGTCAAAAGACAAAATAGATAATATATTTATTGTTTTACATCTGAAGAATGGTCTTAGCCAACATACAACTATAGAAACAGCATGTGTTGATGCAGGGAAAGTGACAGAAACCAATGAGTTGAGCCTAAGTTTAGATTAATGTATACATAAAGAATTAATATGACAGAGATGGCAGAACATTAGTGTAGGAAAAAGGATTAACAAATCAAGCACTGCAAGTTTGTTATCCCTATAAAAATGCAAAAACATGTCTAGCTTATATCCATCATATTCAAATGTCAACCCCAAATAGATTAAAAATTTAAGTGTTAAAAGTAATCACATATTTTTAGAAGAAAAATTAGGAAATAATTATAGAATAACATTATAAACTCAGAATGAAAAAGTGTCTTCTAATGAAACACAAAGAATCCTAATGCAAAGAAAATAGTTTATAATATTGAATAGACTAAAAAAATTGTTTATAAAAAACATATGAATGAAATTCAAGTAGAAGTTACAACTGTGGTAAAGTATGTTTGCAGTGTATAAAATCAATGATGGAGTATATAAATATTTCCTGAATAATTAATCACAGCAAACTGAATTCAAAATTGTTCAAAATATATGAACAGGCATTTAACCTAAGAGAAATATGGATGGCCAGTAAACTCATGGAGTTGCTCAACCTCACTAGTAATAAAGAAAATAAAAAGCAATCTCATTTGTAATTTTGGGGGTTTGAAGTGCAGTTTTTTACATGAATATATTGTATAGTAATGAATTTGTGTATGTTGACCCAATGGGTAATTTTTCAGTCCTCACCCATCTCACCCTCACACCATTTGAAGTCTGTAAGGTGTCTCCTTCCACTCTTTATGGCCATGTATACCTATTATTTAGCTTCCACTTGTAAGTGAGAAGATGTGGTATTTGATTTTCTGTTTCTCAATTATTCTGCTTAGGATAATAGCTCCCAGTTCCAGCCATGTTGCTTCACAATACATGATTTTATTCTTTTATATGGTTGAAAGGTATTGCATGGTATAAATATGTGCCATATTTACTTTTTCTGTCATCCATTGATGGACACTTAGGTTGATTATGTAGCTTATCTACTATAAATAATGCTGTGATCAACAAGCAAGTGAAGGTATCTTTTTGATATAATGACCTGTTATTTTTTAATTAGGTACCTAGTAATGAAATTGTCATTATATAGTAGATGTACTTTTAGTTATTTGAAAATCTTCATGCAACACTTCATACAGTTTGATCTAATTTACTTACCCATCTACAGTGTATAAACTTTCCTTTTTCTCTGTGTTATCACCAACATCTGTTGATTTTTGACTTCTTAATCTTACCCACTCTGACTTGTGCAGTATCATATCTCACTGTAGTTGTCAGTTACATTACTCTCAAGATTAATGATTTAAACACTTTCTGTTAGCTGGGCACCTGTATGATTTCCTTGGAGAAATATCTGTTCACATTATTTGCCCACATTTTTAAGGGGTTATTTTTTATTTCTTGTTAAATTGTTTGAATTATTTTAAGATTCTAAATATCAGCCAATTGTCAGATACATAGTTTGCGAATTGTTTTTCTACTTTGTAGATTGTTTACTCTGCTAATTATATATATACATATATATTCAGCAATCACATATGTATAATTAAAGCAAATGTGCTCACCATATATAATAACAGAAAAAAGAGAAATATATATATGTTTATATATATGTTTATATATGTTTATATACATATATGTTTATATATGTATATATATAGGTTTTTACTTTGACTACATCTCATTTGCCTACATTTTTTCATTGTTAGTTTGCTTTTGAAAACTTAGTTATAAACATTTTACCCAGGCCATTGTCCAGTAGAGAGTTCCTGCATTTTTCTCTTTCTCCTGGGATTTTTATAATTTCAGATTTTAAGTTTAAGTTTTTAATTCATCATGAGGTAATGTTTTCAAATGATGAAACTTATAGTTTTGGTTTTATTTTTATGCACAAGCTTATTTCCTAGCACCGTTTATTGAAAAGGGTATTATTTCTTCAGTCTAGCTTGTTACCAACTTTTTCAAACATCAGTTGATTGTAGTAATGTGCCTTATTTCTGGGATCTCTATTTCATTTTACTGATTTCTGTGTCTGTTTTTATGCCAGTACTATGCTCTTGTTGTTACTATAACCTTGTAATATAGTTTGAGCAGATAAAGTGATTCCTCTTGATTTGTTCATTTAGGGAAGTGCTCAGTCCTTGGAGCACTTATTACCAGCTAACTGAAGAGATTTCTGGCCCTAAATAACTAGCAGTGATACCCAGGTACTACATCAAGGTTCTTGGGTGGGCCTCTAAGAATTATAGGCTGCAGGTGAGAGTCCTGTGGTGACTGTCAGGCAAAACTCCTTCCTCTTGAAAAAAGTAGAGGGAAAATAAAGCAGACTTCTTCTTATACCTTAGGTACAGCACAGATATAATGTCTAGCCAGGGGGGTGCTTGTGTCACCACAGCTTTAGATGATTCTGCACAGGGACAGACTCCATTTGTTTGGAATAAAGAAAACAGAATATATGTCTTGGCCTGGTAATCTAGATAACTCAATAAGAATTTGCTCTTATTGTAACTACACAAGTTAGCAAAAACCATGTCATCTTTGGGCTAGGGATAAAGCATAGACAAAAACATCTAAGTTTTTTTTTAACATATGAAAAGACTTCTGTAAGAGTCCATTCTCACACAACTACAGAGAATTACCCAAGGCCAGGTACATTATGAAGAGAGAAAAAGGTTTAATTTATTCACAGTTTTACAGGCCGTAAGTGTGACTGGGGAACTCTCAGGAAACTTTTAATCAGGGGAGAAGGAAAATAGAGAAGCGAGAATCTTCTTCACGTAGGGAAATGAGAGAGAGCAGAAGGAAAAGTGCAACACACAACCAGATCTCATGAGAACTCAATATCATGAGAAAAACAAGCAGAAATGTTTCCCATGATCAAACTACCTATCATCTTGTTATTCCTCCAACATCTGAGATTACAATTTGACATGAGATTTGGGTGAGAACAGAGAGTCAAATACCACCTCTGGCTCCTCCCAAATTCCATGCATTTTTTCACATTGCAAAACCAATCATGTTTTCTCAACAGTCCCCTAAAGTTTTAACTTCTTCCAGCATTATCTCAAAAGTCTGAGTCCAGAGTTTCATGTGAGGCAAGGAAAGTCCCTTCTGCCTATGTGCTGGTAAAATAAAAAACAAGTTAGTTACTTCTAAGTTATAAAAGGGCATACAGACATTGAGTAAATGCTTCTGTTCCAAAAAAGAGAAGTTGTCCAAAACAATGGGGCTAGAGGTCCCCTGCAAGTCCAAAACACAGCCGGGAAGTTATTACATTTTAAACCTTCAAAATAACATTGTTTGACTCCATGTCTCACATCCAGGCTACACCGAAGAAAAGGGTGGGCTTCCAAGGTGTTGGGCAGTTCTTCCCCTGTGGTTCTGTAAGATATATCCCTCTTGGCTGCTTTTACATGCTGGCATTTAGTGCCTACATCTATTCCAGGTACAAGGTGCAAGCTGTTAATGGACCTATCATTCTGGCATCTGAAGGGCAGTGGCCCTGTACTTACAGCTCCACTAGGCAGTGTTACTGTGGGGTCTCTGTGTTGGGACTTCAACCCTACATTTTTTCTCTTCACTGCATCAGAAGTTTTCCATGAGGGTTCCACCCTGCAGCACACTTCTGCCTAAACCACCAGGTATTTTCATACATACTATGAAATCTAGACAGAAGCCCCCAAGCTCAACTCTTGCCTTTGCACATTCAGAGCCCTAACACAACATGGAAGTCACCAAAGTTTGGGGTTTGCACCCTCTGAAGAAATGACCCAAGCTGAGCTTTGGCCACTTTTAGCCACAGCTGGAGCTGGAGTGGCTGAGACACAGGTACCATGTCCCAAGTTTGCACAGAGCAGTAGAGTCCTGAGCTTGGCCCATAGAACCATGTTTTTCTAGGCCTGCAGGCCTGTGCTAGGGAGGCAGCAGGGGGCAGGGCACGGGAAGTGGGTGGAATGGGAGGTGGGGGAGGGGCTGTTGCAAAGGTCTCTGAAATATCCTGAGGCATTTTTGTTGATTATTAACATTCAGCTTTTCTTTACTTACGTAAATTACTATGGCTTTGAATTTCTTTCTAGAAAACGACGTTTTCTTTTCTACCACAGGTTCAAGCCTGCAAATATTTCAAACTATTATTTTCTGTTTGCCTTTTAAACATAAGTTTTAATATCTGACCTTCCCTTTGCAAACTCATGTGAGTGAGGCTTTTAGAAGCAGGCAGGCTAATTCTTGACAGCATTGCCCCTTAGAAATTTCTTTCTCCAGATAACTTAAATCATCTCTCTTAACTTTGAAGTTTCTCAGATCTCTGAGAGAGCAGGTGCACCATGCCGACAGTCTCCTCACCAAAGCATAGCAAGTTTTTATTTACTCTTTATTTCAGTTTCCAATAAGTTTTTCATCTTCATCTGAGATCACCTTACCCTGGACTTCCTTGTTTATATTACTATCAACACTTTGGTCACAACAATTCAACAAGTCTCTAGGAAGTTTCAAACTTTCCCTCATCTTTCTATTTTTTTCTGAGCACTCCAAAGTGTTCCAGCCTCTGCCTGTTACTGAATTCCAAAGTAACTTCTACATTTTCAGGTCTCTTTATGGCAACACCCCACTTCTCTGGTAACAATTTCCCCTATTAGTTTGTTGTTACACTGCTATAAAAAGCTATCTGATATTCAAGATAGATTAAAGACTTAAACGTTAGACCTAAAACCATAAAAACCCTAGAATAAAACCTAGGCATTACCATTTAGGACATAGGCATGGGCAAAGACTTCATGTCTAAAACACCAAAAGCAATGGCAGGAAAAGCCACAATTGACAAATGGGATCTAATTAAACTAAAGAGCTTCTGCACAGCAAAAGAATTAATTTTTGTGTAAGGCATAAGGAAGGGATCCAGTTTCAGCTTTCTACATATGGCTAGCCAGTTTTTGCAGCACCATTTGTTAAATAGGGAATCATTTCCCCATTTCTTGTTTTTGTCAGGTTTGTCAAAGATCAGATGGTTGTAGATGTGTGGTATTTTTTTTCTGAGGGCTCTGTTCTTTTCCATTGGTGTATATCTCTGTTTTGGTAACAGTACCATGCTGTTTTGATTACTGAAGACTTATAGTATAGTTTGAAGTCAGGTAGTGTGATGCCTCCAGCTTGTTCTTTTGGCTTAGGATTGTCATGGCAATGCGGGCTCTTTTTTGGTTCCATATGAACTTTAATGTAGTTTTTTTTCCAGTTCTGTGAAGAAAGTCATTGATGGGGATGGCATTGACGGGGATGGCATTGAATCTATAAATTACCTTGGGCAGTGTGGCCATTTTCATGTTATTGATCCTACCTATCCATGAGCATGGAATATTCTTCCTTTTTTGTGTCCTCTTATTTTGTTGAGCAGTGGTTTGTAATTCTCCTTGAAGAGGTCATTCCCATCCCTTGTAAGTTGGGTTCCTAGGTATTTTGTTTTCTTTGAAGTAATTGTGAATGGGAGTTCACTCATGATTTGGCTCTCTGTTTGTCTGTTATTGGTGTATAGGAATGCTTGTAATTTTTGCACATTGATTTTGTATCCTGAGACTTTGCTGAAGTTGCTTACCAGCTTAAGGAGATTTTGGGCTGAGACGATGGGGTTTTCTAAATATACAATCATGTCATCTGCAAACAGGGACAATTTAACTTCCTCTTTTCCTAAATGAATACCCTTTATGTCTTTCTCCTGCCTGATTGCCCTGGCCAGAACTTCCAAAACTCTGTTGAATAGGAGTGGTGAGAGAGGGCATCCTGTCTTGTGCCAGTTTTCAAAGGAATGCTTCCAGTTTTTGCCCATTCAGTATGATATTGGCTGTGGGTTGGTCATAAATAGCTCTTATTATTTTGAGATATGTCCCATCACTACCTAATTTATTGAGAGGTTTTAGCATGAAAGGCTGTTGAATTTTGTCGAATGCCTTTTCTGCGTCTATTGAGATAATAATGTGGTTTTTGTCTTTGGTTCTGTTTATATGATGGATTATGTTTATTGATTTGTGTACATTGAACCAGCCTTCCATCAAGAGATGAAGCCCACTTAATCATGATGGATAAGCTTTTTGATGTGCTACTGGATTCAGTTTGCCAGCATTTTATTGAGGAATTTTGCAACGATATTCATCAGGGATATTGATCTAAAATTCTCTTTTTTTGTTGTGTCTCTGCCTGGCTTTGGTATCAGGATGATGCTGCCCTCATAAAATGAGTTAGGGAGGATTCCCTCTTTTTCTATTCATTGAAGGAATGGTACCAGCCCCTCTTTGTACCTCCGGGAGAATTTGGCTGTGAATCCATCTGGTCCTGGACTTTTTTTGGTTGGTAGGCTCTTAATTATTGCCTCAATTTCAGAGCCTATTATTAGTCTATTCAGGGATTCAACTTCTTCCTGGTTTAGTCTTGGGAGGGTGTATGTGTCCCAGTATTTTTTTGAGAAGTACCCTACAAGCATAGGAAGCCAAAGCATAAATGAACAAATTGGATCACACCAAGTTAAACAGCATTTTGGCAAAGGAAACAATCAACAAACTGAAGAGATAATCTACATAATGGGTGAAAATAATTGGAAACTGCCTATCTGACAAGAAATTTATAACTGGAATATATACAAATCTCAAACAACTCTACAGGAAATACATCTAATAATTTGATCAGAATGGGCAAAAGATTTAAATAGGCATTTCTCAGAAAAAGCTATACAAATGGCTAGATATGAAAATGTGCTCAGCATCATTGATCATCAGAGAAATGCATATTAAAACTGCCATGAGTTATCATATTACCCCAGTTAAAACGTCATATCCAAAAAACAGGCAATAACAAATGATGGTGAGAATATATGGAAAAGAGAATCCTTGTACACTGTTGCTGAGAATGTAAATTAATATAACCACTATTTAAAACAGTTTGGAACTTCTTCACAAAACTAAAAACAGCGATACCATATGATCCAGCAATTCCATTGCTTAGTATACACCCAAAAGAAAGAAAATCAGTATATAAAAGAAATATCTGCACTTTCATGTTTGTTGCAGTACTGTTCATAATAACTAAGATTTGGAGGCAATGTAAGTGCCCAGTCACAGATGAATAAATAAGGAAAATGTGGTACATGTACACATTTGAGTTGTATCTAGCTATCAAAAACAATGAGATACTCTTGTGATTTGCAAGAATATAGGTGAAACTGGAGCTTAATATGTCAGGTGAAATAAGCTAGGCACTGAAAGACAAACAGTGTATGTTATCACTCACTTCTGGGATCTAAAAATCAAAACAATTGAATTCATGGACATAGAGGTAGGAGAATGCTTCCTAGAGGGCTGGAAATTTTGTGTGGGGTTGGAGGGAGGTGGGCATTATTAATGGGTACCAAAAATTGTTAGAAAGAATGAATAAGACCTACTATTCAATAACACAACATGGTGACTCTAGTCAATTATAATTTAATTGTGCATTTTAAAATAACACAAAGAGTGTAACTGCATTGTTTGTAATTAAAGGGATAAATGCTTGAGTGGATGGACACCCCAATCTCCATGATGTGATTGTTATTTTGCATGCATCTTTTTTAAAGAATCTTATGTACTCTACAATAATATACACCTACCAGGGGCCCACAAATACCAAAATAAAACAAAACAAATATAACCTAGAACCTTTAATAATAAAGTATGTTTTATCTAATATAAGGACAGCTACTCCTACTTTTGTTTTCTGTTTGCATAATATTCTTTTTCTATGTCTTAAATTTTAGTCTGTGAATAACTTTACATTTTTGTTAGTTTCTTGTAAGTAGCCTATAGTTGGACCTTGTTTACTTTCAAGATAAATATTAACATGTGGGAATTTGTTGCTGTCATACTGTTATTTGTTACCTGTTCACTTTGTAGTCTCATTGGTGTAATTGTTTTGTAATATTTTGAGTTATATACCTTTGTGTATTTCTGTGATGATATCATCCTTTTGTTTCCATTTGTAAAATTTTGAGCTTTTCCTTTTTGAACCAGTATAGCGGTGATAAATTTTGCTTAGTGCTTGCTTTTCCGAGGAATATTACACATTTTTCTTTCCTTTATAAAACTAGGTTTGGCAGCAAACAAAATACTTAGCTACAGTTTTGTTTTTTTTTTTAATTGAGAAAATGGAAAAAAGAGGACCACAATCAGTTCTGGCTTCTTTAGCTCTTTCTGAGAAATTTGCTGTTAATCTGACATGATTTTCTTTATAATTAGATAGGTTATTCTCTCTTGCTTTTAGGATTTTTTTCTCTTGTGCTCGTTTTGCACTCTCTCATGAGATATGCCTTCATAGGTTTATTTTGTGAAGTGTCTTCCAGGTTCTCTTTGGGCTTCTTGAAACTGGATGTCTAATTCTCTGAGAAGATCAGTGTAGTTTTACTTAATTTTTCATATAGATTTTTAAAGCTTGTTACAATTTTCTTCTACCCCAGGAAACCTATGGGTCTGAAAACCTATAGGTTTGGTTGATTTACATAATTTTATATTTCTCAAAATAATTGTTCCTATGTTTTCTTTAGTTGCTTCTTTATATCTGACTATGTTAATTTGAAAGTCCTATATTCGGGCTTTAAATTTTCAAAATTCTGCTTTGTCTAATTCATTATTAAGGATTTTAACACTAGTAATTTCTTCAATGAGGTTTTTTATTTCAATAAATTATCTTTTCTTCAGTATCTATCCATTTGGTAAATGTATTCATATTCTGAATTGTTTCACATTCTTTGTGTTTGTATTAAACTTTCTCTTGGATCTCATTGGACTTAAAATTTGTATCTTGAATTCTTTATCTGTCATTTTAGAATTTCTATTTTGGTTAAAATTTATTGCCAGAGAGCAAGTTTGATTTTGGGAGTTATCAAAACAGCATTTTTGATCATACTTGCAGGGTCTATACAGTGATGCCTTCTCAATTGGACAAAGTGTCACTTTGTATTTTTGAATTTACTTTCACTCAAATTGAACTTCCCCTCTTTAGGGAGTGACTGTAATGTATGTTGTATTTGTCACTTGACCTTGATTCTGGGTCTTTTCAATGAGCCAAGTCTCTGTAGGTTTTCATTAGTTACATAGCATTTCTGTGCACTGATGTTCTGAAATGGTGATTGTAGGAGTAACACACTGGGGACTTGATCAACCTTAGTATCTTCTGTGAAACTGGGACTGTGGAAGTGTCAAAAAGTTTATCCCATCCTGCAGCACTATGCCCTTATGTTTGTCTATGTGCTTTATTATTTGGTTGCGCAGTTTAAACTACAGTTTCCAGGTGGCACTTATGGGTAAGAGGTGATTTACCATCAGGTACCCCACTGATGAGTGAAAGTATTTGCCCTGATTGGAGTAGAAGAGACAGATTGTAGCAAAATGGGCCAAGGCCTTTGCAAGGGGAGAGTAGAAGAGATGTGCTCCATACACTGGCCAGGCAGAAACAAAATCCATGTTCCTTTCACACTCTATCTGAGGGGTCATTATTTTCAGCCCAGATAAAGACTGTTTATTATCTCCAAGCCACCCATGATACATGCTTGTCTTACTACCACCAAAGTGGCTTCAAGGTAAATCCTTTTTCCTCTGCCAACAATAGCTCTTTGGCTCATCTATTCTCTGCTGCAGGAATGCTCTTACTCCTTGTGGGGGGATGGGTTCTACCTTTTCTGCAACCCCCAAGGAGAAACAGTCATGCTGCAGTCATGCTGCATCCACAGTAATGGGAGTGAAGTAGGATATGCCCTTCTCTCCATGTCCATTGCTAGGTGCTATTGCTCCCTGTTCAATGGAATGGAACCACACTAATCCAATGCAGATCTGAGCACAGTATCTGTATTTCTTTGGATGGTTACAATCACCTTTTTCTCACAAGCAGAGTGCTCTAAGGCAGAGAAGAGCATGCAATCTTGTTTCCACTGAACTGAGGAATGCTTTGGCATGCTTTACTCTTCCTTTCCCTAGAGGTGGCTGGCCCTGAGGGCTAGGCCTCCAGGAATTCTGCATCTTTCCAGGGTCCTGCCATATTTTTGTGACTGTTGCATCCTAAGTGCATTTGGGGAAGGTTTGTTGGGGGCCTAGATATGTGGAGACACAATAGCTGGAACTCCCTGGGTAAAATAGAGTCCCAAATTGGGTGCACAACCAGTATGATACATGCTTTCTCAACTCAGATCTGGGAGGATGAAAAGAGAACCTGTGCAAGTTGTTTACCTGGTACTCTGCCTTCAGTAAGTCCCCTGCCAATTGCAGTGACTCTCACCTATAATCTGAGCACTTTGGGAGGCTGGGATGGGCAAATTGCTTGAGCCCACAGGTTCTAGCCCAGCTTGGGCAACATATTCAAATGCTGTTTCCATAAAACATACAAAAAAATTAAAGTAGCTGAGCCTGGTGGCGTATGCCTGTAGTTCTAGCAACTTGGGAGGCTGAGATGGGAGGATCACTTGAGCCTGGGAGGTGGAGGCTGCAGTGAGCCTAAACATAAAATAAAATATAAAATAAAATAAGCTCCCAAATTGCTACCTACATTTCATAATCACAGGCTTATGAGAGCACAGGGGCTATCTGACAGTTCAGCAGTCAAAAGACTCCTATAGCAACCAGGGAAGCAAAACAATGCATCCCCACGTACTCTTTTCATGGTATTTCAAGTTCCTTTGGAGTCAATCTCTGCTAAACATTTTCTTTCACTCTTTTCTGTGCTCTAGTTCCTTCCCATGGGTTCTATGACAGGTGTTTGCACTCTTTCCTCAGTATTCTACTCATGCTATAATTATTTACCAGTAACTTTGGTTCTTCCTGTATTCCAATTTGAATACCCTATATTTCTTTCTCTTGCCTGATTGCCCTGTCCAGAACTTCCAACACTATGTTGAATAGGACTGGTGAGAGAGGGCATCCTTGTCTTGTGCCAGTTTTCAAAGAGATTGCTTCCAGTTTTTGCCCATTCCATATGATATTGGCTGTGGGTTAGTCATAAATACTCATTATTTTGACATATGTTCCATCAAGACCTAGTTCACTGAGAGTTTTTAGCATGAAGCGGTGTTGAATTTTATCAAAGGTCGTTTCTGTGTCTATTGAGAAAATCATGTGGTTTTTGTCATTGTTTCTGTTTACGTGATGGATTAAGTCCATATTTGAACCAGCTTTGCATCCCAGGCATGAAGCCAACAGGATTATGGTGGATAAGCCTTTTGATGTGCTGCTGGATTAGATTTATCCGTGTTTTATTGGGGATTTTTGCATTGATGCTTATCAGGTATATTGGCCTGAAATTCTCTTTTTTGGTTGTGCCTCTGCCAGGTTTTGGTATCAGGATGATGCTGGCCTCATAAAATGAGTTAGGGAGAAATCCCTCTTTTTCCATTGTTTGGAATAGTTTCAGAAGGAATGGTACCAGCTCCTTTTTGTACCCCTGGTAGAATTCAGCTGTGAATCTGTCTGGTCCTGTACTTTTTTTGGTTGGTAGTCTATTAAGTACTGCCTCAATTTCAGAACTTGTTATTGGTCTATTGAAGGATTTGACTTCTTCCTGGTTTAGACTTGGGAGGGTGTGTGTGTCCAGGAATTATTGTGGATTTTCAGGTTTTTTTGTGTAGAGGTGTTGATAGTATTCTTTGATGGTAGTATGCACTTCTGTGGGACCAGGTGATCTCCTTTATTGTTTTTATTGTGTCTATTTGATTCTTCTCTCTTTTCTTCTTTATTAGTCTGTCTAGCAGTCTATGTATTTTGTTGATCTTTTCAAAAAACCAGCTCCTGGCTTCACTAATTTTTTGAAGGATTGTTTTGTGTCTCTGTCTCCTTCAGTTCTGCTCTGATCTTAGTTATTTCTGGTCTTCTGCTAGCTGTTGAATTTGCTTGCTCTTGTTTCTCTAGTTCTTTTAATTGTGATGTTAGGATGTCAATTTTAGATCTTTCATGCTTTCTCTTGTTTGCACTTAGTGCTATAAATTTATCTCTAAACATTGCTTTTGTTGTGTCCCAGAGATTCTGGTACGTTGTGTCTTTGTTCTCATTGGTTTCAAATAACTTATTTATTTCTGCCTTCATTTTGTTATTACCCAGTATACCCAGTAGTCACTCAGGAGAAGGCTTTTTTAGTTTCCATGTAGTTGTATGGTTTTGAATGAGTTTCTTAATCCTGAGTTCTAATTTGATTGCACTGTGGTCTGAGAGACTGATTATTATGATTTCCATTCTTTTGCATTGCTGAGGAGTGTTTTACTTTCAATTATGTGATCAGTTTTAGAGTAAGTGCAATGTGGTGCTGAGAAGAATGTATATTCTGTTGATTTGGGGTAGAGAGTTCTGTAGATGCCTTTAGGTCTGCTTGGTCCAGAGCTGAGTTCAACTTCTGAATATCCTTATTAATTTTCTGTCTCTTTGATCTGTGTAATATTGAAAGGGATGTGTTAAAGTCTCCCACTAGTATTGTGTGTGAGTCTAAGTCTCTTAGTAGGTCTCTAAGAACTTGCTTTATGAATCTGGGTGCTCCTGTATTGGGTGCATACATATTTAGAATAGTTAGCTCTTCTTGTTGCATTGACTTCTTTACCTTAACTCTTGCAAATTGTTAAGTGAAGAAATACTTTTGAGCAAAGAAATATGTAAAACTGAAGAAATCCATCACCACTTGACTTGTCTTATGAGAAATAGTTTAAATAATCCTTTATGTCAAAACAAAAGGACACTAAATAGAAACATAAAGCATTTAAAAGTATAATTCTTGCTAGCAAAAGAAAATACAAAGGTATATCAAAATATTATAATAATGTAATAGTATAATAGAATATTTTAATTCTAGTACAAATGTCAAAGAACAAAAATATAAAAATTAATGTAACTATCAAATTAGTGCAAATTAGTTCAACAATTGTGGAAGACAGCATGTCAATTCCTCAAGGATCTAGAACTAGAAATACCATTTGACCCAGCAATCCCATTATGTGTTATATACCCTAAGGATTATAAGTCATTTTACTATACAGACACATGCACACATAATATTTATTGCAGCACTATTCACAATAGCAAAGACTTGGAACCAACCCAAATGGCCATCAATGTTAGACTGGATAAAAAAAAATATGGCACATACACCCCCTGGAATACTATGCAACCATAAAAAAGAATGAGTTCGTGTCCTTTGCAGAGACATGGATGAAGCTGGAAACCATCATTCTCAGCAAACTAACACAAGGACAGAAAACCAAACACTGCATGTTCTCACTCACAAATGGAAGTTGAACAATGAGAACAAATGGGCACAGGGAGGGGAACATCACACACCAGGGCATGTTGAGGGGTGGGAGGCTAGGGCATAGATAGCATTAAAAGAAATACTTAATGTAGATGATGGGTTGATGGGTGGAGCGAAAACCACCAGGACACATGTATACCTATGTAACAAACCTGCACGTTCTGCACATGTATCCTGGAACCTAAAGTAAAATAAAATAAATAAATATATATAAATAAAAATTAAAAATTAAAAAATTCAACAGATATTAAAGCCATACAAAATAATTTTTTATAAATAAAATGCAATATGATGGCATATTATAATAGGATGGCATAAAGTTCAGAAAAGGAAAACAAAGCTCTCATACAAAGATTCCATATTTAAAAAAACTATTGTTCATGAATGAAGAACAAAGTATTCTACCTCTAGTTAAACAAACACTAAAAACTAGTTGAACTGCTCTTTAAGAAATGCTGGCCAGGCGCGGTGGCTCAGGCCTGTAATCCCAGCACACTGGGAGACCGAGGTGGGCGAATCACCAGGTCAGGAGATTGAGACAACCTGGCTAAAGCGGTGAAACCCCGTCTCTACTAAAAATACAAAAAAAAAAAAAAACAAAAAAAACAAAATTAGCTGGGCATGGTGGCAGGCGCCTGTAATCCCAGCTACTCAGGAGGCTGAGGCAGACGAATGGCAGAACCCAGGAGGCGGAGCTTGCAGTGAGCCGAGACTGTGCCACTGCCCTCCAGCCTGGGCAACAGAGCGATACTCCGCCTCAAAAAAAAAGAAAGAAGGAATGTAAAAAAAAATCTTTCTTGTTGAAATAAAAGAATAGTAGATGACCCTTAAGGCCAAGAGAAAAACGAATAACACTAGTAAATATAAATGTTTAGTAAATATGAAATGCAATGTTATCATATATTTATATAATTTGTCACATTTTTCTAGATGACTTAATAATTGCACAACATAATACAAATTGTTGCTAAATAGCATACCATTTATGATGTTGCAGTCTATGAATATACTCATGTAAAGGCGAAAAAATAAAGATAGAAGCAGAACATTTGCATAGTATGAAACCAAATTGTTATTCAAAGTAGAATATTGTAAATTTAAGTTGCACATTGAAATATATGCATAAATCCAAGAAATAACAAATATATGCAGAGAGTAATATAAGAATGAATTCAAATCAGTACAGCTAAATAATCAATTTTAATAAAAGATAGAATTGAGAAACATAAAGTATATAAGAAACAAGATAAATAGGTAAAGTGAAGACAACTTGCTTTTTAGTAATTGTATTATGTGTATAAGAATTAAACTTGGGGCCAGGCGAGGTGGCTCACGCCTGTAATCCCAGCACTTTGGGAGGCCGAGACAGATGTATCACGAGCTTGGGAGATCAAGACCATCCTGGCTAACATGGTGAAACCCTGTCTCTACTAAAAATAAAAAAAAAATTAGCCAGGCGTGGTGGCAGGCGCCTGTAGTCCCAGCTACTCGGAAGGCTGAGGCAGGAGAATGGCGTGAACCTGGGAGGCGGAGCTTGCAATGAGCCGAGATCGCACCACTGCACTCCAGCCTGGGTGAAAGAGCGAGACTCTGTCTCGGGGGAAAAAAAAAAAAAAAAAAAAAGTATTAAACTTGCCCTGGACTTTTAGGTTACAGTGAGCTACGGTCACATCACTGTACTCCAGCTTGGGTGACAGAGTGAGAGCCTATCTCTAAAAATGTAAAAATAAACATAAAATGTATACAATATATAAATAGGCAAATAATTTTCAAAAGAGAGAGATTTATAGGGCCCAAGAGGAGAAACCACTTCTCTGGAGGCAGTTGGAAACTAACAAATATAAGCATACATGAGATTCACAGTGGCTGTCATGAGAATTTTTGACAACTACCTGCTATGGTGTTTCAGGCTGAGTTCTTGAGTTTTGAACTCCCTGACCTTATAATTACTATAATAAACCCTTTTTAAGAGTTGAATAAGATCATAATTATTATAATAAACTCTTTATACCTTGAAAAAAACAAGATTGACACAGTGGAAAAATTAAAAAATAATACTTAATGCTATCCACAAGATAATCACCTTTAAAATAATTACAAAAAAGAGGTATAACATGTAAGAATAAAAAGCAGTCCAGTGGCACACACCTATAATCCCAGCACTTTAAGAAGCAGAGGTGGGTGGATCACCTGAGGTCAGGAGTTCGAAACCAGCCTGGACAACATGATGAAACCCTGTCACTACTAAAAATACAAAAATTAGCCAAGCATGGTGGTGGGTGCCTGTGATTCCAGCTACTTGGGCTGCTGAGGCAGGAGAATTGCTTGAACCTGGGAGAGGGTGGTTGCAGTGAGCTGAGATAATCACCAACTCCAACCTGGGTGACAAAAGTTAGACTCCCCCCCAAAAAAGAAAAACAATCCTCCCATGGAAAGTGTAAAGAAATAGACTTAGCTTATGGAGGCTGGTATTTTCAGGTAAAATAAACTTTAAGTCAAAGACATAAAACATTTTATGACACACACACACACACACACACACACACATATATATATATAGCATTTCTGTGCAATGTATATATATGTATATATACATATAAATTTTTGATACAGAAATAAGATATTGTAAGTAGAAACATGAGCACCAAAAGAGAGCTATTAAACGTATATAAAGTAAATCATAAAATTGAAAGGAGATATAAGGAAGTTTTGCAATGAGAGATAGAAACTTCATAACTAATTTTTGACATGAATAAGAAAAAAACAGACACAAAATCAATAAGAAATTGGATAACTTAATGCTGTAAAATGAGTAGAAGTAATGTGTAAAAATTATATATAAAACAACTTCGAAAATCACAAGACACATTATTCTCAAGTATGCATAATGTAATATTCAAGGGATACAATGTTTCAGAAGTTAAAACCAGTTTAATTCTTCCCAAATATTTTAAATGACAAATAATTCTTGTGAACATTTATGGAGTAAAATGTGATGCTTCAATATCTGTCTACCTATGTATCTATGTATCTATCTATCTATCTATCTAAGAAACACATTCAAAAGAGATAATTAATGTATATTGATCACCTCCTTAATTTTTGTGGTGAAAATGTTAAAAACCAAGGTAAGCAGTTTTGAAGTCCTCAATCTATTACTGCTAATGGTAGTCATCAGGCAATGTCATACATTGGTAAATGTATTCATCCAATCTAATTGCAACTTTATATTTTCTGATCAACATTTTTTCTTTATCCATTTCTCTCCCTTTCGTAAGACTCCAGTAACTATCTTATTCCTCACTGTTCTTATAGATTAACTTTTGAATTTTTCATATGTAAGTGAGATAATGAACTATTTGGTTTTCTGTGCCTGGCTTATTTCACTTAACAGCAAGTACTCTAGTTACATTTGTATAGTCACCCGTAACGTATTTTCATGACTTTACAAAATTCCATTTTTTATGTACCACTTCTTCTTTATTAATTCAGCTATTGATAGACAGTTGGGTGGTTTTGCATGTGTTGTCCATTATAAATAATGATGAAATAAAAATGGGACTGCAAATATCTCTTAACACAAGTCTTTTAATTTATTTAGATATATACTAAAGAGTGAAACTGCTGAATAATATGGTAATTATATTTTTAGCTTCCTGAAGAACCTTAAAACTCTTCCAAAATTTCTATGCTAATTTATATTCCCACCAAGAGTTTACAAAGGTATTACCTTCTCAACATCTACACCAACACTTATTATTTTCCTTATTGATTACACAGTAGTGAAATTGCTAGGTGGAATGATAGCTCTATTTTTCGTTCTTAGAGAAATCACCAAACTGTTTCTCATAAAGGTTGTACAAATTTCCATTTCCACCGATGGTATATAAGAAAACTAGTTCTCTTGGCATATTCTGAACATCAGTTATTTTTTTTTGCCCCTTGAACAACAGCAATTTGGTAACTGTAAGATTATATCACATTATGTCTTTGTTTTTCTCTGATAATTATTAACTTTAAAAATTGCAAATTACTCTTTGTAATCTGTATGTCTTCTTTTGAAAAAGGATGCTTATGTTATTTGCCCACTGATACAGTTTGACTCTCTTTCCCGACCCAAATCTCATGTTGAATTGTGATCTTCAGTGTTGCAGGAGGTGCCTGGTAGGAGGGAATTGGATCATGGGTGAGGAGTTTCCCTTGTTGCTCCCATGTTAATAAGTGAGTTCTCCTGAAATCAAGTTGTTTTACAGTGTATAATACCTCCCCCTGCTCTCTGTACTGCTGCCATGTGAAGTTGTGCTTAATTTTCCTTCGCCCTTCCGCCATGATTGTAAGTTTACTTAGGACTCCCAGTAATGCTTCCAGTACGACCTGCAGGACTGTGAGTCAATTAAGCCTCTTTTTCAAATAAATTATTCAGTCTCAGGTAGTTTTTTATAGCACAGTAAGAAATAACTAATACACGAAATTGGTACCAGGGAAGTGAGGCATTGCAATAAAAATGACTGAAAATGGGCCGGGCGCAGTGGCTCACTCCTGTAATCCCATCACTTTGGGAGGCCAAGGCGGTCACATCACGAGGTCAGGAGATCGAGACCATCCTGGCTAACACAGTGAAACCCTGTCTCTACTAAAAAATACAAAAAATTAGCCAGGTGTGGTGGCGGGCGACGGAAGTCCCAGCGACTAGGAAGGCTGAGGTAGGAGAATGGCGTGAACCTGGGAGGCGGAGCTTGCAGTGAGCAGAGACCGCGCCACTACACTCCAGGCTGGGCGACACAGCGAGACTCCACCTCAAAAAAAAAAAAAAAAAAAAAGCCTGAAAATGTGGAAGCGACTTCGGAACTGAGTAACAGGGAGAGGCTAAAAAAGTTTGGAGGGTTTTGAAGAAGAAGAAAAGTGAGGAAAAGTTTGGAATTTCCTAGAGACTATTCAAATGGCTGTAACCAATACGATGACAGTGATATGGACAGTGAAGTCCCAGTTGAGGAAGTTTGACGTGAAGGTGAGATAGTTACTGAGAACTGGAACAAACGTCACTCTTTCTATGCTTTAGCAAAAACAGACTGGCTGCATTGTGGAAATGCTCTAAAAATGTGTGGAACTTTGAACTTAAGAAAGATCATTTAGAGTATCTGAGGGAAAAATTTCCTAAACAGCAAAGCCTTCAAGAATTGACCTGGCTGCTTATAAAAACCCACATGCATTTACATAGATCATTGACCTGAAACTAGAACTTACGTTTAAAAAGGGAGCAGAGAATAAATGTTTGAAAAATTTGCAGCCTGACCATTTCAGAAAAAAAAAAAAAAAAAAAACCCAAAACCAAACCAAAACAAAACAAAACCAACCCTCCATCCTCTGGAAAAGAAATCAAGGCAGCAGAAATCTGTATAAGTAAAGGAGAGCTGAATGTTAATAAACAATGCAATGGGGGAAATGCCTCCAGTGTACTTTCCATACATTTGCTGCAACCCTGCCCCTTATAGGCCTGAAGGCTTTGGAAGGAAAAATGGTTCTGTGGGCCAGCCCAAATCTCCACCGCTATAGACAGACTCAGAACTTGGCAACCTGCATTCCAGCTGCTCCAGCTCCAAATGTACCTAAAGGTGGTCAAGGTACATCTTGGGCCATTACTTCAAAGGGTGCAAACCCAAGCCTTGGCAGCTTCCATGTGGTGTTTGGCTTGCAGGTGTGCAGAAGACAAGAATGGTGGTTTGGAAGCCTCTCCCTTGTTTCAGAGAAAGTATGGAAACATCTGAATGTCTAGGCAGAAATGTGCTGCAGGGGCAGATTCCTCAAAGTGAACTTCTAGTAGTGAAATGCAGAAGGAAATATTGGGCTAGATCTCTAACACAGAGTCCCCACAGGGGCACTGCCTAGTGGTGCTGTGAGTAGAGGTCCACTGTCCTTCAGGCCTCAGAATGATAGATCCACCAATAGCTTGCACCATGCACCTGGACAAGCTACAGGCACTTAATGCCAGCCTGTAAAAGCAGCCAATGAGGCTGTATCCTGTAAAGCCACAGGGGTAGGGGTGCTTGGTTCCTGGGAAGCTTGCTTCTTACATCAAATGGCTTGGATGTGAGACATGGAGTCAAAGAATCTTATTTTACAGCTTTAAGATTTAATAACTGCCCTGATACATTTTGGACTTACATGGGGCCTATAGCGCCTTTCATTTGGCCAATTTCTCCATTTTGGAATGGTAGCATTTATACAATGCCTATATCCGCATTGTATCTTGGAGGTTACTAAGTGTTTTGTATTTTTTTTTATTTTACAAGTTTATAGGTGGAAGAGATTTGCCTTATCTCAGATGAGACTTTGGACTTGAACTTTTGAACTAATGTTGTGATGAGTTAAGAATTTGGGGGCTCTTGGGAAGGCATGATTTTGTTCTAAAATTTGAGAAGGACATGAGATTTGGGAGAGGGCATGGTGAAGTGATACGGTTTGACTTTGTTTCCACCCAAATCTCATGTATAATTATGATATTCAGTGTTGGAAGAAGAGCCTGGTGGAAGGTGGTTGGATCATGAGGGCAGATTTTTTCCTGTTTTTCTCATGATAGTGTGTAGCACTTTCTCTGCTCTCTACAACCACCATGTGAAGGCTTGGTTGATTTTCCTTTCCCTTCTGCCATGATTGTCACTTTTCTGAGGTGCTCCAGCCATGCTTTCTGAGCAACTTGTGGAACTGTAAATCAATTTAAATTCTTTTCTTTATAATCTACCCAGTCTCAGGCAGTTCTTTATAGCAGTGTGAGAATAAGACAAATAAACACACTTTTTAATAAGATTCTTTTGTTGAACTTGAGTTTCTCATAAATTTATGAATTCTTAACTCATCACAACAGTAGTTCAAAAGTTCAAGTCCAAAGTCTCGTCTGAGATAAGGCAAGTCTCTTCCACCTATAAACTTGTAAAATAAAAAAAAAAAAATACAAAACACTTAGTTAACTCCAAGATACAATGGGGATATAGGCATTGTATATGAGTTTCTCATAAATTAGTCCCCTGTCAAAATTTACTGAAAAATGTTACCCAATCTGTAAATTGTGGGTTCAGTTTCTAGATGATTTCTTTTGATGTGCAGAGTATTTTTGGTTTAAGTTGCTCTTACTTATTTTTGTTTCCTATGCTTTTTAGATTTTAATCTTGTAATATTTGCCTACAACAATGCTCAGAGTGTTTTTTCTTTTTTTTCAAGTACATTTGTAAGTTCGTGTCCACATTTTAGTCTTTAGTTGATCTGGATTTGATTTTCCTTTATGGCGAAAGAAAGGGATCTCATGTGTCCTTCCACTGAATAATGCAATCAAATTATTTCTGTACCATTTATTTAGAAGAATATCATTTTTCTCAGTGTGTGTTTTTGTCCAATTGATTGAAGATTAGTGGACTATATATATCAATAGCTGGAAATATGTGGCTGTATTTCTGGCTTCTGTATTCTGTTCTGTTAAATTATGTGTCTAATTCTATATAAAAACCATACTATTTTTATTATACTTGCTAATAAAATTTAAAATCAGGTAATGTCTTCAACTTTGTTCTTTTTGCTTGGAATCATTTTGTTATTCATGCTCTTTTTGGTTTCTTCCATATATGTTTGAATTAATTTTTATCTTTTGGTGATAAATAAAATCAATATTTTTTTAACAGTTGAATTTAACCTGTAGATTGCTCTGAGCACTATGCTCATTTAATAATATTAATTCTTATTATCAATGAGAATGGCATGTGTTTTCATTTTTGTGTGATTTAATATTTATTTCATTAGTGTTTTGTAGTTTTCATTGTAGTCATCTTTCATTGCTTTAGTTAAGTATTTTTTGTTTCTATTGCAAATAGAATCCATTCTTAATTTTATTCTCAACTAGATTGTTGTTGGTATGTAGAAACACAACTGATTTTTATAAACTGATTTTTGAATGTTGCCTTCTGAAGATTGACTGAATTCATTTATTAGATATTCCAGATATACGATCATATTATCAGTGAAGAGAAATTATTTCACTTCGTAATTTACAATTTGAATGCTTTTTATTTGTAGCTATTGCCTGATGGCTTAGGGCTTCCAATAATGTGTTTTTTAGGAGAGGTAAAAATCAGCATTCTTGTCTGTTACCAGTAATTACAGATAAAGTTTCAATTCTTCCTCAGTCAATATGATGCTGGCTATTGGTTTATTATAGATTGTTTATTATAGATGGTATTTTGAGGTATGTTCTGTATAAGCCTAGTCTGATAAGGGTTTTTTTTTTCATAAGGAAATCCTTTGATCAAATGTTTTTATCTATAAAGATAGGCAAATTTTTAAAGAAAACTATTATTTCTATTACTTCTGTTGATTTAAATGTAATGCACTGTCCCTTCATCCCTGGTATATCAACCACATGCTCATAATGTATAATTCTTTTTATTGTGCCAATGGGTTCAGTTTGCTGATATTTTGTTAAGAACCTTTGTGGCCACACTCATAATGAATATGTTTTGTTGTTTTGGATTTGTGCATGTCTTGTGTGTATGAGTGTGTCTTTTTCTGGTATTAGTATGATGATAATATTCACTTCATAGAATGAGCTGAGAATAAGTATCTTCTCTTCAAATTTTGAAATAGATTCTGAAAAATTGGCATTAGTTCTTTGTATGGCTACTGAAATTTGTCTGTAAATTTGTATGTTTTTGTACTTCCCTTTGGGTTTTAAAAAAAATAGTTATTCAACCTTGCTACTCATTCTTGATATGTTTTGGTTTTCTCCTTTTTCTAGTTACAATTTTAGAAGGCTTCATGTTTCCAGAAACTTAACCATTTTCTCTAGGTTTTTTAGTTTCTGAATTCACAGATGTCCATAGCAGTCTCTTAATACACTTTTCTATTTCTGTGACACTTGTTGTAATGTTTTCTTTTTCATTTTCAACTTGTTTACTTGCATCTTTTATCTTCTGTTTTCTCTGTTATTCTAGTTGATGGTTTATTAGTTGTATTTGTCTTTTCAAATAAACAACTTTTCATTTTGTTAATTTTTGGTATTGTGTTTTTGCTTTCTATTATTAGTTTTTCTCTGATCTTTGCTATGTCTTTTATTCTGCTAACACTGAGTTTGTTTTTTTTGTTTTTATTTATTTATTTATTTTTAGTTTTTTGAGGTGCAATAATAGGCTGTTAATTTTTTATTGTTTTTGTTTCTTAATGTAGGCACTGAGTAGTGTAAGCTTCTTTATTAATACTATTTGGAGTTTATCAGAGACTGGTATGTTGTGTTTTCTTTTCAATTTATTTCAGCTAAAATCATTTTATTGTCATTGTTGATTCAGTGATCATTCAAGTGCATGTTGTTTACTTTTCATGTATTTGTACAGTTTTCAAAGTTCTTGGTATTAATTTTTGGCTTATTACACTGTGGTCAAAGCAGACATTAATATGATCTTGAATTATTAAAATTTATTAAGACTTGTTTTGTGGCCTAACATATAATCTCTCTTAATCAAATGGCATGTACTAATAAGAATTTACATTTTGCAGAAGTTTTTTGATATAATTTCTGTATACATCTGTTAGGTCTCTTTTGTGAAATGTTTAATTTAACAAGTTCAGGCTTTCTTTTTGGGTTTCTGTCTCACTGGTCTATCTAATCCTCTAAGTGGTGTGCTAAACTTTCCCATAGTATTGCATTGTTATCTCTTTATTTAGTAATATCTGTTTCATAAATCTAGAAGCAATAGTGTTTGATGTGTACTTAGTTGTTTTATTCACCTTCTGAATCAATTTCTTATCATTATATATGGACATTTTAATATTTTTTACTCTTTTAAGTTCAAAGAATTTTCTCTCATGTAAGTATGGCCACTTCTGCTTACTTTTGTTTTATAGGTTTTTTGGATTACTTTTAAGTTCAAAGAATTTTCTCTCATTTAAGTGTGGCCACTTCTGCTAACTTTTGTTTTATAGGTTTTTTGGATTATCTTTCTCTGTTTGTATACATTTAGTTTATATTTGTCTTTAGAGGGAAGCTGAATTTCTTGTAGGCAGTGAACATTTTTTATTCACTTTTTCAAATATATATGTGTGTGTGTATGTGTGTGTGTATATATATTTTTTTTTTGAAGAAGGGTCTGGCACTGTTGCCCAATCAGGAGTGTTGTTGTGTGATATTTATTTAGTCATTACAACCTGTGTCTCAGGAGCTCAAGCCATCCTTCCACCTCGGCCTATTTATTAGCTGGGACTACAAGAACATGCCATGATGCCCTGCTAATTTTTGCATTTTATTTGTAGAGATGGGTTTTCACCATGTTGTCCAGGCTCATCTAAAACTCCTTGACTAAAGTGATCCATCCACCTTGGCCTCCCTAACATGCCAGAAGTATAGGTGTGAGCTACTGTGCCTGACCAAATACAGTATTTTTTATTTTATTTATTTATTTTTGAGACTGTTTTTTCCAGCCCAGGCTGGAGTGCAGTGCCACGATCTCGGCTTACTGCAAGCTCTGCCTCCCAGGTTCACACCATTCTCCTGCCTCAACGTCCCGTGTAGCTGGGACTACAGGCGGCCGCCACCACACCCAGCTATTTTTTTTTTTTTGTACTTTTAGTAGAGACCGGGTTTCACCATGTTAGCCAGGATGGTCTCGATCTCCTGACCTCGTGATCCACCCACCTCAGCCTCTCAACCAAATAGAGCTATTAATTGGATTATAAATATTTAGCGATTATGCATTCAAGGTTAATATTGATATGTGAGGTTTTATCTTCATTATATGCTTAATTTTTTTTCTAGTTGATTTTTTTTATTCTCAATCTTTTTATTTGTGGTTCAGTGGAATGTTGTCATGTGGTGAAATCCTAGTTGTAGTATCAATTTGGCTGGTGGATGAGTTGGGTAAAACCCTTTTATTAGTTGGAGTGACCAGGCAAGAGTGCTACCAGTGACTTGAGAAGCTCTCCTTTTTCCCACATTCTGTACTCTTGTGTTAGCAATTTTTACAGTGGGCTTTGTGGGCTGGCCTCAAGTGCAATAAGTAATGATTGAAGACAAGAGCCAGCTGCTAATATGGTGGTAATGAAAGGAGACTGTTAGTTTGCCTTAGGTAGGTAACAAGGGAAGAGACTCTGGACAGTCCCCAACCCATGGGTCAGTTCCTCATCCCCATGCAAGAAACAAAGCAGGCTGGAAAAAAAATCAAGCTGCAGGCATCATAAGGAAACTATCACAGGCTGTTGTACCTGGAGACATGCCCATGGCTGCACAAATACGGTAAATCCCAGCCCATTCAGATAAAAATTTGTACAAACCTCTTGTTCACTCAGATAAGGAAATAAGACCTAACATAAGAATGCCATTATCCTTTGTATAATCTGTAGGTTCCCAGGAAGTTTTTTCTCATTTTGTGATCATAAACACAGTGGGCTCCAGTGGGTTTCAATGGATAGTTTGCTTTCTTGTGCAAAGTGTGAGCCCAGACTCTGTAAAGCATCACTTCAGCCCCTGGCCCAAGTTCTGGATTAAGATTGGCTCTGGTCCAAGGTCCTGGGTTAAGCTTTCACTTCAGCTTCTAAATAGATCCCTGGCCAAGCTAAACAGAGTCTATAAATCATCAGTTCAGCCTCTGATTTGTCCTGGGCCAAGGTCTTTGGCCAAGTTTTTAACTGGTCCCAGGCCAAGCTAAGTCAGCACTATCCAGGACAGCTTGCAGACTAAGCACATTCCTCCTTCCCCTTCCCAGTTCATAAAATTCCTAAACCTCAGCCTCATGTGGAGTAACTCATTCAAGAATCCCTCTCTTCTGGCAGAGAACTTTCTTATTTCACTTATTTAACTTTTGCTCCAACCTCACTATACTGTTCTGCACTCCTTAATTTTCTTGAGGGTAGAACAAAAAACTCCAGATGTCATCACAAACGAGAAACTGCTTCATCTTGTTACACTGGCAAAACTACAACAGTAAGATTTTGTCTATCAACTGTTCTCTGAGAAAAGTGCATGGATATTTCAGTGGGTGAATTCAGCTGTGGAATGACCAGTGGCCTGGATCCCACACTGTGTCTCAGAGAATGTGGTAAAGCTATCCATAGCTGGACTAGTAAATCCTGCAATCAGGCCTCAAAGGCAGGTGCAGGCACGAGCCCTGATGTTAAAAATGAAAGAGTCCTCATTGTTCTGTCAAAATGTCTGGGCAATAGGCAACTACTCCTAGGCTGAGCTCTCATCACAAACAAAAGCATGCATTTCCAGCACCAAAGTATTTGTTGGTGAAATGGAACCTGCTTTCTTCTCACCTCCCAGTCCCAGCAGACTTCATTCCCTCTAAGCCAACTGTGACAAGATTGTGGATATTTATTTAGTCACTGCAGTTTGCTGATGTACACCATCATAGCCTGGGTCATAGGAGACATTAGCTGGTAACTCATCAAACATCCTTAAGAGCTCTTCTTTTGCTCAACTCGTGGAATTGGAGGAAGGCCAGGTATAGTGCTAGAGGCTAGAACCCACTCCATATTTTTTATTAGTTCCGGCTGTGGGATCATATTTCCCACTTGAGTCCCATTGCATTATATACAGCTTAAGTTTTTCTGATGCCAAGAGGTGCTGCTGTTGCTAGCTCCCAAAACCAGCCACAATTTGCTAGGATCAAGAATGGCATCTTACCCAAGTCACTAAGTATGTTATGCTTTTCAGAGAAGTTTTTACTCACTGTCTCCCAGTGACTTCTCAAGTTAAATTCAGGGGCTGACGGAATCACGGTGCTGTCATATGGTCTGTACTTTAAGATCCAACTAAAAAGTAGGCTGCCAAAAGATACTCACCTATCTTCTATATAGAGTATTTATTCCCAGGTTTTGGCTGGTCCTGGCCACATAGGCTGCCTGACCTTCTAATCTCTCCCAGCATATGGAGTTTTCCTTTACTTTCTGTTCTACTCCTTGTTCCATCCCAGATAATATGTTCAAAGAGTGATTGTCTACATACTACTTTGCTTTTTTAACTAGATAAGGTGTCATGGAAATGTCTTCAGTCAGTCACAGGAGTAACAACTGACAATAAATTTTATTTTCCCAAGGCTAGCTTAACATGTACATTTGATTTCTATAATATTCTGGACCTTTTAATTTTCTTTCACTCTTATAAATAATGATTGTTTCTACATTGGGTCATTTTATGTTGTCCCAAATGACTCAAAGCCTGTGCTAAACATTTTTAATAGTTTTTCTTCATATTTTTCTGACTGGATTATTTTAGTAGATATGTCTTCAAGTTCTAAGATTATTTCTTCTGCTATATCTAGTCTATTATTAAAAGTTTCTAATGTATTTTGTATGCTCAGTAGATTTTTCTTTTTTTTCTTTCTTTTTTTTTTTTGAGATGGAGTCTTGCTGTACTGCCCAGGCTGGAGTGCAGTGGTGCAATCGCTGCTCACTGCAAGTTACGCCTCCCAGGTTCACACCATTCTCCTGCCTCAGCCTCCCAAGTAGCTGGGACTATAGGTGCCCGCCACCACACCCAGCTAATTTTTTTGTATTTTTAGTAGAGACGGGGTTTCCCCATGTCCGCCAGGATGGTTTCGATCTCCTGACCTTGTGATCCACCCGCCTCGGCCTCCCAAAGTGCTGGGATTACAGGCATGAGCCACCACGCCTGGCCAATACATTTTTCATCTCCATAATTGTTTACTTTTATTTTTTAAAAATATGTATCTCCTTGAAAATTTTTTATTGTATAACTGTGTTTCTCTAAATTCTGATTTCAGTTTACTATTGCTTTTCCTTGAGCTTTTAAAAAATGTATACTGTGAATTATTTATGTGTAATTTAAGGAATTTATTTTCAGACTTCAGGGGCAAGAAGAACAATTTGATGCAGCCAGAAAGTTCTTTTCCCATTAGTAGACACCAACATTCCAAGTAAACAAACATAATTTGTACAGATTTTTAGAAAGAAAATGTGGAGAGTGCATGGAGATATGATGCACACACTAATGCTCTAGAAGGAACAAGCTAGGAACCCACTATGAGAAACTTGAATGCTCGGGGAAGTTCTTTGTCCTAAATTTCTCAGGGGAAATTGGTGAGTGAAAAAGCTGTGGAATTTCCAACTCTTTCCCTAGAGCACTGGGATTCTAGGTCCTGGGGACAACATGTCCCCTAAGAACATTTGAGCTGGCAAAGTAATCTTCCCAGAGAGTAAGAAAAGCAATGCTTCAGCCAGCGCAGAGCCTTTGTGTGTGGAGCAGCTCACTGTGCAGTCATAGGTGTCCATTCCCTGAAAGCGCTTCACATTTCTTAGAGAAAACCTAGCCCTAGCTATATAGGTATAAAAGAAAGTAAAGCCAGCTTCCCTGCAGGACTTGGGCATGTCTGTTTTGCAGGCACACCTACCTCCCAGTGCCTCCCAGGAGCCATACCTCCTTACCAGGATTGAGTGCACAGCACAGCTTCTGATGCACATAGAAGGTATATTCCTTCATTGCAGTCTTGGAGCACTTTAGATCTCTCAGTGCACCTGGAACATGGGAACTGTGTTTCAAACATATGGATAATAAAGCCATATGCCTAACCTGGCACCAAAGGGCTGCAGCACGCAGCTCAGGAATGTTGAGAATCACAGCTGGCAGATAAGTTGGGAAAGAGTCCACACTCTTGGAGAACTGACAAGGGTGATTTATTCATCATGGGCTGGTGTGGGAGCATAACATGCCTTCCTTCACAAAGCTAGTACAGAAAAAGTGTGACTTATCTCCCAGTCATTGACTCTTTCCAAAGGAGCCTCACAGACTGAAACATATAACAGAAGAAATGTGGGTATGGGCCAGGTGCTATGGCTCACATCTGTAATCTCAGCATTTTGGGAGGGTGAGGTGGGTGGATCAACTAAGGCCAGTGAGTTTGAGACCAGCCTGGCAAACAGGGAGAAATACTCTGTCTACTAAAATTACAAAAAAGTAGCCAACTGTGGTGGTGCCTGCCTGCGGTTTCAGCTGCTTGGGAGTCTGAGGCACAAAAATCACTTGAACCCAGGAGGCGGAGGTTGCAGTGAACCGAGATCTTGCCACTGCACTGCAATCTGAGAAACAGAGTGAGACCCTTTGTTTTTTGTTTTTTGTTTTTTTTTTGTTTGTTTGTTTGTTTTGTTGTTGTTGTTTTTTTTTTTTTTGAGATGGAGTCTCGCACTGTTTCCCAGGCTGGAGCGCAGTGGCGTCATCTGGGTTCACTGCAAGCTCTGCCTCCCGGGGTTCACGCCATTCTCCTGCCTCCGCCTCCAGAATAGCTGGGAAGCTGGGACTGCAGGTGCCTGCCATCACGCCCGGCTGATTTTTTTGTATTTTTATTAGAGACGGGGTCTCACCATGTTAGGCAGGATGGTCTTGATCTCCTGACCTGGTGATCTGCCCATCTTGGCCTCCCAAAGCGCTGGGATTACAGGCGTGAGCCACCGTGCCTGGCTAGAGTGAGACCCTTTCTAAAATAAATAAATGAATGCATGAAGAAATAAATAAATTAAATAAATAAATAAAATAAAATAAAAGTGGGTATGCTGTCAGTAATAGTAGGGGACTTCCCCAAGCCCAGTAGTGGACATGGTGAGGGTGTCACCTCCCTGCCTCCCACAACACTGAGCATGGCTGCAAACATGAGGGAAAAAAAAAAAGTTTAGTAAAAGCCTATCTGCTGGCTATTACTCTTAAATGTCACCAGCTGTATCACAGCCTAAACTACAAAACCAAAAATATTTTGCTAATATACTCCTCTATGAAACCAGTCACAAGAATTCAGCCACAAAATCCCTGCACAGAGCCTTGTCTCTATAAAACATTCAGAAACAAAGCCAATATCAAACTAATATCAAAATTAAAGGAATAACAACATTCACAGAGAAGAATGTATCTGTGCAATAATCCTGTGTTATTCAACCTAGTGCAATTCAAAAAGCCAGAGTACCCCCTTCTCTCCCAGTAAAACCATAAGCTTCCCATCCATACTTTTTAACCAGTCTGAAATGACTTAAATAGAAGACATTATGGATTATAGGGAAGCTAATCAAAATTCAGAACAAAGCTGAAAACTAATCCAAAAATTCCCGAGAATCAATCCACCAAGAACTAAAATAATCATTTTAAGATAAACCAAATTAAATTTTCAGAGCTACAAATTCAGTAAAATAATTTTATAATACAATCAGGAGTACCAACAGCAGAATACACCAATCTCAGAAAAAAAACAATCTCAGAGTGCAAAGGCTCGTACTTCTGATCAATTCAGCTAAAAGAAAAAATAAATAAATAAAATATTATTTAAAGTAAAAATAAGAACTTCTGCAAAATATGGCATTATTTAAAGAGACAAAGTCTATGACTTATTGTCATTCCTAAGACAGAAGACAGACAGAATAAATAAAGGTCATGAAAATTTCTGTAATCTCATTAGATAGGTTGACATGCAAATTTAGGAAATACAGTGAACTCTGGCTAGAACAAGATGACCACTTCCAAGGAACATAGTCACCAGATTCACCAGGGTGACTATGTTTAAAAAATATTTAAACAAGCATAAAACACACAACTCATGTATTTCAAAAGATGATATACAAGCGATCAACAAAGATAAGAAAAGATGCTCATCATTACTCACCATCAGATAAATGCATATTAAAACCACAATGTGAAACCATCTCACACTAGTCTGAATAACTATTATTAAATATCAAAAAATAAGACATCCTGATGAGGCTCCAGAGAAAAGGGAACACTGATACATTTTGAGAGTAAATGTAAATTAGTTCAGTCACTGTGGAAAGCAGTCTGGAGATTTGTCAGATAACATAGTGCTACCAACCCAACATTCAACCCAATAATCTTATTGCTGTAGGTATATACTCTAAGGAAAATTTTTCTATGCAAGAATAAACATGAACTTGTATAATCATTACCATGGTGTCCACAATATAAAAGAACACTGCATCAATCCAGGGGCCCATATATGATGGTTCAGATACAGAATATGTTGCACATTACACAATTGTATACTGTGCAGTTATAAAAAGAAAAAATTAATGTCCTTTGCAGAAACATAGTTGCCATTGAAGGCCATAATATTAAGCAAATTATTTCAGGAACAGAAGACCAACTACCACATATTTTCACTTGTAAGTTGAAGCTTAAATTTGAGCACACATGAACAACTGACGCTGTTTACTGTTAGAGGGGAAAGGAAGCAAGCAGAGAGTTGTGTTGAAAACTACCTTTTGGGTACTATACTTCCTACCTGGGTGATGAGATTTATATGACGCAGTTCAGCAGCACATCACATACCCATGTAACATACAAGAATATGTAGCTTCTGCATGTAAAAGAGGAGTTGAAATATTAAAAATAAGTAATTTATATTTAGTTAACATACGTTACTGGTAACGTTTTGTATTCCATCAGAAGTGGTTTTTTTTTTTTTCTGTTTCTTCACGTGTTCTTTGTCCTTACATTGATATTTTTTGCACCTGGTGTAAGAGTACCTTCTTCCTTTTTTAACAAATACTTTTGTTGAGATGGGATCTTTCTCTTAGAAATGTCTATGGTTTTAGTCGACTAGAAACCTTTGGCTTTGATTCCAGATGCATGCAGGTGTGAAATCTCTTCATTATTTCTTCAGCTGTAAGCTGTGTTAATAGTATTTATATAATTCTTGGGTTGTTAGGGTGCGGTTATTAGTGGAGGCTGTGATAAAGTTTTATTGGGTACTAGAATTCCAGGTAAGCCCATCTTCAGGCTTTAGTGGTACTGATGGTGGTTAAGGAGGTGTATCCTTGTGTCTTAAAGTAGCCTACATTGGCACTTGTGTTCAGAGTTTCAGGCAGGTCAATTCTTGGACCTTTGGGTGGTTTTCTCAGGTGTTGGTTACGATACTGATGAACTAGTCAGGTAAGCAGGCTCTTGAGCCCCTGATTCAGTGGCATAGAGTAAGTGATTGTGTTAGAAATGGTGAGGTATTCTGCTCCATCTCAAGCACAGTGCTCTCTTGTTCGCAGTGGTTGCAATTAGATATTTGGGTGTTAATTTGTTTTCTGGGCCAGCAGATGGTGCCCTTATATAGGAACCAGCTAATATGATGGAATATTTTGAGTGATCAGGCATTTAGGCCCATCATCAGTTCCCCAGGAGATGTTCTTGGGTTTCTCACTTCGTGGATTCTGTTGTACAATCCCCAGGCCACAGACCGTGTACTTTTTCTTGGTAGATGGGGGCAAAGCCAAGCAGAGCCTAACTGAAAAATTTTGCTCTCAGTCTCCCTAATGGTGAGTGCATGCACCAGCCATGAAGGTCATGGGAAAGATGTCCCTCAGACTTGCCTAAATTCTCAGATGAAGATTGGCAGCTTCTATGTAGACAATGGGGCCAGCTTCAGCAATCAGAGCCTTGGCTAATGAGAGGGAAATAGGCATTTCTGTCTCACCTCAGTCCTACAGGGTCTTCTCAGACCTAGCTGTCACAGCAGATATGTTTGACCTGTATAGCCCAGCAATCCATGCCTAGTCTATAACTTTCTCATGGATGCTAGAAACTTCCCACTGCCTGCCATTGTATTAAAACCAAGCCTGCATGGCTACTGTGTCTCATTTAAGTTCTGGAAGTGGCACCCATTTTCTAGCACTGATGACTAAGCCCACATTGAGCTCCTGCAGTCTTCCACAGGAGCTCACCCTGTCCATGCATCTGTTTCACAAACAATAACCTGAATTTTCTTAGTGCTTAGAACGGGCAATTCTGGGACCTGAGACAGCACACAGTAGTGGTGAGTCAGTGACAAATGTGTAGCTTTGTTATAGCCACTTATATTTTACAAAAGACACAGGGCTCATGATGAACTCTCTCTCTGGAGCAGTTTCTTCTCAAAGTCTGGAAACTTTCTACATTGGATTCAGTGACAGAGAAGGTTAAAGTGCTGTCCTGTGGCCTGAATTATAAAATGACTTGATGAAACAAAAAACAAAACAAAAACACAGACTACAGAAAGCTGCTTTTTCACCCTTTCCAGAGAGTGGGAATTCACTCCCAGCTCCTGGCCATTACTGGTCAAGCAGGCTGCCTTTTCACTTTTTCCTTCCTAATTCTTGCTATTTAATGTCACTCCTCTGTTAAATTCCAATATTATTTTTGGATAAAATATTCAAAATGGCTCATGCCTGTAATCCCAGCACTTTGGGAGGCCGAGGTGGGCGGATCACAAGATCAGGAGATCAAGACCATCCTGGCCAACATGGTGAAATCCTGTCTCTACTAAAAATACAAAAATTAGCCAGGCGAGGTGGTGGGCGCCTGTGGTCCCTGCTACTTGGGAGGCTGAGGCAGGAGAATGGCGTGAACCCGGGAGGCGGAGCTTGCAGTGAGCCAAGATAGTGCCACTGCACTCCAGCCTGGGTGACAGAGCAAGACTCCATCTCAAAAAAAAAAAAAAAAAAAAAATTCAAAATGTGGTTTTTGACACATTATTTTTTAAGTGGATGAGTTATGTTTGAAATGCTGCTTTTCAGCCATTATAACATCAATTCCAATGGCCAAATATTATCATATCCTTATAAAATGAATGGAACACAGAAAAACAAAAAGGTTATACGTGCAGAAAACAAATTAATCCTTCATTAAGATTGAGATGTGACTGGAGAAAGGAATATAATATTTTAATATTTCTTCACTTAATTTTACATGAAAATGTTTGTAAACAAAGTATGTTGATGGCTGCACATATATGTGATTATACCTAAAGCAAATACATTGTGTATTTTTTTATTTGACATTGAGTCTCACTCTACTGCCCAGGCTGAAGTGCAACGGTACAATCTTAGCTCACTTCAACCTCTGCCTCCCAGGTTTAAGTGATTCTCCTGTCTCAGCCTACTGAGTAGCTGGGATTACACGTGCACACCACCACCCAGCAAATTTTTGTTTTTTCAGTAGAGATAGGTAGGGTTTCAGCATGTTGGTCAGTCTGGTTTCAAACTCCTGACCTCAGGTGATCCACCTGCCTTGGCCTCCCAAAGTGCTGAGGTTACAGGAATGGGCCACTGCACCTGGCCACATTGTGTATTTTAACTGGGTGAATTACATAAAACATAATCTGTAGAGCTGGATATATTTCTTAAAATATTTATTTTATCATCTTTCTTCTCAGAAAATGTATAGCCAAAAAGTGAAAGAATGTAAAAAATTATTCCATAAAGTGCAAATCCAAAGCAAACAGAAGTAACTATATTTATATTAGATAAAACAAACTTTGTGAAAAACTGTAAGAAGGACAAGGTCATGATACCATGACAATGTGATCTATTTGGAAAAAAAATATAATCAGTGTAAATATATGATCACCCAACAATGGTACATTTGGATGTATGAAGTAAACATTATAGCTATTAAAGAAACTGTGATAAAGAATATTATCACAATTAAAGAAATACTGCAATATTAAAATAGCAGGGCACTTAAATCTCTCACTTTCAGCAAGTCAGATAATTCACAGACAATGAACACAACTTGATTTAATCACAAAACCTGATTTAAACTGTGCTCTAGATAAAATGGAGCCAACAGAAATAGATAAAAGCCTCTCCTCCAAATGCTGTAGAAGACACATTATTCTAACCTGCACTTTGAAAATTTTGTGGAATAGATTATATGTTAGGACAAAAAACAAGTCACAACAAACTTAACAAGATCACATTTAATATCTATTTGTACCACAATTAAATAACACTATAAAGTTAAAAATATAAAAGTAAACATTAGAAACTACAGAAATTTACAGATATGTAAAAATTAAATAGCATGCTCCTGAAAAATCAATGAACCAAAAAAAGTAAAAATAAAAATGTTTAAATGTTGAGACAAATAAAAAAGTAAACACAATATATAAAATTAAAAAGAAAAATCAAATATCGCTAAAATAGAAAAGTTGATAGCAACAAATTCCAACACTTAAAAGTAAAAAGCTCTAAAAAGTCAAATAAGACAACTCAGAGTTTTAGGAAAACAAAATGAAACTACTCACAATGTGTAGAAAATTATAAATTACAAAGGTCAGGGTAGAAACAAAAGAAATACACTGATATCTAGAATATATAATAAACTCAAGCAACAGGAAAAACAAATAAAACCATTAAAATGTTACTTTGTACAGCAAAAGAAACTATCAACAGAGTACACAGACAACCTACAGAATGGGAGAAAATTTTGCAACCTGTGCATCTGACAAAAATCTGAAAAATTTTGCAAACTATGCATCTGAAAAAGTCTAATACCCAACATCTATAAAGAACTTTAACACAATTCCAATAGAAAACCCCATTAAAAATGGGAAAAGGACATGAACAGATTTTTTTTAAAAGAAGACATACATGCTGCCAATAATCATGTATAAAAAAAGCTCAATATCAGTGATGATTAGATAAATGCAAATCAAAACCACAATAAGATACAATCTCACAGCTGTCAGAAAAGCTATTACTAAAAAGTGAAATAGTAACAGATGCTGGCAAGACTGCAGAGAAAGGGAAACATATATACACTGTTTGTGGGTGCATAAATTAGTTCAAGCATTGTGGAAAGCAGTATTGTGATTCTGCAAAAGGCTAAAAGCAGAACTACCATTTGGCTAAGCAATTTTATGACTAAGTGTGTACCAAAGGATGATACATAAATCATCCTACCACACAGAGACATACACATGAATATTCATAGCAGCAGTATTTACAATAGCAAAGACATGATATTAATATAAATGTTCATTAATGATAGAATAAAGCAATATGGCATATATATACCATGGAATACTATGCCAATATACATATAAAAAAGCAAGATTATGTTTTTTTTTTGCAGGCACATGGATGGAGATGGAGGGTATTAATCTGAGTAAGCTAATGCTGGAAGAGAAAACCAATAGTTTTCATCAAAGGTTAGGGCTAAGTAATACTTGTTAAAACAAAGAAGGAAATAACAGACAGTGGGGTCTACTTGAGGATGGTGGGAAGAAAAAGGGAGACAAGCAGAAAAGATAACTATTGGGTATTGGGCTTAATTTCCAGGTGATGAAATAATCTTTACAACTCATCCCTATGACCTGAGTTTAACTGTGTAAGAAACCTTCATGTGTTTGTGAAAACCAAAATTTAAGTTTTGAAAGGATAATAAAAGCTATTAATAATATGAATAGTCATTTATCAAAAGAAGACATCCAAAGGCCAGCATGCATATAAGCCAATGTTCAACATCACTAATGATCAAAGAAATGCAAACTAAAACCACCGTAAGATAGATATCATATTACACCACTCAAAATGGCTATTACATAAAAAGAAAAACAGATGATGAGGATGCTAAGAAAGAATGCTTAATACTGTTGGTGGGAATATAGATTAGTATAAGCTCTATGAAAAACAGAATGGTTATTTATCAAAGAACTAAAACTGTAAGTACCACTTGTTCCAGCAATCCCACTACTGGGTATCTATCAAAGATATTAAAATCATTATATAAAATACATATCATATAAGTATTGCAGCATTATTCACAGTAGTAAAACAATAGAATTACCTAAACTGATTATCACCATATAATTAGATTAAACAAATATGCTACATAAACATAATAAAATACAATTTCATTATAGAAAAGAATAAAGTCATGTCCTCTCTATTGACATGTATAAAACTGGAGGCCATGATCTAAAACAAACAAACTTGGAAACATAAAGTCAAATACTGTATATTCACAATATTGTAAGCATGGGCATAAAGTATAGAATGATACACATTGGAGAGTCAGAAATGTGGAAGGATGGAAAGAGCTTGGTTGATGAGACATACTTAATGAGTACAATGTACATTATTCAGATGATTAATACACTAAAACCATGACTTTATCACTACACAATATGATCATGTAATAAAATTGCATTGTACACTTAAATTTATACATTTTAAACAATAGAGTAAAATCCTAAAGATCAGCTGAAGGCTTCAAGACATTTTTATCACAAAACAGACTTTTACAATTTCATTATCTAGAAGGCAGATAATCTAGAATAAAAATTTAAAAAGAATCACAATCATTACTTTATACAATAGGGCAAATAAATGTAATAGATATTTGCAGAACATTTCCTCCAGCATCTGTAGAATACACATTCTTCTCAGCATATGCAACATTCTCAAGAATAGAACACAAAGCAAATTTTAGGGATTCAAATAAACTGAAATTATTATATTGTTAACTAAATATGGAATAAAACTAGTAATCAATAGTAAGATAATTTTTGGAAATTACACAAATAAATAAAAATTGAAAAACATGATGTGAAATGATCACTGACTCTGTAAAAAATTAAGATGAAAATAAAAACATTTTCTCAAACAAAAAGGAAAACACAATGTACCAAAACTTGTGGAATACAGCAAAACTGCTAAGCAGGAAGTTTAACATATTTAATGCCTACATTGAAAAGGAAGAATGATTACCAATTAACAGTCTTATAACACAGATCATGAAACTGGAAAAGAAATAACATGACAAACCCAAAAATAGCTGAAGAAAATAAATAATGGAAATAAAGGCAGAAGAACTAAATCAAATAGCAACTAAAATTTTTTTAAAGATCAAAATAAAACCTATTTCTTTGAAAATACAAACACAATTAGTAAATTGCAAGTAAGCCAATCAAGAATACTCAAACACAAAATAAACAGTAAATAAATAAAGATAAATGAATAATAATAAATAAATTAAAAACAAATAAAAAAGACATTACAAGTGATACCACAGAAATACAAAGGATTACCAGATGCATTGTGACAACTATTAACTGTCAAACAAGTAAATCTAGAGAAAATGAACAAATTACTGAAAACACACAACCTGTTATGATTGACCCAGGAGGAAACCGGAAACCTGAACACTTGAATAACAAGTATTCATGCTTCCACCCGACAAAAAAAAAAAAAAAAGCCTTGATGCAGATGGATTCACAGCAAAATATTACAAAACATGCAAAGATAAACTAATACCAATCCTCCTGCAAACATTTCAAATATTGAGGAAGAGAAAATTATTCCTAACTCATAGAAGGCAGGTGTTATTTCAATATAAAAACCAGACAAAAACAAAACAAAACAAATACAAGAAGAGAAAGCTACAGACCAATGTCTCCAATAAACCTAAGTGCAAAAATTCTCAAAATACCAGCAAAGCAAAACCAACAGTATGTAAAACAGATAAATAATACACTTTATTATTTAATAGTACAATTTTTATGTACTGTAGATAAAACAGATAAGTCATACAATGTGTTATTTAATAATACAGTTTAAAGATATTTATGGCTAAGACCTCAAAAGCAAATGCAACAAATACAGGAACAAATGCAACAACTAAACTAATAAGCTTCAGTACGGCAAATCAATAACACAGTAAACAGATAACCTGTAGAATATTAAAAAAAAAAAAGGCAAAAAATATTTCCTACAAGGGCTAATGTCCAGACTCTAGAAGAAACTCAAATAACTAACCAGGAAAAGAAAACATTCTGTGGGCAAAAGTCATGAGCAGATATTTCCCAAAAGACAACATACAAGTGAACAACAAATAGATAAAAAATGCTCAACATTGTTAATCATCAGAGGCAGAAAAATCAAAATCACAGTGAGATATTTCACAGCAGTCAGAATAACTATTACAAAAATTCAGAAATCAACAAACACTGGCTAAATTGCAGAAAAATAGAATAATGATATAGTGTTCCTGAGAATAAAATTAGCTCAATTCTTATTTAAACAGTTGAAAATTTTTCAAAGAAATAAAAATAGAACTACCATTTGGCCCAGCAATGCCACAACTAGATATCTACTCAAAGTGGTGGTGGTGAGAGGAGTTATATCAAACACATAGCTGCATTGCTGTGTTTATCATGGCACCATTCAAAATAGCAAGGTTGGCTGAGTGCAGTGGCTCATGCTGTAATCCCAGCACTTTGGGAGGCCAAGGCAGGCAGATCACGAGGTGAAGAGATCAAGACCATCCTGACTAGGAGGGAGAGGTTGTAGTGAGCCAGATCTCACCACTGCACTCCAGCATGGTGACAGAGAGAGACTGTCTCAAAAAAAAAAAAAAAAAAAAATATATATATATATATATATATATATATATACATACATACATACATATATATATATATATATATATATAGTAAGGTCATGGAATTAACCCAAGTTTCCATCAAAGTATGATTGAATTGAAAATATGAAAATGTGGTGTCTATACATGATTTAATACTGCATAACCATAAATATTTACAATAATGTTACAGTTTTTGCAATCACATCCACAGAGCTAAAAACAATTATCTTTAGTAAAATAACTCAAAATCAGAAAATCACTTACCATATGTTTTTACATGTAAGTGGAAGGTGAACGATGAGTACACATGGCCATATAGAGGGATATAATAAACACTAGAGACATCAAAAAAGGAGAGTACAGAAGGAAAGTGGGAGTTAAAAAGTATTCAAAACAACATTTAGTAATTGAGTGATGGGCACACTAAAGGCCAAAACTCAATAGTACACAACATACCCATGTAACACACCTGCATGTATACTCTATTCTCTGAACTTAGCAAAAATTAAATAAATAAATAACATATAAAATGCAGAGTTAATAAATGCATACCCAGATACATTTTGTCAATAAAGAATCACATTGGATGCTTAACAATTAAAATCCATCAACACCTCAAGGCTTACATACCTTCCAAAAGAGTCACGTACCTAAATAATTTATAACAAATTAGTTATAAAACCAATAAATGCAATGCAGAATAAGAATATAATAAGGAACAGTATAATCATAGCTTATACAACAAACATTTTCAAAAAATATAACATTTATTATTAAAAGTAAATAAACTAGAAATGAAAGGAAAATTTCCTCTCTCATAGAGAGCACTATAATTCACAGGTATTCTTTTCTTCAGTAGTGCTAAGTGGAAGCTTACTTTTAAATAAGATGTGGAATGAGGATGCGTTGTTTTTTTTACTTTCACTTAACTTTGCCTTGGAACTTCTAGCCTAAGTCATTAGAAAAAAATGTAAAAAGTAATATAAATTACGTTCATATAAATTTTGCATATTTTAATGCATAGATACAAGTATTAAAAATCAACACCTAAATGAAATGTTTCTAAACTCTAGTAATCTACAATATGGAAACAAAACTATAGAGATAATTTTATTTAGAATAACACAAAAATAATAAAATCAATATTAAAAATGTATACATGTTGTGATAATTGTATACTAAAAGTACAAAATATTATATGAAGTATAAAAAAGAACTAAATGTAGAACAATGTATTTGGATCCCAAATTCTAAGATTTAACATGTTTAAAGTGCAAATCTTTTTTCAAATTTATTTGCAAACTTAATATTTTTCTAGCATATTGCTGTACTTTTCTGTGCAGAATTGAAAATTTTTATTTTAAATTTTATATAAATCTGTCAATCTCTAATTTGTTTCTCCATTGCAGAACTAAAAAATTATCTTATAAAATTTATATTGATGTCTGGTTAGCCAAAATTGTTGAGAAGAAAAGAAACTCTTGTTCATATTTCTTTACTGCTAATATTACTAAGTATTACTAAATAACTACAATTATTTAAATGAAGAACTACTCAAAGTGTGTACACAAAGAAATATGTAGTTGAATGAAAAATTAACAAATAAATAAACTCATATATTTCTGATACATTGACATTGTCAGTGGATAATTCTGTTAAGACAATTTAATAAGACAAGAATTACAGGGAGATCTGACAAGATGGCCACATAGGAACAGCTCCAGTTTGCTGCTTCCATTGAGACCAATGCAGAAAGTGAATGGATAATCTCTACATTTACAAAGGAGGTACCCAGTTAATCTCATTGGGAATGTTTAGGCAGTGGGCGAAGCCTATGGACAGTGAGCAGAAAGCAAGAGAGGGCATTATCTCACCAGAGAAGTACAAGAAGCCAGGAACCAATCTCTGCCCTACCAAGGAAGCCATGAAACACTGTGCTACCTGGCCCAGATACTACAGTTTTCCCATGGGATCTTCAATCTAGAGAGCAGAAAATTCCCTTGTGTGCTTACACCACCAGGGCCCTCGGTTTCAAGCATAAAACTGGGTGGCTGTAGACACCAAGCTAGCTTCAGCTTTTTTGTTTTTGTTGTTGCTGTTTGTTTGTCTGTCTGTTTGTTTTTCCCAGTGGAACCTGGAACCCCAGTGAGAGAACCATTTACTCCCCTGGAAAGAGGGCTAAAGCCAGAGAGCCAAGTGGTCTTGCTCAGTGGGTCCCACTCCCATGGAGTCAGCACCCTAAGAACCACTGGCTTGAAATTCTTGCTGCCAACAGAGCAGCATGAAGTCAACCTGGGATGATCAGGCTTGGTTGGGGAAGAGGCATCCACCATTACTGAGGATGGAGTAGACAGTTTTCCCCTGACAGTGCTAAGGAGGCTAGGAAGTTCATACTGGGCAGAATTCACCAAAGCATGTCAAAGCGGCTGTGGCCAGACTGACTCTCTAGATTCCTCCTCACTAGGGAGGGCATCTCTGAAAGAAAGGCAGTAGCCCCATTCAAGGGATTATAGACAAACTCCCATCTCCGTGGAAAAAGAGCACATGGGGAAAGGGCTGGCTATGTGCCCAGCAACAGCATACTTAAATATTCTTGCCTGCCATCTCTGAAGAGAGCAGCATCTGTCAAGAAGGATTCTCCCAGCACAGTGCTCCAGCTCTGCTAAGGGACAGACTACCTGCTCAAGTAGGTCCCTGACACCCATGACTCCTAACTGGGAGATACCACCAAACAGGAGTAGACAGACACCTTGTACAGGAGAGCTGTGGCTGGCATCAGGCCAGTGTCCCTCTGGGATGAAGCTTCCAGAGGAAGGAGCAGGTGGCAATCCTTTCTGTTCTGCAGCCTCCACTGGTGACACCCAGGCAAACAGGGTCTGGAGTGGACCTCCCGCAAACTGCAGCAGACCTGCAGAAGAGGGACCTGACCGTTAGAAAAAAACAAACAGAAAGAAACAATATCACCATCAACAAAAGGACCCCCACTAAAAAAACCTGTCCAAAGATCATCAGCCTCAAAGAGCAAAGGCAGATAAATCCATGAAGATAAGAAAAAAAAAACAAAAAACATGCTGAAAATTTAAGGAACCAGAATACCTCATCTTCTCCAAATGATTGAAATTCCTCTCCAGCAAGGGCAGAAAACTGGATGGGGAATGAGTTTCATGAGTTGATAGAAGTAGACTTCAGAAGGTGGGTAATAAAAAACTCCTCTGAATTAAAGGAACATGTGCTAACCCAATGCAAGAAAGCTAAGAACCTTTATAAAAGGTGACAGAAATTGCTAACTAGAATACCCAGTTTAGAGAAGAATATAAATGACCTGAAGGAGCTGAAAAACAGTGCTAAAACCTTTGTGAAGCATACACAAGTATCAATATCCAGATTAATCAGGTGGAAGAAAGGATATTAGAGGTTGAAGAAGAGCTTACTGAAATAAAACATGAAGACAAGGTTAGAGAAAAGAAAAGGAATGTGAAGTAGAAAATTAAAAGAAAATTAAAGCTTGCTTAAAAATTGTTGTTAGAGTTAGGATGGAATAGGCCTCAAATAGCCCCCTTCCAAAGTACGAGTTAAGAAAGAATACTAACTACTTCTCTGTGAAATATTAACCATATCTACCCTCTGCATATTTTGTAAGTTCTCTAAGTTTCTGTTTTACTGCTGAACAGCTGAAAGGTCACAAGATAGATAACCACTAGCTGTAAAACATGTTTTATCAAAGATGTAAGACGTGTCACAGATGATTAACTGCTTTTGTTCTCGCTTCTGTAAGCCTGCTTCCTGCCTCATGTACTGCCTGCCTTAAGATGCATAAAAGGCCGGGAGCAGTGGCTCATGCCTATAATCCCAGCACTTTGAGAGGCCGAGGCAGGCAGATCACGAGGTCAGGAGATCAAGACCATCCTGGCTAACAAGGTGAAACCCCGTCTCTACTAAAAATACAAAAACTTAGCCAGGCATGGTGGCAGGCACCTGTAGTCCCAGCCACTCAGGAGGCTGAGGCAGGAGAATGGTGTGAACCCGGGAGGTGGAACTTGCAGTGAGCTGAGATCACACCACTGCACCCCAGCCAGGGTGACAGAGTGAGACTCTGCGTCAAAAAACAAAAACTGCATAAAAGATACTTGCCTTGTTTGTTTGGTGCTCAGACTTTCTGGACACTAGTCCACTGAGCCAGTGTATACCTTAAATAATAAATCGTCCTTTGACCCCATCAGTCTCTCCAGTCTCTGATTTCCTGTAACATTTTCTAGGGGCTCATCCAGGATTGGAGATGGCAAATGTTCTGTCTCCTTTGCCCATAGGACTGGAGCCCAAGAGCAGGGGATACCTGAAATCCTAGGCACTGACAGGAGAACTTCAGACTGGAGAGGAGACCAGCTCTCCTGCATCCCGGTGCCCTTCCCTAACAGCACAATGGAACTGGCAAAGGGGCTACAGGACAATTCCAGGAGCTGCGTGCATTCTTCAAAAACGTGGTAAGGCCTGAAGCCCCAAGTCAAGACCCATCCCATAAGGATGAAACGGGGGCCTAATCACTTCCCAGGGTGTGACTACTCGTCTAACACAGAGGGGCTGAGGAAAGTGGGAGTGACCTGCCAGTTTGGATGAAACTTACAACCTAACTGTCACAGCACATGAAAGAGGCTCACTAAGTCAGTTTAGGAAAATAAAAACTGAAACTAGACGTAGCAAGAATGAGTTGCCACCCTAATTAAAAAACGTGAACTGGGAGTGAAGAGGCATGTGAAAGCACATTAAAGAGACAGTTCTGGGAAGGGCCAACATGGGGCATGACAGGTGAAGGCACAGATCTCTTAATGTGGACTGTGGGCTCTGGAGCCAGTGTGTGGCTGACCAGATCTAGAGCGATCTGTATAAGGCTGACAGGAGCTGCCCTACAGCTGCAGCAGCTGCAGTGGGAATACGATACTGTCCTAGCTAAGCAGTGCATGAAATTCCCGTAATAGGAACCAGTCTGATCAGTCTGTAACAAAAGGTAGAGTGAGTGTGTGTCATAAAAGGAGGAATGGGAGGAAAATCATCAAAAGCTTCTCCATTGGAGTGCATGTTAAATAATTCTGGGAAACGCTTTGGAGGAGATTATGGGGTAAAACTGACCCCCCAAAGGTTGAGAACTCTCTGTGAATTAGACTGGCCTTCTTTTAATGTTGTGTGGCCTGCCAAAGACACAATAGATAGGGAAGAAATTGGCCATGTGTTTAAGGAAGTGACAGGGGTTGGAGAACAGCCTGGGAATCTAGATCAGTTCCCATATATTGATTCCTGGTTGAACATGGTTCTAACACATCCCAAATGGATACAACCTTATTTGACAAGTTATTGTAAGTCTCTGGTAGCCTGAGCTATACCTAAGGAAGTTGAGAAGTCTATCTCAATAGGAGCCTCAGAGGAGAAGAAAAAGCAACAGAGTAGTCAGGAAAAAACAGTCTTCCAAACGCTTTCCAAGGAAAGAAAGTTTCCTCCTTCTTATGCTCCAATACACCCATCCTTGTCAGGGCTAAGACAAGGCAGAAAGCAAATGGCCCTCGAGGAATCAGGCTCAGAGAAAAGTGAGTCTCAAGCAGCATAACCCCATGGAGGGGATCCTGAGCCCCTGCCCATAAAAACCAAAGAGGAAAGGCAGGATTAAACAGCAAGCCACTTCTGGTCAGGCTGCACCCAAGCCTTGCAAATGCTCTTCCATGAGACTCGAGCACAGACGTATTATTATGAACAAGGCCGGGTCCGGGGTGGGCAGTGAATTTTTGTCTACCAGCCTTTCTCCATCACAGACCACCTAAATGGGGAACAGCATACTCCATCCTATACAGAGAAGCCCCAGTCTGTAATAGACCTGTTGCGGTCCATTTTTCTGACTCGCAATTCTACCTGGCCAGACTGCCAGCAGCTCCTTCTGACATGGTTCAATACAAAGGAGCATCAGAGGGTGTCCAAAGAGGCCCTCCAGTGGATAGAGAACAATGCACCTGATGGCACACATGATGTCTGGTGGTATGCCCAGGAACAGTTCTCAGAGACAGACCCAAATTGGAACCCAAATGAGGCAAAAGAGCAGCTCTGCCTGCAGAGATATCAGGAAGCACTCTTAAATGGGATAAAAGCTGAAGGGAAAAAGGCAATGAACATAGGAAAAATTTCAGAGGTCCTTAAAAAGGCTGATGAGAGCCCAAGTCAGTCCTATGAGAGTCTCTGTGAGGCATACCAGCTCTATAGCCCATTTGACCCCGAGGCTACAGAGAGAATCAGTGCATGGTGAATATGTCATTTGTTAGTCAGGCACAGGCAGACATTAAACAAAAGCTTTGGGATCTTGAAGGTTTTGCAGGCATGAATGCCACCCAGCTAATAGAAGTATCCACCAAAGTATGTGTTAACCACGATCAGGAGGAAAGGAAGGAGGCTAAGCAGATGATTAAGAAAAAGGCCGAGCTACTGGTGGCAGCCGTTGTTGAAATAGAAACTAGCATTGTAAGGGGACAAGGATGTGGTCATGGTCATGGTTATGAAGAGGTCAAAGTGGCCCGGATTTGAAGGCCAGAGAAGGCTGGAGAGGGATTAGTGTGCATTACGCAAAAAGAAAGCACATTGGAAGGATGAATGTCCAGAGAAGGATAAGGGCAATATCTGTGACCAGGGAGCTTGGCCAGAGCTACCAGCTGTAAGTCATTGTGTTCTGAAACCGGATGCCAACTTGATCAGCCTGGCAGAGACTGTGGAGGACTGAGACAGACTGTTTCTCCATCTCTTTGGGCCACCAGGAGCCTATGGTCACAGTGGAGAGAGGGGACCAATGGATGGACTTTATGGTAGATACCAGAGCTAAACACTGAGTAGTTACCCAACCCATAGGGCTACTATCTAAGAATTATACCACTATTTTCAGGGGATCTGGAGTTTCAGAAAAAGGCCTTTTTGCTGGTCAAGGGGTTGCATTATTGGAGGATGAGAAGTCCACCATGAGTTTCTATACCTTACAAATTGTCAAGTTTCTTTGCTAGGGAAAAACTTGCTCCAAATACTACAGGCACACATTTCCTTTGCACCACAAGGAAATATGTATTTAAACTTACGTCAACCAAAAGCTATGGTGTTAACCCTCACACTGCCAAAAGCTGAGGAATGGAGGCTATATGCACAAGTACCACTTAAGCAAGGACTGCTAGGACCTCTTGAGAAGTATGGGCTAGTTACCAAAATACCTAGAGTATGGGCGGAAAACAATCCACCTGGATTGGCTGTAAATCAGGCACCAGTCTTAGTAGAGTTAAAACCAGGAGCCACCCTGGTATGAGTTTGTCAGTAACTGATTTTCATATAAGCCATCCAAGGTGTTCAAAAGCATATAGACTGGCTTTTCAAGAATAGAATCATAGTTAAATGCAGATAAGTTTGGACCACTCCTCTGTTGCCAGTATGAAAGCCATCTGGGGAATATGGGCCAGTGCAGGATTTGCGTGCCATAAACCAGGTCACAGAGACAATCTATCCAGTAGTGCCCAACCCATACACCTTGTTAGGACAAATACCAGCTAGTGCAGCCTGGTTTATTTTCTTCTACCTAAAGGATGCATTCTTTTGTCTCCAGCTGGTGCCAGTGAGCTGACCTATCTTTGCATTTCATTGGGGAGAAACACAGTATACTTGGACAAGGCTCCCACGAGGGTTTAAGAACTCCCCTACAATCTTTGGAGAAGTGCTAGCATCAGATCTCAGGAGCTTTCATTCCACCTAATGACAAATGCTTCTGACTGCAGTTCATAGATAACCTCCTATTTATGGTCCCCACTCAGGTGGATTGCCTTCAGGGCACTGAGAAACTCCTCCACCTTTTGTGGAAGGCCAAATATAAAGTATCCAAGAAAAAGGCACACATCTGTTCAGAAGGAGTCATATATCTAGGTTTTGAAATAAGTGAAGGGAAATGTGAGCTTGGCAGTGAGCGAAAGCGGACTGTTTGTGCAGTACCATCCCAACCACTGGGTGCCAAATAAGGGAATTCCTAGGAGCAGCAGGTTTCTGCCACATCTACATTCCAAATTTTTTACTTATGGCAAAATTGCTGTATGAAGCCACAGAGTGGGGAAAAAGAGCCCCTTCTTTGGGAAGCCAATCAGGAAAAAGCTTACAAGGGATCAAAAGGGCTTTAATCCAGGCCCTGGCCTTAGGACTGCCAGATCAGACTAAGCCTTTCTTCCTATATGTCTATGAATGGAAGGAAGTGGCTGTAGGGATCCTGACTCAAATGATGGGGTCATGGCATATACCAGCGGTGTATTTATCCAAACAGCTGGACCCTTTGGTGCTAAGCTGGCCCCCTTGCTTTAAGACATCAGCTGCTACAACCCTTTTGTCACAAGAAGCCAATAAATTGACCTTAGGACAAAAACTAATCATCAGAGTACCCCACACAGTTATCATCTTGATGGATCAAAGGGGACATTATTGGTTGTCAAACCCAAGAATTACCAGATAGATATCAAGGACTCTTATCTGAAAATCTTTATGTAATCATAGGAACTGTTATTTCTTTAAACCCAGCCACTCTGCTACCCATAAAAAGGCCAAAAGATTCCATTCCCTATCACTATTGTGTGGATGTAGTGGAGGAATTATTCTGTAGCTGAAAAGACTTAACAGACCAGCCCCTTGTTGGCCCAGATGTTGAGTACTTCATGGATGGGAGCAGTTTTATCTCAGAAGGGATCCAGTAACCTGCATATACAGTAGTAACCTGGGACTCAGTGGTAGAGGCTCAGCCTCTGCCTGCTAGGAAATCTGCTCAGAAAGCAGAGCTAACAGCTCCAACAAGAGCCCTACTGTTGGCCAGAGGAAAAGTGGTTAACAGTTATACTGACTTTAAGTATGCCTTTGTGACACTGCTTGCTCATGGGGCCATATATAAAGAAAGAGGACTTTTAACTGCAGGAAGAAAGGAGATAAAAAATAAAGAGAAAATTCTACAACTCTTAGATGCTGCGTGGGCCCCAGAAAAGGTGGCTGTCATTCACTGCAAGGGACATAAAGCATCAGAAATTTTGAAGCAAAAGCAAACAGAAAAGCAGATAAAAAGGCACAATGGGCATCAATGGCCACTTTTCCTCCTAAAGAGGGAGCCCTAGCAATGCCTCTCTTCCCAGAGATTTCCCTCCCAGAGATCCCAAGTTACACTCTAAATGAAAGGAGTTGTTTTGCTCAGGAAAATGGAAACTACACTGAGGGAGGATGATGGAAGTTCTCTGATGGGAGGCTAGCCATACCTGAGATGATGACTCCCAGATTTGTAAATCAGTTCCACCAAGGAACCCACATGGGAAGACAGCACTAGAAACCTTGCTAGGATGGCACTTTTATGTGCAAAGACTTAGCCCCATCACTTGAGCCATCTGTGAGCAATGTCTGATTTGTCCTCAAAACAACCCATGGCAGGGGCCAACCTGGCCCCCAGCAGTTCAGAAATCAGAGCTACACCTTGTGAAAATTTACTTGTAGACTTTACCAAACTGCCCCAGGCTGGGGGCCACTGGTACCTACTAGTGCTTGTTTGCACCTTTTCACTGTGGGTTGAGGTTTTCCCAAACAGGACAGAAAAGGCATGGGAAGTAACTAGAGTGCAGTTAAAAGACTGCATTCCTAGATTTGGACTGCCTGTAACTATAGGATCAGAAAATGGCCAGGCATTTGTGGCTGAGATTGTACAGCAGCTAACACAACTACTAAAAATAAAATTGAAGTGGCACACTGCCTACCACCTGCAAAGCTCAGGAAAAGTAGAGTGGATGAACCAAACACTCAAGCAACTACTGAAGAAATTCTGTCAAGAAACTCATCTCAGGTGGGATCAGGTTTTGCCCGGAGTCCTCCTCTGAGTCAGGTGCCCCACTACCAAACAAACTGGGTATTCACCTTGGGAGATTTTGTTCAGCAGACCACCCCCAGCATAACTCAGGTTAAAGGTGACCTCCATGATTTAGGGGAATTAAACTTAACCAGGCAAATAGAGGCCTTAGGTCTAGCTATGCAGAAAGTCCATGGCTGGGTACGGGAAATGATGCCTGTAAGTCTAACAGACCCAATATGCCCGCTCAAATCTGGGGACCTGGTTTGAGTTATGAAACAGAATCCAACTACTCTAGGACCCTTATGGGATGGGCCCCATGCTGTAATCTTGTCTACTTCCACAGCTGTTAAAGTTGCAGGTATCATACTGTGGGTCCACCACAGTTGGCCAAAATTGGCAGCACTGGACAAGTGGACCAGTCAGGAAGACCCAGACCACCCAACAGGGCTGATCTTGCGATGGAACCAAGTCATGCTGAGAAGGACAACCACTCTGCTCTGTCCACTCCAGAGGCTGGACAGTCTACACATGGCTGAAGCTTGAGGAAACTTCAAGCCCTGCCCTAGTCACACCACAAGCTGACTAGTCTATGCACGGCTGAAGCTTGAAGAGTCTTCCTCAGATGAGTAAATGTGGATAGAAGTATTAAGTTTAGTTGCTATCTTAGTAATATTACTTGTTCTGTTGCTATGCTATAATTTTTGCCAGTCCCTCCTCCCAGGAAAGGACCTTTTTTGTCCATACTTTGTGTAAACATACCACTCCTTATTTTTATTTTGCTACTACCACTGCCTATGGCAAAGAGAAAGCACCTGGAATGGTGCCCCCACTGCACTCATACCACAAAGTCTGGAAGAACTTTAACTAAAACTCTCCTATATCATACTCATTACATGTGTGCCAGGGCACATTTGGGTACCTGTGTACATGACCAAATAACATATTCAATTTATGACCCAGGAAATAACAAACCATATATATGTTATGACCCTAAGACTCCACTCACAGAATTCTAGTTTGAGTCTCATGCAAAAATAAAAGATGGGGATCTTTTGAATCAAAATAAGGGTTTTTCCCTTGGCATAGATGCCACATCCTTATATCTTAACCTCTGCCAACACACTTTCACGGTGTCCACTCACTTAATTATTATCTCTGACCCTGAAGGTTACCTTAGCAGTTGTCATACCACTGGATGTGCACCCTCCATTTGCTCTGCCAGATACCTAGTGATGATTGGATGCTGGAGCTGCTCAACATGGTTACACAACCCATTAGAGGAGGCTCTACTTACCAGAATGCTAGCCAAACCTCACTGTAATTGGAAAACATGTTCCTGTAGTACTGTGAATTTTACTATCTTAAAGCCAAATGAACTCATATGGACTACAGGATATCCCATAATGTTAGGAGTTGCTGATCAAAAGGCAGCCATGGAAATCTAGCTATTTATTATTAAGAAAACAAACAAAACAGCCAATACCTCAGTTCTAGTCTTCATGTCATTTTATAAATATTCCAACCAGAAGGTATCTGAGCCACCTCCTCCAACCAAAAACTTATTTGCCCAGCTAGCTGAAAACATAACTGGCAGTTTAGGAATTACTTCCTGTTATGTTTGTGGAGGAACAAATGTAGAAGACCAATGGCCATGGGAGGCAAAAGAATTAATGCCTCAAGATAATTTCACTCTTCCTAAATCCACCAATGAACCAATAGACTCAGCCAGTGTGTGGATACTGAATACCTCCATAATTTGAAGGTACTGTATCATCCATTGAGGAGAAGCATTTACAGATGTAGTAGGATAATTAACTTGCTTAGGGCAAAAATATTATAATAGAACTGAAGGAAAATTCCATGGAGGAGTACAAAAAATGATTCCTCCTTATCTAATTTTAACCCCTTTTCTCAGTTTCCCACCTCGCACCATTCTTGGTATCAGCTTGAGGATCCAAATTCTTGGCAAGTACCCTCTGGCCTCCATTGCATCTGTGGAACATAGGCATATCAGAAACTGCTGCCTAAGTGGTCAGGGGCCAATGTATTAAAAATAATTAGGCCTTTCTCTTTCTTAACCCCCCTAAAGCAGGGTGAGACTTCAGGGTATACAGTTTATGATGAGAATAAAAATGAACCAGGAGGTTATTTTATTTTGTTGTTAGTCTCAAAAATAGAACAAACTTCAAAAAGGATATAGATATATGATACTGGAAATGTAATGAATGGCCTCCTGAAAGAATTATTAAATACTATGGGCAAGCCACCTGGGCAGAAGATGGAATGTGGGGATATCATACCCTCATTTACATGATCAGCCATGTCATAAGGTTACAAGCTGTTCTTGAAATTATAACCAAGGAAACATCAAGGGCTTTAGGTTTGGTGGCCGTGCAAGCCACACAGAGGAGATAAACTATTTATCAAAATAGGTTGGTACTAGATTAACTCCTGGCCTCAGAAAGGACAGTATGTGGGAAGTTCAGTTTAACAAATGTCTGGAAATTGATGATAATGAACAACTTGTCATAAAGATTACTGCAAAGATGTGAAAGCTGGCTCATGTTCCAGTGCAAATCAGGAAAGGCTGGTCTCCAGACTCCTTCTTCGGAGGATGTTTTTCATCTTTTTGTGGATTTAAAACCATAACAGACTGCTTTGTAGTTATCTTAAGTGGGTGTCTAATACTCCCTTCTCTCCTGCCTCTTTTGATCAGAAGCATTCAGTCAAGTATAAAAGCAATTGTGACAAGGCAAACCACCACCCAAATGATGGCTTTAAGTAAACACTATCCTCTATCTAGAGAAGAAAGTGTGCCATCCCATTGAGAAATAGATGATAGTGGTGCTTTCTATTAAAAATTCATTCATAAAAAGCATCAAAGGGGGAAATGAAGTACAGAATTAAAGGAAAGTTAAAACTTGCATAAAAATTGTTGTTAGAGTTAGAATAAAATAGGCCTCAAGTAGCCCCCCACCACTGAAGTAGGAGTTAAGAAAGAATACTAACTGCTTCTCTGTGAAACGTTATCCATAATCTACCCTCTGCATATTTTGTAAGTTCTGTTAAGTTCCTGTTTTTCTGCTGAACAACTGAAAGGTCACAAGATAGATAAGCACTAGCTGCAAAACATGTTTTTCCAAAGATGTAAGACACGTCATAATGTGACTGACTGCTTTTTGTTCTCACTTCTGTAAGCCTGCTTCCTGCCTCGTGTACTGCCTGCCTTAAGATGCATAAAAGGCACTTGCCTTGTTTGTTTGGTGCTCACACTTTTTCTGGATGCTAGTCCACAGAGTTGGGGTACACCCTAAATAATAAATCCTTCTGTGACCCGATTGGTCTCTCTGGTTCTCTGATTTCCCACTACAAATGAACAAAACCTCCAAGAAATATGGGGCTATTGGAAAAGACCACACCTGTGATTGATTGGTGTATGGGAAAGTGTTGAGGAGAATGATAACAAGTTGAAAAACACACTTCAGTATACTATCCAGAAGAACTTCCCCAACCTAGCAAAAAAGGCCAACATTCAAATTCAGGAACTGGAACACCACTAAGATACTCCTCAAGAAGAGCAACCCCAAGACATATAATTGTCAGATCCACTAAGGTTGAAATGAAGGAAAAAGTGTTAAGGGCAGCCAGAGAGAAAGGTCGAGTTACCTATAAAGGGAAGGGACAGCCTGTACAACTATAAAGGGAAGGGAAGTTCTGTACAACTGTAAAGGGAAGCCTGTACAACTAACAGCAGATCTCTCAGCAGAAACCCTATAAGCCAGAGGAGAGTGGGGGCCAATATTCAACATTCTTAAAGAAAAGCATTTTCAACCCAGAATTTCATATCCAGCCAAACTAAGCTTCACAAGTGAAGGAGAAATAAAATCCTTTACAGACAAGCAAATGCTTACAGATTTTGTCACCACTATGCCTGCCTTTCAAGCGCTCCTGAAGGAAGCATTAAACATGGAAGGAAACAACCGGTACCATGCCAAATTGTAAAGACCGTTGATGCTGTGGAGAAACCACGTCAACTAATGTTCAAAATAAGGGATCATATGTTGAAAGGATCAAATTCAAACATAACAGTATTAATCTTAAATGTTAATGGGCAAAATTCTCCAATTGAAGGACAAAGACTGGCAAATTATATAGAGTCAAGACCCATCAGTGTGCTGTGTTCAGGAGACCGATCTCATGTGCAAAGACACACATGGGTTCAAAATAAAGGGATGGAGGAATATTTACCAAGCAAATCAAAAGAAAAAAAGGGGTTGCAATCACAGTCTCTGAGAAAAAAGACCTTAAAACACCAAAGATCAAAAAAGACAAAGAATGGCATTACATAATGGTAAAGAGATCAAGGCAATGAGAAATATTAACTATTCTAAATATACATGCACCTATTACAGGAGCACTCAGATTCATCAAATAAGTTCTTAGAAATCTACAAAAATACTGAAACTCCCACATAATAATAGTGGGAGACCTTAACACACCATTGTCAATATTACAGAGTTCAATGAAACAGAAAATTAACAAGAATACTTAACCCACGAACTCAGCTCTGGACAAAGCAGATCTAATAGACATCTACAGAGCTCTCTGTCCCAAATCAACATAATATACATTCTTCTCAGCACTACATAGCACTTATACTAAAATCGACCACATAATTGGAAGTAAAACACTCCTCAACAAACGCAGAAGAATTGAAAACATAACAAGCAGTCTCTCAGACCATAAAGCAATCAAATTAGAACTCAGGATTGAGAAACTCACTCAAAACCACCAACTACATGGAAACTGAACAACCTGTTCCTGAGTGACTACAGGGTAAATAAAATTAATGCAGAAATGAAGAAGTTCTCTGAAATCAATGAGAACAAAGAAACAATTTACCAGATTCTCTGGGACGCAACTAATGCAGTGTTAAGGGAGAAATTTATACCACTAACTGCCCATGTCAGAAAGCAAAAAAAGTCCAAAATTGACAACTTAGTATCATAATTAAAAGAATTAGAGAAGCAAGAGCAAACACATTCAAAAGCTACAAGAAGTAAGAAATAGGTAAAATCAAAGCAGGATTGAAGAAGGTAGAGACACAAAAAACCCTTCAAAAACTCAGTGAATACACCAGATTTTTTCAAGATTAACAAAATAGACTCATAGCTAGACTAACAAATAATAAAAGAAGAATCAAATATACACAATAAAAATGATAAAGGAGATATCACCACTGATCTCACGGAAATACAAACTACCATCAGGGAATACTATAACCACCTCTACACAAATAAACTAGAAAATCTAAAAGAAATTGATAAATTCCTGGACACATACTCCCTCCCAAGACTAAACCAGGAAGATGTGAAATCCGTGAATAGACCAATAACAAGTTCTGAATTTGAGGCACTCATGAATAGCCTACCAACTAAGAAAAGCCCAGGACCAGATGGATTCACTGTCATGTTGTAACAGATGTATAAAGAGAAGTTAGTACTATTCTTTCTGAAACTATTCCAAACAATAGAAAAAGGGGGATTCCTCCCTAACTCATTTTATGAGACCAGAATCATCCTGATACCCAAACCAGGAAAAGACAAAACAATAAAAATATCAAGCCAATATACCTGATGAACACCAATGAAAAATTCTCAATAAAATATCATCAAACCAAATCCAGCAACATATCAAAAAGCTTATCCGCCATGATCGAGTTGGCTTCATCCTTTTGGTGCAAGCCTGGTTCAACATACACAAATCAATAAATGTAATCTATCACATAAACAGAACAAATGACAGAAACCACATGAATATCTCAATATATCCAGAAAATGCCTTCAATAAAATTCGACATCCCTTAATGTAAAAAACACTCAGTAAACTTGATAATGATGGAACATATCTCAAAATAATAAGAGCTATTTATGGCAAATCCACAGCCAATATTATACCAAATGGGCAAAACCTGGAAGTATTCCCTTTGAAAAATGGCACAAGACAAGGATGTCCTTTCTAACCACTCCTATTTAACATAATATTGGAAGTTCTCAGCACTGCAATCATAAAAGAGAAAGAAATAAAAGTTATTTAAATAGAAAGAGAGGAAGTCAAATTTTCTGTGTTTGCAGGTGACATGATCAGCCCAATAACTCCTTAAACTGATAAACAACTTTAGTAAAGTCTCAGGGTACAAAAGTGATGTTCAAAAAGTACAAGCATTCCTTTACAACTACAACAGATAAGCAGATAGACAAATCCAGAATAAACTCCCATTCACAATCAATACAAAAAGAATAAAATACCTAAGAATATAGCTAACAAGGGATGGGGAGGACCTCTTTAAGCAGAACTACAAACCACTCTTCAAGGAAATGAGAGCGGACACAAACAAATGGAAAAATATTACATTCTCATAGATAGTAAGAATCAATATCCTGAAAATGGTCATACTGCCAAAAGTAATTTAAGATTCAATGCTACTCCCATCAAACTACCATTGGCATTCTTCACAGAATTAAAAAAAAACTATTTTATATTTTATTTGGAATCAAAGAAGACCCCCAATAGTCAAGACAATTCAAAGCAAAAAGAACAAAGCCGGAGTCATCATGCTGTATGACTTCAAACTATACTACAAGGCTACAAAACCAAAAAGCATGGCACGTCTAACAATGTAGCAGAACAGAGGCCTCAAAAATTACAACACACATCTACAGCCATCTGATCTTTGACAAACCTGATGAAAACAAGTAATGGGGAAATTATCTCCTATTCAAGAGAATGGTACGGGAAAACTGGCTAGCTATATGCAGAAAACGGAAACTGAATCCCTTCCTTACACCTATATAATTAACTCAAGATGGATTAAACACTTAAATGTAGCCATCAAAACCATAAAAAAAAAATTAGAAGAAAGCCTAGGCAACACCATTCAGGACATAGGCATGGGCAAATACTTCATGAAAAAAATTCCAAAAGCAATTGCAACAAAAGCCACAATTGACAAATGGAACCTAATTAAACTAAAGAGTTTCTGCACAACAAAAGAAACTATCATCAGAGTGAACAGGAAACCTACAGGGTAGTAGAAAATGTTTGTAGTCTACACATCAGATAAAGGTCTAATATCCATAATTTTCAAGAAACATAAAGAAATTTTCAAGTGAAAACAACCCCACCAAAAAGTGGGCAAAACATATGATCAGAAACTTCTCAAAGGAAGACATTTATGCAGCCAACAAACATATGAAACAAAGCTCCACATCACTGATTATTGGAGAAATGCAAATCCAAACCACAATGAGGTACCATCTCACAATAGTCAGAAGGGCAATTATTGAAAAGCCAGGAAATAAGAGATACTGGTGAGGTTGTTGAGAAATAACATGACCCTGAGGAACCAGAAGTTAACAAATATATTAAGATTTGAACATCTAAGCTAATGACAATAAAAATATGTCACACCAGGACATGTAGAATAAAGCAAATGCAGTACTGAGACTGTTTATATCAACAAACACCCATATCAGGTAAATAGAAAGTTTTTAAATTCTAAAAACCTAATGATGCATAGCAAATAATTTAAAAAGGAGAAAAACCCTAACTCAAATGACTAAAAGTATAATTCTTTCTTGTAATACAAAGATAAAATAAATGCTTGAAGATGAATATCTCACTTACCCTGATGTGATTCTTTTGCATTGTATGCTTATATAAAAATACGGCATATACTCTATATGCACATGATTTCCCTGTACAGATGAGCAGATAGTCATGTTTAGAAAATTCAAACTAATGTAAGGTAACACAAATAGGAATTTAGATTTATATCAGAAAAGCTATTCAAAGATATGTATATAATTAAAAACAAGCAAGCAAAAACTCTGTAGCTGAAAAATACAATTGTCGTGCTAAAGAATCTATGAAAATTATTTAATAACAAAAAATCAAGTGGAATAATTAGTGAGTTTAAAGACAGACTATTAAAAATGTACAGTAAAATAAGACAAAATAATAAATAATAATAAAATAATATAATGCATCTGTAGGATTTATAATGTAGCCTCAAAAAAAACAAATGTAAGAATTATTGGCCATAAAGTAGAAGTAGACAAAGAAATAGAGATACAAAGTGTTTTTAGAAAGGCTGGGTGTAGTGGCTCATGCCTGTAATTTCAGCACTTTAAGAGGCTGGTGGCGTGTGTATCACTTGAGGCCTGGAGTGCGAGACCAGCCTGGCCAACATGATGAAACCCCATCTCTACAAAAATACAAAAATGAGTTTGTCATGGTGGCATGCACCTGTAGTCCCAGCTACTACAGAGGCTAAGGCAGAAAATTACTTTAACCCATGAGGTGAAGAACTAATGACAATACTACTCAAATTATTCTAAAAAATAGAGGAGAAGAATATAACTTCCAAACTCATTTTGTGTAGCCTGTATTATACTTATACCAAAACCAAAGGCACATTCAAACAAGAAAACTACAGGTTAACATATCTGATAAATTTTGATATGAAAATCCTCAATCAAATACTAGAACACTGAATTCAACCATACATTACAAAGATCATTCATCATGATTGAGTAAAATTTATCTCTGTGATGCAAGCATAATATGTCACCATATACAAATCAGTGTGATGAATCAATCTGTTGATATAACAAAATAAAAATATCAGTGAAAATATAATTCAGATTAAAAATAGATAATCATCATAATATAAATGTGTTTATTTGGAAAGATTTAAAATTGAAAATCCATTAGCTAGACAAAGAAAAAACAAGAACAAAAAATAAGTAAAGCCATTAACCAAGTGCAAGAAATCATTAGAAACTATTATGAATAACTATATACACAAACAAGTTAAAAACCCAAGGGAAATTGATAAATTTCTACACTTAGATAGCTTACTCAGATTGAAGAAGAAAGAATTAATAAAAACCAGAACAGAAAAGGGCATGAAGAGATGGAGAGAAAGATGGCAGAATCAAAGGCTCACCAACATGACCTCACCAACATGACCTCACTCACATTACTAACAATTGTAAAAGTAGAATAAAATAAAATAAAGTAAAATAAAGTATGAATGATATCAACATTGATTCATCTCACTGATTGATTTGTATATGGTGATTATACGATAATTCCATTGATACCAAAAATGCATTTCATTACATTCAACATCTCTTCAACATAAAAACCTCAGACACTGGGGAGAGAAAAACGTACCTCAATAAAACCACATAAGCCTACAGGTATTATTATGCTTAGTAGGGAAACACTGAAAGCCTTTTATCTAAGATCTAGTATATGACAAGAATACCCACTGTGGCCCACTTTTATTCAACATAATATTGGAAGTCCTAGTTAGAGCAATGAGACAAGAGAAAGATACAAAAGTTTCTAAATTGGAAAGAAATAAGTCAAATTATCCTTGCTTACAGATTATATAATCTCACATTTGGAAAAACCTAAAGACTCTTATTGGAATGAATAAACAAATTTAGTAAAGGTGCAGTATACAAAATTAACATACAAAATTAGTAGCATATCTATATGCCAACAGGAAACAATGTGAAAATAAAATTTAAAAAGTAATTGCATTTGCAATAGCCACACAGAAAATTAAATACTTAGGGATTAACTTTACCAAAGAAGTGAAATATCTCTGTAATAAAAACTAAAACACTGATGAAATAAACTGAAAAAAACACCAAAATAACTGAAAAATATTACACATTCAAAAACTGGAAGACTCAATATTGCTAAAAAGTCAATACTACCCAAAGCAATCTACAGATTCAATACATTCTCTCTCAAAACACCAATGATATTCTTAAAAGAAATATTAAAAATTAATTATAAAATGTATATAAAACCACAAAAAACCCAGAATAGCTATTCTATACAAAAATTTAAAAAAAAAATCACATTATGACTTTGATTTATACTACAGAGCTATGGTAACCAAAACAACATGATACTAACATAAAAATAGACACATAGACCAATGGAACAGAATAGAGAACCAAGAAACAAATCTATGCTCCTACAGAAAACACATTTTCAACAATGGTGTGAAGAACATATACTGGGGAAAGAGACAGTTTTTTTTTAAATAAATGTTGCTCAATTAACTGGATATCCATATGCAGAAAAATGAAACTAGACACCTATCTCTCACCATGTACAAAAATCAAATCATAATGAATTAAAATTTAACCTATGACCTTAAACTCTTAAACTACAACAAAATAAACTTTGTGGACAAACTCTGGAACATGGGTCTCAGGAAAAATTATGTGTTTAATACTTCATAAGCACAAAAAGGCAACCAAAGCAAAAATAAACAAATGTTATCACATCAAGTTAAAAGCTTCTGCTCAGAAAAAAAAGGAAGAGGGAAGGGGATAACCCATGAAACCTGAAAGAATATTTGCACACTACCCACCTGACAAAAGATTTGTAACCAAAATATATAAAGTGCTGAGACAAAGATATAGGAAAAAAAAAAATCTAATAACCTGACTAAAGAATGGGCAAAATATTTGAATAGGCATTTCTCAAGAGTAAACATATGAGTAGCAAATAGACATATAAAAAGTTGCTAACCTTCACTGATCATCAGAGAAATGCAAATAAAAGCTACAATGAGATATTATATCACTCCAGTTAAAACGGCTGATACAAAAAGAAAAAAAACAGGCAGTAACAAATGCTGACAGTAATGTGGAGAAATGTGAACACTTGTACACTCTTGCTGGGAATGTAAAGTAGTACAGACACTATGGAGAACATTTGGGAGATTTTTTAAAAAGCTAAAAATCGAGCTGTTGTATGATCTAACAATCTCACTCCTGGTTATATACCCCAAAGCAAGAAAATTCATATTATCAAAAAGACATATGCACACCTGTGTTTGTTACAACATTGTTTACAATCACTAAGATTTGGAGGCAGCCTAAGTATTCATCAAAAGATGAGTGAGTAAAAAAGTGGTACATATACACAATGGAGTACTAATACTAATAAGCCATAAAATATAGCATGCTTTCATTTGCAACAACATAGATGGATGTCATATTATTATTTTAAGTAAAATACAGCAGGAACAGAAAGGCAAAACATTACACATTTTCTTTATTTGTGAAACCTAATAAAGCAATTGAACTTATGAACATAGTGAGTAGAGGGCTGTTTACCAGAGGCTGGAAAGAATAATAGGAAGCTGATCAGGAGGTGGAGATGTTTAAGCCATAAAAAGAAAATAGAAAAAATTAATAAGACCTACTCTTTGATAGCACACAAAGTGATTATAGCCAATAATAGCTGTGCATTTAAAAGTAACAAAAGAGAGTAAATGGGTTGTTTGCTACTCAATGAATAAAATGCTTGGCATAATGTATAATCTAGTCTTCATGATAAAATTATTTCAAATTTAATGTCTATTTCAAAATAGCTCAGATATTCCATAAATGTATACCCCAACTATGTACCTACAAAAATTAAAAAGAAAATAAAAATTATAAAAATAAAATAATTTTAATCTAAAATAAAAAATAAATAAAACTTGAACATACCAAAAATTAATTTAAATAGTAAGTTATTATATAAGTATCTCAACAAAATAAATCTGAAGGCTTTAGTGATAAATGGCTTTAGTGATAAATTTTACCAAACATTAGTACAGAATTCATATAAATCATTGGGTTATTCCAAAAAATAAAGACTGTTTCCTAAATAATTCTATGTGGCTAGAATTATCCTAATACCAAAATGAAACAAAGACATAATAAAAGATAAAACTTCAAGTCAGTATCTTTAATGAACACTGATGCAAACTCCTCAATAAAATATTATCAAAACAAAAAATAAGATAATATAACATGGTAAACTGGTATTTTTCACAGGAATGTAAACAAAATTCAACATAGAGATATTGTAAAATGTGATACATCACATCAGCAGAATAATCATCATAACAATACAATAATCTCAATATATGTAGTACATTGAGCTCATATCTTAAAGCATTTGATGAAATTCAACATATTTTCATAAGAAATATTTCCAAAAATTTAGTATGTAACATACATCAACCTAATAAAAACTACATATGATAAACCCACATTTCAGTAAAGGGGGAAAGGTTAATTTTTTTTTGACTTCTCTAGTAACTCCAATAAGACAAGGTTGCCTACTTTCATCACTTGTTCAACACAGTATTGAAAGTATTCGCCAGAGGACTTAGGAAATAGAAATAAATATGGAACATTTAAATTAGAAAAGGGAAACTTAAATTACCTCTCTTTGCAGATGACATAATTCTATACAGTTAAACAATTAAACTAAATACTCTACCAAAGAAACCATTACAACTGATAGACAAATTTAGTAAACATACAGGATATAAAATCAACATATAAAAATTGGCCATGTTTCTATATACCAACAGCATTCAATTTGAAAACAATAAATAAATCGTAGCAAGAAATCAATTCAAACAAAAAGATAAAAAAAATTCTGAAATAAACACCACAAAATGCTAACAAAAGAAATTAAAAGGACACAAATATGAAATACATGGGATTATAGTTTGTGAAAAATGTTAAAATAATTATATTATCCAAAACAATTTATAGATCAAATTAAATCTCTGTCAAAATAACAAGATTTTTATATAAGTAGATAAAACAATCATTAAATTTTAATGGCACCACAGAAGAACCTGAATATCAAAAAATCTACTGAGCAGAAATACAAAGCTGGATGAATCACAGTATCTGACTTTAAAATTGACAAAAAAGCTGTAGTTACCAAAACAGCATGACATAGGTGTAAGTACAGACATATAGACAATTGAGGGAGAACAGAGAAATAAAATAAATAAATTCGCACATTCTCAACTTAGATTATTCAACATGGCCTGAAAAACATTCTTTGGATGAAAGAATAGTGTGTTTAATAAATTGTGTTGGAAATACTGAATATGCAGAGAAATAAAATTCTTACTTTTTTAAAAGGCTTACATTTCACCCTTTATGCAAAAATCAACTAAACATGGATTAAAGACTTAAACAAAACTGGCTTGGAGCGGTGGCTCATGCCTATACTCCCAGCACTTTGGGAAACTGAGGTGGGTGGATCACCTGAGGTTGGGAGTTCAAGACCAGCCTGACCAACATGATGAAACCCCATCTCTACTAAAAAAATTAAAAAAACAAAAATAATTAGCCAGGTGTGGTGGCAGGTGCCTGTAGTCTCAGCTACTCAGGAGGCTGAGGCAGGAGAATGGCATGAACCCGGGAGGTGGAGCTTGCAATGAGCCGAGATGGCACAACTGCACTCCAGCCTGGGCAACAGAGCAAGACTCCATCTCAAAAAATAAATAAATAAATAAAAAAGAAAAGACTTTAAACATAAGTTTCTGATCTATAAAACTACCACAAAAATAGAAGAAACACCTCAAGACATTAGTTTAGTCAAATGTTTCATGAATAAGACTTTAAAAGCAGAAGCAGCAAAATGAAAAATCAATGCACTTCACCACATTGTACTGCAAAGTATTTTCATAGAAAATAGAACAATAAATTAAGAAATTTGCTATTGGACTAATATCCAGAATATACTAGAAACTCATTAGCAAAAAACAAAACAAATTGATTTTTAAAAAATGGACAAAGAGGCCACGCATGATGGTTCACTCCTGTAATCCCAGCACTTTGGGAGACCGAGGCAGGTCAGGAGTTCAATACCAACCTGCCCAAGATAGTGAAACTCCGTTTCTATTAAAAATACAAAAATTAGCTGGTCATGGTGGTGGGTGCCTGTAATCCCAGCTACTAGTGAGGCTGAAGCAGAGAATTGCTTGAACCTGGGATGCGGAGGTTGCAGTGAGGCAAGGTCATGTCACAGCACTCCAGCCTGGGTGACAGAGAGAGACTTGGTCTCAAAAAAAAAAAAAAAAAAAATTGACAAAGAATCTGATTAGGCAATTCTCAAAAGAAGAAATGCACGTTCTCCTCAAAAGCGGATATACGAATACTCCCATTAATATCAGAAGTGTTATGCTTATCACCATAAAATATAAATTAAGACAAAAGTGAGATATTTTCTCACTTTAGTGAAAATAGCTATCAGTAAAAAGATTAAAAAATTGTCGAATGACCATGAGGTTGTGGACAGAAAGAAATATTTATACTGCAGGTGAGAGTGTAAATTAGCACTGTTCTTATATTTTTTAAGTGTTGAGTGTTTACAAAATACTAAAATTACAACCGCCATATGATTCAGAGATCCCACTACTGAGTATTTATTCAAGGTAACGAAAATCAGTTTACAAAAGAAAAAAAAATCTGTTTTTACATGCTTATTGCAGCTCTATTTACAATAGCCAGGATAAAAAAAATCAACTACAAATTTTATCAACATGAGTACATAAAAATGTGGTATATTTACACAATAGTTAATTATTTGGTCATATATAGAACAAAATGATGACGTTTGTGCCAACATGGAGGACACCATAAGATGTTATGCTATGTGAAATAAGCCAGTCACAGAAATAAAAAAACTGCATTATGTCACTCACATTTGAGAGCTTGATAAAGGTTGATTTTATAAAAGTATTGAGTACAATAGTGGTTAACAAAATATATGAAGTGGAAAGGAAGGAAAGAAAGTAGTTGTCTTATTTGTTATAAATTTAGAATTTGACAATAAAAATAATTTCTAGTGTTCTATCACATAGTCCTTGATTATGATAAACAATAAAGTTCTATATATTTCAAAATAGCAAAAAAAGTGAGTTTTGAATATTCTCACCACAAGAAAATAACACATAATTAAGTTAATGGATATATTAATTACCCTGATTTAATCATCACATAATTACATATATTAAAACATCACATTTTTAACCTATACATGTAGAAAATTATGTGCCAATTTAAACAAAATAAAACTTTACTTTCATTATCATATGTTGTCTATATTTACCCAATGTTGCTGCAAATTACAGGATTTTATTTTTCCTCTGACTAATATTCCATTCTAATAATGAAAATATTTATTCTAGTATTTATATACAACCTTATATATAAGAGAGAGACACTCAAAGTACCTGGTTTTAACTTTGTATCACAGAGCCACTGAAGAGGTCTCAAATTACTGGTGTCATTCCTCCATCACTCTATGGCAGTATGGTATGCTGAAGGAATATCTCTGTGTGCTGGGGAAGAGAAAACAGGAATTTTGAAGCAATAAACTGAGTGCTGTCCTGTTAGAGCAAAAAGGAAAAAAATGAACCAAACTCAGCAGATGCTAAGTCATAAAGGGAGCATTTAATCCAGCCCAAGTTAGAGGGGAATTGGCAATTCCAGCAGTACAAACTGGAGTTTTTACCTACCTCACTACTGAGGGTTAAAATGCTCTGGGTTTCTAAGTAAACCTGAAAGGCAGTCTTCAAGGACTTTTATAAGGACCACAACTCTTATGCAAATTCTAGTGTTGAACTAAGCTCAGAGACAGTGGACTGGGGAATCAAGATCTACCGAAACCCCCAGCTGGAGTGGTTAAGAGAGTGAGGGCATCATTGCTCTCCTAATCACAGGCTGCACAGCTAATAGATAAAAAAGAGATCTCTGCCAGGCGCAGTGGCTCATGCCTGTAATCCTGGCACTTTGGGAGGCCAAGGCATGCGGATCATGAGATCAGGAGTTTGAGCTATCCTGGCTAACACGGTGAAACCCTGTCTCTACTAAAAATACAAAAAATTAGCCAGGCGTGGTGTCATGCACCTGTAGTCCCTGCTACTTGGGATGCTGAATCAGGAGAATCTCTTGAACTGGAAGGCAGGGGTTGCAGTAAGCCGAGATTGCCTGCATTCCACCCAGGGTGACAGAGCAAGACTCTGTCTCAAAAAAAAAAAAAAAAAAGAGAGAGAGAGTGAGAGAGACAGCTTTCTTCCAATTCGAAAGAGAAGAGAGAAGAATATGGATAACTTTGTTTTCCATCTTGTATACCAGCTCAGCTCAGCCACAACAGGATAGGGAACTGGTCAGAGTCATGAGGTTTCTTTTTTAGGACCTAGCTTCTGAATAACATCTCTAGCTATGTTGGACCATAAAAGACATGCTGCCTTTTAGGAAAGCACCAAGTTATGGCCACATTCATCAGATGTTAACTGAGGAGCCCTTGGGCTCTAAATAACCATCAATAGGTACAGCATCAGAGGTGTTGGGTGAGCCTCTGAGACTAAGTGGCTTCAGGTGACACACAGCAAATTCCACATGACATCTATGGGGCAAAATTCCTTCTGTGTGATAAAAAGCAAAGGGAAATGTAAAGAAGACATTTTTCTTGCAGCTTAGGTGCCAGCTAGGCGACAGCAGGGTATAGCACCAAGCAAATTATTGAGTAATTCTATTCTATGACTCTTGAAGGTCATTTCTAGACTTTCTCTGGATCACAAGGGAGCCTTCTGATCAGAAACCTGAGTCTCAGGCCTGGAAGCGACAATTACAAGATGGCCTAAGAGCCCTTGAGCCTTCAGGGAACATTGGTAGTAGTGCAGAAATACTTCCTGAAACCTGGGGTCATGGTGATCATAGAATGAGAATCCTCTGCCTCTTATAAAAAGGAAGAAAGACTTAGGAGAATTGCATCCTGTGTTTTAAGTGCCAGCTCAACCTCAGTGTAACAGAACACAAGTTAGGCTTCTAAAATTTTGACTCTAGTTTCTAACTACAAAATAATAACAACTGGGGCCTGGGAGATCTTGACAGCCTGATGGGAAGAACATATACCTGACTGGCTTCAGCATTTGCTGACTGTAGAGTCCAAAGATCTTGAGTGAAAATAGGCAGTAGTCAAGAAGTGCTTACAGAAGGCTTTGGTTGAGACTCAGTGCTTTGCTTGCTTCAGGGTTAAGTCCACATAGTCATAGTGATAGAGGCCACATGAATGATGCTGTTACTCTACCCAAGCTTCAGGAGGTTCAAAACAGAGAATGAGATTCTCTTTGAGAGAAGTTATAAAAACAGAATGAGAATAATACAATGATTTTTTGCAGCAACACGAATGTAGCTAGAGGTCATTATTCTGAGTGAAGTCCATAGGAGTGGGACACATGAATTCACTCTGTATGCCTTTGAATACTCGTAGCTTAGGTCCCACTTATAAGTGAAAACAATTAAGAGTGGGATCTAAGCTACGAGTATGCAAAGGCATACAGAGAAACAAAATGGAATTTAGAGACTCAGAAGGTGAAGGTTGAAAGGGGATTCAGGGATTTTTCACAAAACTACATACTAGGTAAAATATACACTACTTGGGTATATCTAGCTACTTGGCTACTTGGGTGTTGGAGACACTAAAATATTAGAATTCATCACTATATACTTATTCAGTTAACTAAAAAACACATATCTCCCAAAGTATTGAAATAAAATATAAATACATTCAAATAAAATAAACTAACATCCTAAATTATTAATGGGTCAAAAAGTGAGAATAAAGTGGAAATTTTCTCAAATCAAATGATAGTGGAAACATATTATACCCAAACTTATGAAATACAGCAAAATAAATACTAAAAGGAAGGCTTGTAGGTATGCATTTATATATGAATAAAGGGGAAAAACTTCAAATAAACAACCTAACAATGTATCTTAAAGAACTAGAACACCAAGAGAAAACCAACCCCTAAATTAGTAGAAAAAAAGAAATACCAAAGATCACAGCATAAACAAATAAAATTGAAATAGAGAAGACAATAGAAAAGATTACTTTTTAAAAGTTTTTTTTGCATAGTAAATAAAATTGATAAATTTAGCCAGACTAAGAAAATAAGAGATAATAGCAAAAAATTAAAAATAAAAAGTGAAAAAAGACATTATAACAGATATTGCAGAAATTCAAGGTATTATTAGGTCTACTATGAGCAACAATATGCCAATAAATTGAAAATTCTAGAAAGAATGGACAAATTTCATGACTTACAGAATCCATCAAGTTTGAACCAGGAAGAAATTCAAAACCGGAATAGACCAATAACAAGTAATGAGATAAAAACCATAATGTAAATATGTCTGTAAAGAAAAGCACAGTAAAGTACAGCCTTCAATGCTATAATCTACCAAACTTTTAAAGAAAAACTAATATTAATTCTACTCAAATTATTCTGAGGAATAGTGGAGAATGGAATTACTCCAACTAATTAGATAAAGCCAATATTACCCTGATACCCAAACCAGACAAAGACACATCTAGAAAATAATACCACAGGCCAATATCTCTGATGGCTATTGAAGCAGTAACCCTCAATAAAATACTAGCAAACAAAATTCAACAATATATTAAGAGCATCATATATCATGACCAAGTGGGATTTATTCCTGGAATAAAAACATGATTTAATGTATGCAAATCAAACAGTCTGCTATATCATTTCAATAAAAGAAAGGATAAATTTTATATAATTTCAATTGATGGTGATAAAGCAATTGGTTAAATTCAACATCCTTCAAGACAAAAATCCTCAAAAAACAGCAGAAAAAAGAAACATACCTCAACATAATAAAAACCTTATATGACAGACTAAAAAATATTCAGTATTGTACTGAATGGGGAAAAACTGAACATATTTTATCTATAATCTACAATACAACAAAGTTGCCCACTGTGACCACTATTATTCAACGTAGTACTGGAAGTTCTATCTAGAGAGATCAGACAAGAGAAATATATGAAAGACATTTAAGTGGGAAGAGAATAATTCAAATTATTCTACTTTGCAGGTGATATAATCTCATATTAGAAAAAAAACTTAAGGACACCACAAGAAAACTATTAGAGCTGATAAACAAATTGGGTAGAGTTGTAGTATATAAAATTAACAGACACAAATCTGAAACAGTAAACAATCTGAAAAAGAAATAAGAAATCATCTTATTTTCAATAGTCACACATAAAATTAAATACTTAGAAATTAACCAAAGAAGTGAAAGATCTGAATAATGAAAATAGTTGAAGATGACACTACAAAATGGTAAAACATATTATGTTCAGGAATTGTAAGACAATATTGTTAAAATGTCCATACTACCCAGAGCAATCTACAGATTCAATGTAATTCCTAACATAATACCAATAATATTTTTGAAATAAATGAAAAAATAATTTTAAATTTTACATGGAACCACAAGAGACTCAGAATAGCTAAACCTGTCCTTAGAAAAAAGAACAAAATTAGATAAATCAAATTATCTGACCTCAAATTAGAGTCCTGAGCCACAGTAAGTAAAACAGCCTTAAATAGCCAGTTTACTAGCATAAAATAGAAACACAGAAAAATGAAAATGAATAGAGAACCTGAAAAAAATCCACACAGCTACAGTAAACTAATTTGGACAAATGTGCCAAGAACATCCACTGAGGAAAACATACACCCTATTAAATGAAGATGCCAAGAAATCTGGGCTTCCATATGTGCAATAATAAAAATGAGACTTCTACTTTTGGCCATATATAAAAACTGAATCAAAGTGAATTAAAGCCTTAAGTCTACAACCTGAAACTCTGAAATTACAAAAAAAAGACTTGGGAAAATCTCCAGGTTATTAATATGAAAAAAATATTGCTTTTTTTTGAGATAGGTTGTCACCCATGCTGATGTACAGTGGCAAGATCAAAGCCCACGGCAATCACCATCTCTAAGGCTAAAGCAATCTCCTGTCACAGCCTTTGAGAAGCTGGGACTACTGGCACATATCACCACATACCATGGAAATTTTTGTGTGTGTGTGTTCACTTTTGTAGAGATGGGGTTACATCATGTCCTCAGGTTGGTTTTGAATTCTTGTGCTCAAGAAATCCATATAAGTTAGCCTTGCAAAGAGCTAGTATTATAGGTATAAGCCACCCTGCCTGACCAAAGATTTCCTCAGCAATTCCCCAGAAGCACAAGCAACCTAACCAGAAATGGACGTCTGGAATCAACATGCAGTTGAAAAGTTTCTGCAGGGGAAAAATTTAAAAATCAACAATGTGTAGAGATTATTCACAGAAATAGAAGAAATATTTGTAACTTACCCATCTGACAAAGGATTAATAATCACAATAAATAAAAATCTCAAACAATCTATAGGAAAAAATTTATAGGAAAATCTTATAATTTGGTCAAAATATTTGAAAAACATATTTCTCAAAGGAAAACATACAAATGTGACCAGGTATATCAAAAAGTGCTCAAGATCATTAATTATCAGAAAAATCCAAATTAAAATTACAATAAGATATCATCTCAATCTAGTTAAAATGGGTTTTATTCAAAAGACTTTCAATAACAAATTCTGCTGAGAATTTGAAGAGTGTGAAATGTGCTCACATTCAAGGAGCAGTGTCCCAAAGTTGTGCAGAGCTGAAAGTCCTTGAATATGGTCCATGAAACAACCATTTATCTTTGCTAAGCTTCTGTGTCTGTGGTAAAAGAGGCTCTCTGAAATATCTTAGAGGTTTTTTCCCCATTGTCTTGGATACTAACACTTAGCTCCTTTTTGCTTTACTGCAGCATCTTAAATTTCTTCTCTGAAAAAGAGCTTTGCTTTTCTACCACTTTGCAGGCTGCAAGTTTTCCAAACTTTTATGCTGTATTACTTTTTTTAACATAAGTTTCAGTTTCATGTCATCTGTTTGCTCATGCATATGAGCTTAGGTTGTTAGAAGCATCCAGGTGACATCTGGAGCACTTTCTGCTTAGAAATTTTTTTCACCACATACCCTAAATTTTTCCACCACAGACTCTAAGTCACCATACTCAACTTCAGAGTTCCACATATCCCTAGGGCAGGGGTACAATGCATTATCAAGGGTACCTTGCTAATGTGTAACAAATATGACATTTGCTCTGCTTCCCAATAAGCTCCTTATTTCCATGCATGATCTCCTCAGTGTCTACTTCATTTTCCCTATCACTATCAGCACATTGGTCACAACAATTTAGTAACACTCTAGGAAGTCCCAAACTTTTCCTTATCATCTTCTGAGACCTCCACACTCTTCTAACCTATGTTAGTTATTTAATTCCTATGTGGCTTCCATATTTTCAGGTAGCTTCATAGCAATACCCTACTGCTCCATACCAATACTCTGTATATAGTCTGTTTTCCCAGCAATACAGAGTTTTGGTATTATCTTAGACACATTTAAGAATAATGCCCACTAGTTTCTACATTTCCTCTCATAAATTTTAACTTTTAACTGAAATGGTAATGATCTATATAATTTATATATCCTATATAATGATATATTTACATTGTATCATTTTAAAGCATACACTTGGGGGTTTTTAATTGTTTCACAATGTTTTTTCACTGCAATTACTAATTTAAAAATATTTTTATTACCCTGATACAAAATTTTCCTACAAACAGGCTGAGGGCAGCAGGATGGAAGCCTGCAAATGTTCTGACCAGGCTGCACCACAGCAGAGCGAAAAGCACCTGGATAGCCTGATGGGCAAAATTGCCTTTCTGAAGAAATTTCACTAAGAGGAGATCCATCCACTTGCAGGGGCAGATCCAGTATGTGCAGATCTCCATAGAGATAAACATGTTCACCAATCTCAACCTCACCTCTTTGCTGGAGGTCATCTGCCCACAGTAGGGAAAGATGGCTGCCAAGAGCATGCAGAGCATGCAGAGGAGTGCTTTAAGAGCCCTTTAGACTGCTGAGCCAGAGCACTGTCAAGAGGGTCTATGCCATGCAAGGCACCAGAAACAAGGTGTCTCAGAGCCACTACCTGCTCAAGACCAAGAACTTGGAGATCAAAGCATGCTAGGGCATGAAGGAAGTAATGGAGATATAGCTGCAGGAGCCAAAGGACAAGTTGAACACCTACATCAGTAGTGTGCAGGCCATCATCCACAAATTAGAAAATGAATTGAAGATGGCAAAGTTAAACATCTGGATACCTAAATGAATACCAAGTCCTCCAGGTGAAGATGGCTCTTTGTATTGAGGCTGCAGCTCAGAGGAAACCCTTCAAAGGCAAGGAGACCCAGCTGAGTTTCAGCAGCATGGGAAGCACACTGCTTCCAGACCCCCTGGTCTTTGGTTTATCACCTACTGGGGTTCACATACCAACTCCTACATGATGTCCACCCACTCCTTCCTGTCCTACTACAGTAGCCATGTGCAAGAGGAGTAGATCATGGTGGAGGAATCCATTGAGAGTGCTAAGATTGAGGAAGGCAAAGACTAGTACCCCTCTGAAGAAAAAGCCTAGGAGGAGAAAGATAATAAAGAGGAGGAGGAAGAGGTGGCAGGGAAGAGGACTAAGCTGCTAAGGAAGTGTCTAAAGAAGCAAAGGATAAAGAAGAAATAGGTCAGGGTGAAGAAGGAGAGGAAAAGCTGAAGAGGAGGAAAATAAAGTTGAAGGTGCTGGGGAAGAACAAGCAGGTAAGAAGAAATATTAACCCCCATTCCCTTCATTATTCCAGGACAAATTCTCCCCAAATCAGGTCAACTCATCAACAACCAACCAATCACTTAAGTTCCAGATCCTATGTGAATTAATGTGTCAATATATGTATAATTCTAAGATGACTGAGGTTAGATATTTGGCATTGTGGTATGAATTTCCATTCTCTGCAGAGTATTTGTTTGCTTGCAGAGTGGTTTTCTGGCTTGCTGCCAACATTTGCATGATCCTCACTTATGAGTTCAGGATCTACAGCAATGTGAATGGTTTGCAATAAAAAATACACATAATACATGAATTCACTATTCACTAATTTTAATGTTAAACTCCATGGAAAAATAGTCCTTTGAAGTTTTGATGTCTAGAAATTAAGGACCTCAAGTTATGTCCAATAAATAGTAAATAGTATTATACTGGATGACATAAACAAAGAGATTTTACTATTCAGAATATTTTATTTAACAATTCACAGTGTGTGCCTTTATGTTTCTTGTTTTTGTTTGTGTAGCATAAGATTTTCAGTGTTTCAAGGGGTTATACCATTCACTCTTTATTTCATGACTAATTAATGTTGCATTGTATGAAACGTCTACATTTTATTTATAAATTTATTAGGTAATGGACATTTGTTTGTCTCATACATTTTACTTACTTCAGAAGTATTTTTATTTATGTTAAATAATTTCTTTGATTACCTGATTTCAGTTTTGGGGGAAAAGTGTGGAATATATGCTCAGATAAAATATGCCTGTTTGTATGAAATTTTTATGTCATCCTTTGAGAAGTGTCTATTCAGCTCTTTTGTCCATTTTTTACCATTGGATTATGAGTTTTTTCTTTTAGAGTTGTCTGAGCTCCTGTATTCTGATTAGTCATCAGATATATATAAACATATATTCTGATCATTACTCCTTTGTTAGATAAGTAGGTTGCAAAATGTTCTTCCGTTCTGTGGGTTGTCTTTTCATTTTGTTGATTGTTGTCTTTATTATGCAGAAGCTTTTATTTTTTGAGATGGAGTCTCACTCTGTCACCCAGGCTAGAGTGCAGTGGCACAATCTCAGCTCACTGCAAACTCCACCTCCTGGGTTCATGCCATTCTTCTGCCTCAGCCTCCCGAGTAGCTGGGACTACAGCTGCCCACCACCAGGTCTGGCTAATTTTTTTGTATTTTTTAGTAGAGACGGGGTTTCACCATGTTAGCCAGGATGGTCTTGATCTCCTGACCTCGTGATCTGCCCACCTTTATGCAGAAGCTTTCTAATTTGTTTTGATCTCACTTTTTATTTTTGCTTTGGTTTTGGTAAAGAAATTTTTTTTGTGGAGTTTTGGTCAAGAAATATTTGCCCAGACCAATGTCCTGAGGGCCTTGTTTTCAATGTTTTCTTCTAGCCATTTTATAATCTGAGGTCTTACATCTTAAGTCTTTACTCCATATTGATTTAATTCTCATTCTTCTGCATATGGATATTTGGTTTACCCAGAAACATTTATTGAACAGACTGTCTTTTCTCCAGTGTATGTTCTTGGGAACTTTGTTAAAAATGAGTACCCTGTAGATGTATAAATTCTTTTCTGCATTGTCTAACATGTTCCACTGGTCAATGTGTTTGTTTTTATGGCAGTAGCATGTAGCTTTTTATGTTTTAATTTTTTACTATCATTTTATAGAATAATTTGAAATCAGGTAATGTAATTCCTCCAGCTTTGATCATTTTGCTTAAAACAGATTTGGCTATTCTGGGTCATTGTGGTTCCATACTAATTTGTTTCTTTGTTTATTTTTATGAAGCAAGTCATTGGTGTTTTTATGAAGGTTTCATTAAACCTGATTTTGGTAGTATAAATATTTTAACAGTATTAATTATTCCAATTTATGAACATAGAATATCTTTCTAGTTATTGTGTCCTCTTCAATTTCTTGCATCAATTTTTTATAGTTTTCAGATCTTTCACTTCTTTGCTTAAATTAGTTTCTAGGTGTTTTATTTGTAGCTACTGTAAATGAGATTACTTTCTTGATTTTTTTTTAGACAGTTTGCCATTGACATATATAAATGTTACTTTTTTTGTAGGTTGATTTCATATCCTCCAACTTTACTAAAGTTGGTTCTTTGATACTTTATTTATTATACTTTATTTGATACTTTATTTATTAAATGCCTTGAAGTAGCCTTCTATGGTTTAAATCTCCTTGGTGTTCTATACAACTTTCTTGAACTTGGAAACAAATATCTTCCTATAGGTTTGAAAAGTTCTCTACTGTTATGATTTTGAATAAAGTTTTAGCTCTCTCTCACTCTCTGCCTTTTTTTAGGGCCAATTATTCTCAGTTTTCCCCTTGAGGTTACTTCCTAGATCCTGTAGGAATACTTTATTCTTTTTTTAAATTTCTTTAATTTCTTTTTTTTTTTTTGTCTCCTCTGACTGTATTCAAATAATCTGTCTTCAAGCTCACTACTTTTTTCTCCTGCTTGATCAGTTATTCTACAAAAGACACAGATGTATTCAGGTGCAGTGGTTCATGTGTGTAATCCTAGCACTTTGGGAGGCTGAGGTGGGTGGATCATGAGGTCAGGAGTTAGAGACCAGCCTGGCCAATACAGTGAAATTCTGGCTCTAAGTAAGTGCAAAAATTAACTAGGAATGGTGGTGCATGGCTGTAACTCCGGCTACTTGGGAGGCTGAGGCAGAAGAATTGCTTGAACCCAGGAGGCAGAGTTTGCAATGAACCTAGATTGTGCCATTGCATGGCAGCCTGGGCAACAGAGTGAGATTGCTTCTCAGAAATAAATAAATACATAAATAAATACATAAATAAATAAATAAAAGACAGTGCATTTTTCTGTTTTTGAATTATACTTTACCTTCTAAAATGCTGCTTGGCTCTTTTTAGTTATGTAAATTATTTTGTAAAATGATGAATTTTAACATTTTAATTTCAAATTGATAAAATTCTGTATTTCTTCTCAGTGTTTTCTCAAATTCTGTCATCCTTCTCTGTGCTATGCTGAATTTATCTTGAATTTCTTTTCTGTGTTATCTTCCAAACAGAACTATTTTGAATTCTAAGTCTGAAGGACCACATATCTTTGTTTCTTCAGGATTGATCCCTAATGTCGTGCTGAGTTTGTCTGGGACAGTCAATTTTTCCTTGGTGGTCTTGCTGGTTGTTGATGTTCATTGGTTTCTGGGCATTGAAGAGTTATTGTTGTCTTCACAGTCTGAGCTTGCTTATACCAGCACAGGGGAAGGCTTACAGATATTTGAAAAAAACTTTGGTGTTACTATCTAAACCTTATCTGCATTAGGGAGCTTCCTAAGCCCAGTAATGTTGTGATTCTTATAGATGTGTAAAAAGCACCACATAGATGAATGGTCTTAAATGAGGTCTAGAAGAACTTTATAAATTAGCAGGCAGATGCTTTAGTCCTCTTCCCCTGCTTTTTTCCAAACAAATCTCCCACTCCGTCTCCCTCTCCCTCTCCCTCTTCCCTCTCCCACTCCCCCTCCCTCTCCCCTTCTCTGTAAAAATAACACCCCTGTGTCCACCACCCCGGGACTCCACTGTGGGACAGACATGAAGCCAGGACAGCACTAGGTCTTGCACAAAACCAGGTCTAATTATTAACCATTTACTGCCTATGTTTGCTAAAGAACCTATGGCTCTACATAAACAAGTTATAAAGACAACCAGATTTTTTTCCTTCCACTGAGGGCAGAAATTTCCCCTAGGTCATGGACAGATCCAGAGATGAAATGAGAACTAGGGACTAGAGTAGAGAACTTCACTGGCCAGGAGCAGTGGCTCACTCCTGTAATCCCAGCGCTTTGTGAGACTGAGGTGGGCGGATCACGAGGTCAGGAAATTGAGGCCAACCAGGCTAACATGGTGAAACCCCGTTTCTACTAAAAATACAAAAACAAACAAACAAACAAACAGCCAGGCATTGTGGGGTGTGCCTGTAATCCCGGCAACTCAGGAGAGTGAGTCAGGAGAATGGTATGACCCCAGGAGACAGAAGTGGCAGCGAGCTGAGATTGCACCATTGCACTCCAGCCTGGGCAACAGAGCAAGACTCCATCTCAAAAATAAAAATAAAAATAAATAAAAAAACCTTAGGTAGCCTATTCTACTGCGTCTGAGCTGGCCATTATGGAGAATAGTATGGAGGTTTCTCACAAGGTGAACAAACAAATATAAAACCTACTGTATGATCCAGCAACCTCATTATTCAAGAAAAAGAAAAACGTATATTAAAGAGATACTTACACCATCATGTTCATCCCAGCTTTAATCAGAAAAGTTGAGATATTATCAACCTAAATGTTTGCATATATGTATACAGAGAGAGAGAGAAAGATAGAGACAGAGAAAGATGGAGAGAGAGAAGTTGTAGAATGGACACTCAAGATTATCTTCACTAATAAGAAGTAACACTGAGGAGAACATGGTTGAGGTAAGAGCCAAAGTAATCCAGACTTTTCCCTCTATTCTTCTTTTTCTCCAAGATATGTATGGTATTATTCTATGTAAATTCAAAAGGGCTGCAATATGAACAGAGGTTTGATCTACAGAAACATCACTACTTGTCTTAACTTATTTAACTAGTGGTCTGACCTCACTATCACAGGATATAGCAAGACAACTACTGAAGGGATGCATAATGGGCATCAGTAGATATGATTTTGGTGGATTTTTCAATTGTTTCAATTGTAAAAGTTCATGAGGGATGAACATTAATCTCAACAGTGTCGTTTTCTCCAGCAGCTTAACAGTAATAACATGCAGCTCAGTCTCTTGCAGTAGTATCTCAGAAATAAAGCACCAGTAGGAAAAACAAATGGGTGGAGAAGAGAAGTGATAAAGAGTAAAGATAAGAAGCACAGCTGGTGGAGCCCCTTGTGCCAGTTTACTGGGTCTCAGGACACTATTTTCTCATTTTTGTTGTTGTTGTTTGTTTTGTTTTGTTTTGTTTTTAGATGAAGGTTTGCTCTTGTTGCCCAGGCTAGAGTGCAATAGCGTGATCTCAGCTCATTGCAACTTCCGCCTCGTGGGTTCAAGTGAATCTCCTTCCTCAGCCTCCCAAGTAGCTAGGATTACAGGTATGCATCACAATACTTGGCTAATTTTGTATTTTTAGTAAAGAGGGGGTTTCACCATGTTGGTCAGGCTAGTCTTGAACTTCCCACCTCAGGTGATCCACCCACCTTGGCCTCCTGGCAGCAGAGGTATCATAATCAGGACACTATTTTCGAATAAACAGGCACTCAAAAGAGGAGAGGGAGTGACCCCCAGCTTTCTTTATGTACTCAGTGTGAGTTTGTGCCATCTTCTCTTAGCTTTATTTGTCTTTATGTCTCTGGTACATTTTATTTTTTTTCTGAATTTGCATGTATATACATTCATAAGTGTCTGTGTTGTTTTTCATTATTTCTTTTCTTTTTTTTTATTTTTTTAATTTTTTTGGCAGAGTCTGGCTCTGTCTCCCAGGCTGGAGTGCAGTGGCACAATCTTGGCTCACTGCAAGCTCCGACCCCAGGTTCACACTATTCCCCTGCCTCAGCCTCTGGAGTAGCTGAGACTACAGGTGCCCGCCACCACGCCTGGCTAATTTTTTGTATTTTTAGTAGAGATGGGGTTTCACCGTGTTAGCCAGGATGGCCTTGATCCCCTGACCTCGTGATCCACCCGCCTCAGCCTCCTAAAGTGCTGGGATTACAAGAGTCAGCCATCGTGCCTGGCCTGTTTTGCATTTTTTCTTGCCTCTCCATCTATTTCTTTCACTATGTTACTTTTTACATTTTAAATTTTATTATATTTTCCATTGACATATAATAAATGCACACTTATATATCGAAGACCATGTTATTCTATACATGCATACATATATCAAATAAAGGTATTTATCCATCACCTCTAAGGTTGATAATTTGTGATGAGAACCCTAGAAATTTTCTCTTCTACATTGAAATATACAATGCATTATTATTTTTATTGTTTATTGTTTATTATTATTATTATTTGAGATGGAGTTTCACTCAGTCACCTGGGCTGGAGTGCAATAGTGCAATCTTAGCTCACTGCAACCTCTGACTCCCAGGTTCAAGTGATTCTCTTACCTCAGCCTCCTGAGCAGCCGGATAACAAGTGCCCACCACTATGCCCAGCTAATTTTTTGTATTTTTAGTAGAGACAAGGTTTCCCCATGTTGGCCAGGCTGGTCTCAAACTCCTGACCTTGTGATTCTCCTGCCTCAGCCTCCCAAAGTGCTGGAATTACAGACATGAGCCACCTTGCCAGCCTACGATGCATTATTACTAAACACAGTGACCCTGCTGTGACATATTTCTTCCATCTAACTGCATTTTTTTGTATCCATTGACTAATCTCTTTCTATCCCTATGATTCATACTCTTTTTAGCCCGCAGTGTTGCAGGACATTCCCTTATTCAACTAAAAACAGGGTTATTTGTCCTGCAGCTATGAAAATTTCAGCTAACAGACAATTTAAATGATAAGACAGACACAGGGTTTTATTGGGTAAAAGGGAAGAAAAGGGAGAAACAGTGACTCCTGCAAGGCCAGAGTTCCTACTAGTGGGCTTCCTGCCTGCCTGTTTCCCTACTTCCACACAATAAGAGGAGGAGCCAGGCTCATTGCTACTGCAAATGGTACAATGTTCTGAGGCATAAAATTAAAGAAAGAAATGAAAATAAAATTAAACTAAAAGAAAAAAACAAATTTTTCTGTATTAGGCTATCTCATGCCAAAAAGCAGTAACAGACACAGCCCAGGCCCAGGCGAGGTCCTGGTAACACTATCTAAGAGGTCAGGAGCCAAAAGAAATGTGCTCCAGAGACTCTCCCTAGCACTCCCCATCATAAGGATAAGTAAAACAAAATTCCTCTTTTAGCCCTTTATCCCCTCCCCATAAATATTTTGCAAGTTTTGTAAGTTCCTGTTTCTCCTTAGATGCAGATGCAAGGTTACAAGCTACAGTAGAGATTATGAGACCTGTCACTGTTTAATTAACTGTCTTTGTTCTGCTTCTGTAAGCTTGCTTATAAAAATCAAGCCGTGTCTTTGTTCTAGGCTCAGCTTTTTGGATGCGAATCCACTGAGCCTGTGTACACCTTAATACAAATCCTACTATAACACCCATTTGGTCTCTCTGATTCTCTAATTTCTGCAACAGTTCCTGAGGCTCATCACAGTGTTCATTCCTTCTAGTGTGCAGGCTGGTTGGAGATTCTCTGGAGAACCCCTTTCACCTGGCTATCTAATTCTTTGTACTAAAGAAGTACATCTAACTTCTGTTAATATAAAAATAAGAATACAGACAAAGACTAAACTTAACTCCTTCCTACTGATGGAGGATACTGTTTTGGGGAAATGGCAGTCAGACCCCTCTCAGAGGCCTATTTAAGAGTCCCTAGAGGAGGAACATAAAGGGCCATCATCAGAGGCTTCAGCTGAATTACCATTTAGAGTTTTACAGTCTGAAGGCAAGAACAAACAAATCAGGTTGTTAGAAAACATGTATGAAAATGAAACAAAGGGAGGGCTTAGAAGTGCTCAAAAGTTTCAAAGCATTTTAGCAGTTTGCATCAAAGGGAGGTCAAAAACCTGACTAACTAGAAAAACTTTACCATTTTGCCAGCCTGTAGGGCTTCAGGGTTTCCTTCCCCTGAGCTCAATTTTAAGCCAACCATTTAACGTTTGAGAAATTTTCTCTTTTCAGTTTGGAAAAGGCCTCTGAGGTGAGTGACTTGTATTGCAGAGACACAATTATTTAACCATGAAGAGTGAGCTGGGGAGGAGAAAGTAAAAGAGAAGGGATATTTTAAAGGAGTCTCAGAAGTTCAGGATGCATTCAAAAGGGGTACAGACTGAAGATGAACTGATACCGTTGTAGAAAGAGGGAATCAGGCATCCCTGGTTTCCTTCTCTTCCTAGCAGATACCTGAGGTACACGAGGGAGAGATGGAATAGCATCCTCTTTCCCTCATTCTTTCTTGTATTTCCAAGTTCCAATGACCTTGGCAGGCACTGCCATGGGTATTAAAGTGGCTTGCACCCATGAAGCAGAGGATCCTAGGAGGTGAGAATTATCCACTCTTACCCATGTACACTCTATCTTCTTGGCTTTCAGTAACCTTGGATACCCTAGACCTCATTTATCCCATGGATACTAATATGGCCTTTATCCATGAAACAGGAAGCTTGGGGTTGGCTTAATTATCAGGAATAACCCACATTTACCTGTGCTGTGCCTTTTAACCTGTGTTTTCATCTGCCTTAGGATTGCTCAGGTCCATTTTTTTCCCCTAGTGCTTTAATCCAAAGCTTGGAATTGAGATTGGGAAAAAATGTGTCAGCAGGGAGTTGGGGAGGTATCTCAAAGACTCCTTATCATAAGCCGAATGCTAAGGTGAAACTATGGAACTCAGTTCTCCTCCAACAAGGGAGAGAAACAGATGTCTTGTGGCACACCCAAATAACTGATGGCGATAGTTATGCTTTCTAGGATTTGGGTGCATAGTGCTTAGCCTCAATTAGCTCCTTCAATGTTACTTTCCCAAAAGGAAACCTCTGATTGATAAGTATTCTATTTATTCCCATAACCTGGCAAGATTTTCAGGATAATTGCTCAGAACTAGGATATTGATGTAGATTTTTACATTATCTATTTCTCTTGTTCTTTATGAGCTGCAGCCAGAGCCAGAGCTGGTAGATTCACAGGAACAAGCAGGGTTAGTCAAAAGTATAGGTGAAAACTTAAAAAACAACTAATAAATTTTGAAATTAATGACAAATGTAAAATAAGTTTTGAAACATTATTTCCCTCTATCAACTCCTTGTTTTTGTTAAACAAAATTTTAAGACTGAGTGTTTTGCAAAATAGACTTTAGCCTTATACTTGGCCTGATAATTTGCATAGAGTGCTGCAATAATACCTATTCCTACGTAAGGATTTTGGATTGGTTTTGATGAAAGTCTGTTCCACAAGCAATCTCAGATAAGACCTTTTAAAGCCAAGGACAGTTTTAGGTTTATTCTCAAATACCTGTGAGTTAGATAATCCTCTTCTCTTAAGGTCACAAGATAAACTTAGAGATCTTGGATCTGTTAGAATGTGACATTCTTTACTGACCACGTGTTGTTTCCCTCTCCAAGTCTATGTGTTCTCATTGTTCAACTCCCACTTAAGAGTGAGAACATGTGGTATTTGGTTATCTGTCCCTATCTTAGTTTGTTGTGGATGATGGCTCCCAGCTTCATTCATGTCCCTGCAAAGGATATAATCTCATTCCTTTTTATGGTTGCATAGTATTCCACAGTGTATTTCTACCACATTTTCATTATCCATTGTATCATTGATGGGCATTGTTGGTTCCATGTCTTTGCTATGGTACTTAGTGCTGCATTAAACATATGTGTGCATGTGTCTTTATACTAGAATAATTTATATTCTTTTGAGTGTATACCTGGTAATGGGATTGCTGGGTCAAATCATATTGTTGGTTCTAAATCCTTGAGGAATTACCATACTGTAATCCACAGTGGTAGAACTAATTTACATTCCCACCAACAGTATAAGAACATTCCTCTTTCTCCACAGACAGATTGGTACCCATTGTTTCCTGACCCTTTAATAATCACCATTCTGACTGGTGTGAGATGGTATTTCATTGTGGTTTTGATTTAAATTTCTCTGATGATTAGTGATGTTGAGCTTTTTTCCATATGTTTGTTGACTGTGTAAATATCTTCTTTTTAGAAGTGTCTGTTTATATTCTTTGCCTACTTTTTGATGGAGGTGTGTTTTTTTATTTTTATTTTTTATTTTTGTAAATTTCTTCAAGTTCCTTGTAGATTCTGGATATTAGGTCTTTGTCAGATTGATAGATTGCAAACATTTTCTCCCATTCTGTACATTACCTGTTCAATCTGATGATAGTTTGTTTTGCTGTTCAGAAGCTCTATAGTTTAATTAGACCCCATTTGTCAATTTTGGCTTTTGTGGCAATTATTTTTGGCTTTTTTAATGAAGCATTTGCTAATGCCTGTGTCTTGAATGGTATTGCCTAGGTTTTCTTCTAGGGTTTTTATGGTTTTGGGTTTTACATTTAAGTCTTTAATCCATATAGAGTTAATTTTTGTATAAGTTACAAGGAAAAGGTCAAGTTTTAGTTTTCTGTGTATGGCTAGCCAGTTTTCCCAGCACCCTTTACTGAATAGGATATCCTTTCCCCATTGCTTGCTTTTGTCAGGTTTGTCTTCAAAGATCAGATGGTTGTAGTTGTGTGGTGTTATTTCTGAGGTTTCTGTCCTACTCCATTGGTCTATATGTCTGTTTTGGTGTAATTGCCATGCTGTTTTGGTTACTGTTGCCTTTTAGTATAGTTTGAAGTCAGGTACCATGATGACTCCAGTTTTGTTCCTTTTGCTTAAGTTTGTCCTGACTGGCCAGGCATGGTGGCTGATGCCGGTAATCCCAGAATTTTGGGAGACTGAGGTGGGCAGATCACCAGGTCAGGAGATTGAGACCATCCTGGCTAACACAGTGAAAACCCGTCTCTACTAAAAATACAAAAAATTAGCCAGGCATGGTGGCAAATGCCTGTAGTCCCAGCTACTCAAGAGGCTGAGGGAGGAGAATGGCATACACCTGGGAGGTGGAGCTTGCAGTGAGCCAAAATCACACCACTTCACTCCAGCCTGGGGGACAAAGAGAGACTCCATATATAAAAAAAAAAAAAGATTGTCCTGACTATCCAGGGTCTTCTTTGATTCCATATAAAATTTAAAATAGGTTTCTTTGATTCTGTGAATAATGTCAAGAGTAGTTTGATAGGATCATTAAATCTGTAAATTGCTTTGGGTAGTATGGCTATTTTCACAATATTAATTCTATCTATCCATGAGCATGGAATGCTTTCCATTTTTTTGTGTCCTCTATTATTTCCTTGAGCAGCGGTTTGTAGTTCTCCTTGAGGAGGTCATTCACACTTCTTGCTAGCTGTATTCCTAGGTATTTTGTTCTCTTTGTTGCATTTGTGAATTGGAGTTCATTCATGATTTGGCTCCTTGCTTGTCTATCGTTGGTGTGAAAAAATGCTTGTAATTTTTGAATACTGATTTTGTATCTTGTCAGCTTGCTGAAGTTACTTATTATTTTGAGAAATTTTGGGGCTGAGATCATGGGATTTTCTTTTTTCTATCTTTGTGCCATATTTTATTCAGTATGGTTTTGGTTTCATCTATTGTATTTGTCTTTTATATGCATATGTATATAGTTTTATTTTTATTTATTTTTTAAGACTAGTCAAGTGAAGCATACAATCATGCCATTTGCAGAGACAATTTCACTTCCTCTCTTCCTAATTGAATACCCTTTATTTCTTTCTTTTGCCTGATTGCCCTAACCAGAACTTCCAATACTATGTTAAATATAAATGGTGACAGAGTCATCCTTTTCTCATACCACTTTTCAACAGGAATGCTTCCAGCTTTTGCCCATTTAGTATGATATTGGCTGTGGGTTTGTCATAAATAGCTGTTATTATCTTGAGTTATGTTCCATCAATACCTATTTTACTGAGAGTTTTTATTATGAAGCAATGTTGAATTTTATCAATGGCTTTTTCTTCATCTATTCAGATAATCATGTGGTTTTTGTCTTTGATTCTGTTTATTTGATGGACTACATTTATGGGTTTGTGTATGTTCAACCAGCTTTGCAACTCAGGGATGAACCTGACTTGACAGAGCAAAGTGGGTGCCTGCCAATTCTTCTGGGACCTCTGACCTCAAGGGACACCAACCAGATGCTAGTAGGATTGCTGCTATTTGGGTGTTGAAAATCCCTGTTGGAGACTCTCACCCAGTTGGGCGACATGGGAAATAGAATGCATTTAACAAAGCTCTTTGTTTTTTGGTGGAGGGGGTATGCCTTCCTGGGGGGAAAACCCACTCATCTGGGCTGCCTGGATTCCTCAGAACTGACCAGTCTCTTCTGGTTTGCAGAGACTGTGGCTACCTCTCCCCTATGGGTGCAGGCCCAGGGTGATTTGTGTTTTGTCTCTGAAACTCTGGCTAGTTATTGGAATTCCTGAGGGAAGCCCCACCCAGTGAAGAAAGATGTGTCAGGGTCAGGCCTGAAGAGGCACTCTGGTCACAGAATGCCACAGCTAATGTCTTGGGCAGTGGGTCACAAGTCTTGGGATCAAGCCCTCCAGCCTCCCTTGCTCCAGCAGGGTAAAAGCACAGCCTGGAACTCTAGAGATGGGTGCTGTTCTTCCTCTTCCCAGGGAGCTTAGCAAGTTAGGCAGTTATGAGTCCTAGTGCTGCCTGCTGACCTTTCCCCCTGGAGCTAAAGTGGCTTAGATAGCAGGCAATTTCAGCCATGGCACTGGTCGCTCCTCGCCACTGGGAGTTCAGTAGGTTTAAGCAGATCCCAGCTGAGACACCATTAAGAGTAGGTGCATTCTGGGGCGGTGATGCTAGGCCCTCGTGGTGTGGGTTTGCGGATGGGATCTTCTGATCTGTGGGTTTCACAGTTCTGTAGAAATAGCACGATTTCCCAGCTGGGTCACAGCCTCACTGACCTCCTCCCTTGGCTGAGGGAGTTGGCTCCCATACCCCATGTGCCTCTCAGGTGGGACACTGCACCACGCTGTTCTTCCTTTTCTCCCTGGGTCGCACCATCCTCCTGGTCAGTTCTATAAAGTGAACATGGATACCAAGTTGCCAGTGAAGTGTTCACATGCCTTTTATGCTTTGTTATCAATGGGAGCCTCTGAACACTGCTGTTTCTAGTCACCCATCCTGGCCCCACTCATCCTTGTGGTAATTTTCAGGTGAATTATTTGAGAAATCTATGTAATGTGTTTTGTACTGGTTCTACTAATTTACATTCCCCCCAAGAGTGTGTTTTGTGCAGTTTCCACACCTTCCTTTTCCTGATGTTACTGGCAGTACTTATTCTTTTTTTTTAAAGTAATATCCACCATATTTCTAATAGATTCACTCAACTAAAGTGACTTGATATATTTCCTTATGGATTTTCGTGGCATTTCTCTTATATATTTGTTTGAAGTATCTGTGTCATTTTCAGAGAAAAGTCTGTTTGTCTGTTTACATCTTTTGAACATTTTAAATTAGTGTTTTTTGTTTGTTTGTTTGTTCAGCTGTTGAATTATATGTCTTATTTGTTCTTAGTATTAACCCCTTACCAGATGCATAGTTTTCAAATACGTTAAATGTTTGTTAGGTTTTCTCTTCACTTTATTTGTTGTATCTTCAGTTGTGCACAATCTTCTTAGTTGGATGTAATCACATTTGTTTATTTTCTTCATTGGTTTTCTGGGTTTTTCAGATGTCATCCAAAAAGTCTGCCCAGAAAATCATTATAAAAAAATTTCTTTTGCCTTTTTTGACTAGTTTTATAGTTTTTTATGTCATATTAATCCTTAATTCATTTTGAGCTGACCTTTGAACATTACTTAAAATAGAAGTGTAGTTTTCTGCTTCTATATGTGAATATCCAGTTTTCCCACACATTGCATTGAAGGTACTATTTTTTTCTTAAGACAGTTTGATGTTCTCCTTTTCTCAAATCCCTTGTGAAAAATCAGTTGATGGTAGATGCATGGATTTATTTCTGAGCTCCTGTTTTGCTCCACTTGTGTACATGATTGCTTTTATTCCAGTGCTACTGCGGCAGGCTGGCTCTCACTAACATAAGATGACCACATAACAACTGTTTCACTACTGGCTGAGTGGTTCAGTTAAATATTATAAGCCCAATATAAGCCAGTACTCTTATTCAAAAGCTGGAATGTGACGAAAGCCCACCATGCATTTTGTGTTGGCTTTTTCCGGGCCCTAACACATGAAAAACTACTGAAGAAATTCTTAACTATCTATTTAGGATAAAACAAGTTTATTGGAGGTCTGGAAGAACTCCCCAAACCTCCATGATTTAGCAGGAGACAAGATAAGAGTAATCACCCCAACGCATGGACCCATTTAGATTGATTAAATTTACTGAGACTCCAGAGGAAGGTCTTCAGGACTTAGAACTTACGTTATAGATTAAAAGAAGTTAATCATTTATGTTTTTAGATGATTGCATACTTACACATAGCCATATAATTTAGAAAGTATATAAGCTCTGGACAACTTTGTAACTTTGAGTTGGTCTGCTGATAATTTTCAGGCCTTCTCCTTGTAACCCGTTGCTGAAATAAAAACTCTCTTCCTTCCATCTGTATCTCGTTATTGGGCCATGAGAAATAGCAGCTTGACCCTCAGTTTGATCTGGGAACACTATGATTATTACTAATTTTTTAACTATTGCTTTATCTTATATTTTTAAGTTGACTACTGTGATGCCTTCAGCATTGAGATATATCCATATATCACCTAGGTGTTATGAAGTCTTTTGTAGGTTCATATGTATTTTATATATTTGGCAGAGTTCTGCAATAATACAATCAGGGCCTAAACTTTTAATTGATAGAAGACTATTATAAATTCACCTTTGGTTCTCATTATTGATCTATATAAGTTTTGTAATTATTTATAAGTTAATCTTGGTAGGTCGTGTGCTTCAGTAACTCATAAATTTATTCTAGATTTTTTAGTTTATGTATAGTTGTTCACAATAGTGTCATAATATTTTTTATTTCTGTGGTAACACTTATAATGTCTTATTTTCTGTTTCTGTAAGTTTTGGCTTCTGTCTTTTAGTCAGTCAGGTAATTATCAATTATTTACATCTTTAAAAGCCAACCCTTTTTTTTGTAGCTTTGTAATTTTTAATCTCTATTTATTTGTACCTGCTCTGAACTTTAATTTTTTCACAAATTTTTATTTACTTTGTTATTTTCCTTTTAGTTTCCTCTACTATAATTTTATTTTAACTGATAAGGGTATTTACTGCTATAAACTACTCTCTGAGTAATGTTTTAATGCTATCCCATATGTTTTTTAAAGATTTTGTCTTCACATTTTTGTCTAGAAGTCATAAATCAATCCATTCTGTTGTCTTCATTAGAACTGATTTTAATTTTCCTATATGAGTGAGAAAATTCTGAATCTGTCTTTCTGTGACTAGCTTATGTCATTTAACATTATAACACCAGTCTGTCTATGTGACTGAATGGGACAGAATTTTATTGTTTTGATGACTGAATAACATTGTTGAATAATATTAATATTGCACATATATTCCACTTTTTCTTTGTCTGTTCACCTGCTGATAGGTTGCTTTCCTGTCTGCAGTATCATAAATAGTGCTGCAGTTAACAAGAGAATACAGGTATTTCTTCAATAAACTAACTTTTTTTCCCCTTGGAGAAATGCCCAGTAGTGTGGTTGCTATATCACATGGTACTTGTATTTTTAATTCTTAAGAAATTTCCTTATTTTTATAGTAGTTTTAATTATTCACATTCCCATCAGCAGTATATGAGAGTTCTACACATTATCACCAGTGTATGTTATTTTCTTGTCTTTATAATATCAACTATTTGCACTAGAGTAAGATGATATCTCATTGGGATTTGAGTTTTTATTTATCTAATATTTACTAATGTTAAGCATTAATTTACATCCCCAGTGACCATTCGTATGTCTTCTTTATAAAAACATGTATTCACCTTCTTTTTAATGGAATTATTTGTTTGAGGCTTTTTAGTTGTTTGGTTTTTATGTATATTATAGATACCACAAGCATATTTTATATTATGATTTTTTTCTGGAAAAAAAAGTCTCCATATGAATTTATTTCAAATGAAATATGTTAACTATATCAATTATTATGATGCTGTTATTATAAAACCCTAGTTTCAATTCAAACAGGACACAAAGGTGAAATTCTGCATTATTATAAATTCCTTCTTACATTTCTTGAAGATAATAGCTGGCTGGAAATGTTTTTTTTCTACAGTTCATTTCCAGGAGAAAAAGATTTAAAAATTTACAACTTACAAACCATTGACACTCTGTACTGAAAATCATATCTTGTTAAGAATTCCAACCATCTGCGTTGAAAAGGGATGAGGGTTACTCCATACCAACCTTTGTGCTGCACAGTTAAAATGTACAGATTCATGTTTCTCATTTTAAAAAGGCTAAATCTTTTGAGTTTACTCTCTCAATCGAGGATTATTGGTATGCTAGATTTCTATACAAAAGCTTGCAAAAATTTTGGACTATTGCTGCTGCTTTGAAAAATAATTGCTCCTTTGAACTTTACACAATTGTTACATTAAATGTCTGATTTGCATATGACATTTATTTACTTCCATAGAGTTGTTACTCTGTCTTAATGTGTATAATGACATAGTCATATTTGGGATAAAGTACTCCAACATGTTACTACTTGATAAAACCTGCCTTATTGTTGGATTCACCAGGTGATTCCTTGATTCATTTATGTAAAATATACACCAGTGGAAATATCACAGTTAAGGTCACCAGTTATTTAAAAGCAACCTCCTTCTTGATTGTCTTTCAGGTCCAACTACTTAATAATGGGGATACTGCCATCTCCTCATTTTAATCTTTTATTTCTTGTTAACCTTGGTTTTAGTCGTAACCCAGGCTACACCCTGTGACCTTCTAAATCTTTGTGGTAATGGGTTAACAAAAGATGTTAAAGAAAATAAAAATATAATATGTCTCTACTATGTGAACAATATAAATCAACAGGCTGTTGTGAAAATTGATGCTGGAAGGCTTGCCCTGGACAAAGCCGTTTAACTTGCCATTGCCAGCACTTCTCAGGATGAATTTATTGATGAAGGTACCTTAGAAGGAATCACCAGTGCTACCCCTGGTTTTTGTTTTTATGTAGCATACGGAATGATCTTCCTAAAAAACGATGGACATATTTATACCTTAATCTCTAGCAGATAGAAGGCTTATGCTTGATGGGGCATTTTATAACCTCTTTTTTCTTGCATAACAATATGGAAAGACCCACATTTCCTTACCATTACAGAACTAAGAGTACTTGGTTAGTAGTGTGTGGTGACAACACAATCAAAATATTTGAAGAATATGAAATCCAAGGACAGAAGTGTGACAATAGGAATACAATTCAAAACCTGTCAGCTGCCATCGGTCAGGCATCTGAAGACACTCTAATATCCATTGCAGCTCACCACACATTTTTAAATTTTTGGCTGAGGCAGTACCTGTTATTAGAATTGCTCTGAATTATGTATTGCCCTAAATTGTCCTGAATTATAAATTATATTTAATCAATATAAGTATTGATTAAAGTATAAGATGCAGGCACTGAATAGAATGCTGATTTAAATTCAAATTAGTTGAACTGTGAACTTTTACAGACGGACCTGCACAGAGATATTTCTTAGTCTGTATGTCGCAATCTATAGGTATTATTTGTAACCCCTGTATTGTACCTGTCAATGAAAGGAGAATTACTCTTGTATGAAAAGACCTCTCCAGCATTTTAAACGTTACCATAAAAACCTTTTGATTTCTAGTAGCCTCCGGTACTCTTACAATTTTCTTTCAGAGGTCACTCATCACGTTCGGCTTTCAATAAGGCTTTATAAAATTATTTCTGCCTCAGTAGTGTTAATTTTACTTGACGTAGCTGTTAGAAAAAAGACACAAAATACCAATTTTTATGAGGATGCAGATAAAATGGAATGCATATATATGAATTATATAATACATTATATAATAAGTATGTAAAATATATATTTTGTGTGAGTGTGTGTGTGTATTTCTGAGAAGGTTAAGCAGCACACCCACTATGGTCAACTTATGGAATGTATTTAAGAACCTGGAAATAGTTAACTAACACATGATGTAGCAGTTGCTTGTATGTATAAACATTTTAAAAAGAAAATCAGCAGATTGATGAGATAGCTGCATTCTTATATTCATGACAGCAATATACACAGTTGCCATGATATAAAATCAACTTGTGTTGATCTATAAAATAGTTGATAAAATGTGTGGCATATATTCACAGTGGAATCTTATTCAGAAATGTGAAAGAGAAATTCTGTCACTTACAGCAAAATGGGTGGAAGTGAATGTCTTTATGTTAAGTGAAATAAGCCAGACACAGAAAGACCACATGTTCTCACTCATATTTGGAAGCAAAAAACTAGAGGAAAGAATGCGGGTTACCAGAGCCTGGAAATGATAGGAGAAAGCAACAATAAAAGAAGTTGGTAAATGGGTACAGAAATGCAGTTACATTCAATAAATAAGTTTCAGTATTCCACAATACAATAGAAAGCTTATAGGGAAACACAACTAATAGAATGTTTAAAGTAGCTAGAAGAATTGCAGTGTTTTAGCACAAAGAACTAATGGTTTGAGGTGAGGTATATCTCATTTATCACAATTCATTTAGTACATATCGTATATGTGTATCAAAAATGTTACATGTATTCCCAAAAATATATAACACATAATTTTTAAAAAGCACCTTTCATTGATATGTGTCGAGAGTTCTGTAGATTTCTATTAGGTCTGCTTGGTCCAGGGCTGAGTTCAAGTTTTGTATATCCTTACGAATACAAAATTTCATCAATCTGTCTCATTGATCTGCATAATATTGACAGTAGGGTGTTAAAGTCTCCCACTATTATTGTGTGAATCTGTAAGTCTCTTTGTAGGTCTCTGAGAACTTGCTTTATGAATTTGGATGAATGAATTCGGATTTATGAATTTGGATGTTCCTGTATGGAGTGCATATATATTTAGGATAGTTAGTTCTTCTTGTTGCATTGATACCTTTATATGCCTTTTTTGATCTTTCTTGGTTTAAAGACTGTTTTATCAGACACTAAATTGCAACCCCTGCTTTTTCTTTCTTTCTTTTTTTTTTTTTTTTGCTTTCCATTTGCTTGGTAAATATTCCTTCATCCATTTATTTTGAGCTTGTATGTGTCTTTGTACATGAGGTGAGTCTCCTGAATACAGCACATTGATGGGTCTTGACTCTATCCAATTTGCCAGCCTGTCTTTTAGTTGAGATATTTAGCCCATTTACATTTAAGGTTAATGTCATTATGTGTGATTTTGATCCTGTAATTATGATGCTAGCCAAATTAAGAGAATATACATTCTTCTCAGAACCACATCACACTTATTTTAATAGTGACCACACAAGTGGAGGTAAACCACTCCTCAGCAAATGCAAAAGAATGGAAATCATAACAGACAGTCTCTCAGACCACAGTGCAAACAAATTAGAACTCCAGATTAAGAAAGTCGCTCAAAACTGCACAAGTTCATGGAAACTGAACCACCTGCTACTGAATGACTACTGGGTAAATAACCAAATTATAGTAGAAATAAATAAGTTCTTTGAAACCAATGAGAATAAACACACAATGTACCAGATCTCTGGGACACAGCTCAGGCAATGTTTAGAGGGAAATTTGTAGTACTAAGGGCCCACAGGAGAAGGCAGGAAAGATCTAAAATTGAGAGCGTTAACATCACAATTAAAAAGAACTTGAGAAGCAAGAGCAAAGAAATCCTGAAGCTAGCAGAAGATAAGAAATAAATATGATCAGAGCAGAACTGAGGGAGATAGAGACACAAAAAAACCCTTCAAAAATCAATGAATTCAGGAGCTGGTTTTTGAAAAGATTAACAAAATAGATTGACTGTTAGCCAGACTAATAAAGAAAAAAGAGAAGAATCAAATAAACACAATAAAAAATGATGAAGGGGAAATCACCACTGATCTCACAGAAATACAGACTACCATCAGAGAATACTATAAACACCTCTACACAGATGAACTTTCTAGTTGAAGAAATGAATAAATTTCTCGACACATACACACTAACAGGACTAAACCAGCAAGAAGTCAAATTCCTGAAGAGACCAATAACAAGTTCTGAAATTGAGGTAGTAATTAATAGCTTACCAACCAAAAACAAGCCCAGAATCAGATGGATTCACAGCCAAATTCTAGCAGAGGCACAAAGAGGAGCTGGTACCATTCCTTTGAAACTGTTCCAAACAATAGAAAAAGAGGAACTTCTCCATAACTCATTTTATTAGCCCACTATAATACACCAAAATGTGTCAGAGACACAAAAACAACAAAAATTCAGGCCAATATCCCTGATGAACATCATTGTGAAAATCTTCAATAAGATAGTGGAAAACTGAATCCAGCAGCACATCAAAAGCTTATCCACCACAATCAAGTTGGATTCATCCCTGGGATGCGTGAATGGTTCAACATATGCAAGTCATTAACATAATCCATCACATAGACAGAACCAGTGACAAAAACCACAAAATTGTCTCAATAGATGCAGAAAAGGCCTTTGATAAAGTTCAACACCCCTTCATGCTAAAAGCTCTCAGTAAACTGGGCCTTGATGGAACGTACGTCAAAATAATAAGAACTATTTATGACAAACCCACAGCCAATATCATAATGAATAGGCAAAAACTGGAGAAATTCCCTTTGACAACTGGCACAAGACAAGAATGCTCTCTCTCACCACTCCTATTGAACATAGTATTTGAAGTCCTGGCCAGGGCAATCAGGCAAGGGAAAGAAATAAAATGTATTCAAATAGGAAAAGAGGAAGTCAAATTGCCTCTGTTTGCAGATAACATGATTGCATATTTAGAAAACCACATCATCTGAGCCCCAAAGCTCCTTAAGCTGAGAAGCAACTTCAGCAAAGTCTCAGAGTACAAAATCAATGTGCAAAAATCACAGGCATTCCTATACACCAATAACAGACAGAGAGCCAAATGGTGAGTTAACCACCATTCATAATTGCTACCAAGAGAATAAAATACCTAGGAATATAACTTACAAGGGATGTGAAAGACCTCTTCAAGAAGAACTGCAAACCACTGCTCAAGGAAATAAGAGCAGACACAAACAAATGAGAAAACATTCTATGCTTACAGATAGGAAGAATCAATATTGTGAAAATGGCCATACTGTCCAAATTATGGTATCCCCAACAAGCTATTATTTACTTTCTTCACAGAATTAAGAGAAACTACCTGAAATTTCATATAGAATCAAAAAAGAGCCTGCATAGCCAAGACAGTCCTAAGCAAAAGGAACACGGCTGGAGGCATCACACTACCTGAATTCAAACTATACTGAAGGGCTACAGTAACCACACAGCATCATGCTGGTACAAGAAATATATAGACCAATGGAACAGAACAGAGTCTCAGAAATAACACCACACATCTACAACCATCTGATTCTTGACAAACCTGAGAAAAATAAACAATGGGAAAAAGATTCCTATTTAATAAATGGTGTTGGGAAAACTGGCTAGCCATAACCAGAAAACTGAAACCTGACACCTTCCTTACATTTTATACAAAAATTAACTCAAGATGGATTAAAGACGTAAATGTAAAACCTAAAACCATAAAAAACCCTAGAAGAAAACCTAGGCAATACCATTCAGGACATAGGAATGGGCAAAGATTTCATAACTAAAACATCAAGAGCAATGGCAACAAAAGCCAAAATTGACAAATGAGATCTAATTAAACTAAAGAGATTGTGTGCAGCAAACAAAACTATCAAGAGTGAACAGGCAATCTACAGAATAGGAGAAATTTTTTGCCATCTCTCTATCTGACAAAGGGCTAATAACCAGAATCTACAAGAAACTTAAACAAATTTACAAGAAAAAAAAAACCTTATCAAAAAGTGCGTGAAGGTTATGAACAGACACTTCTCAAAAGAAGACATTTATGCAGCAAAGAAACATAAGAAAAAAGACTCATCATCATTGGTCACTAGAGAAATGCAAATCAAAACCACAGTGAGATGCCATCTCATGCCAGTTAGAATGGTGATCATTAAAAAGTCAGGAAACAACAGATGCTGGAGAAGATGTGGAGAAATAGGAACACTTTTATACTGTTGGTTGGAGTGTGAATTAGTTCCATCATTGTGGAAGATAGTTTGGTGATTCCTCAAAGATCTGGATCCAGAAATATCATTTGACCCAGCAATCCCATTACTGGGTATATACCCAAAGGATTATAAATCATTCTGTTATAAAGACACATACACACATGTTTATTGCAGCACTGTTCACAGTGGCAAAGACTTAGAACCATCCCAAATGCCCGTAAATGATAGACTGGATAGAGAAAATTTGGCACATATACACCATGGAATACTATGCAGCCATAAAAAAGGATGAGTTCATGTCCTTTGACAGGGCATGAATGAAGCTGAAAACCATCATTCTCAGCAAACTAACACAGAAACAGAAAACTAAATACTACATGTTTACATTAATAAGTGGGAGTTGAAAAATGAGAACACATGCACACAGGGAGGGGAACATCACACGACGGGACCTGCCAGGGGGTGGAGGGCTATGGGAGGGATAGCATTAGGAGAAATACCTAATGTAGATGACTGATCGATGGGGGCATGTGTATACCTATGTAACAAACATGCATGTTCTGCACATGTATCCCAGAACTTAAAGTATAATAATAATAATAATAATAATAATAATAATAATACCTAATGAGAAGACAACACCAAGGGTATGGGCAAGTGATCATTTGATAGAGAAATGGGTATGAATATCAGAAATGGGTCTTCTCTCATATCTTCTTCATATTGGGTATGCCAAGGAAGAGGAGGAAGAGGGGAGGTTAGACTTGCTGTCTCAGGGGTGGCAGAGGAGGAAGAAAATTCACTTATAAATTTCCATCTGCATAGCCCATAGTTTTCAATGGTTATATTCATCTGTTCTCACACTATTATAAAGAAATATTTGAGAAACCAAAATTGATAAAGAAAAGAGGCTTAATCAACTAACAGGAAGCATGGTAGCATCTGCTTCTGGGTAGGCCTCAGGGACCTTTGACTCATGGTAGAAGGCATACTAGGAGCAGGCATCTTACATGGAAGGAACAGAACAAAAGGGGTAAGGGAAGATGCCACACATCTCTAAAAACCAGATCTCATGAGAACTCATGATTGTCATGTTAATACCAAGGCAGATGGCATTAAACCATAAGAAATCATTTTTATTATCCAATCACCTCCCACCAAGCCCAGACTCCAACAGTGGGGATTACACTTCACTGTGAGACTTGGGTGGGGACACAGATGTAAACCATATCAATAGTCAACCACCTTTGTACGTGAGAAAGGTATGCATGTTGAGATTCCAGGAGCAGAATGCTATGATGTCCTGTCTCCTCCCATTTTTATGTTATGGATGCTTAATCCTAGTGCACTAGTGTTGAAAGGTAGGTCACAATAGGTCATTAAAGATCTCCCCTCATGAATGAATTAATGTTGCCATTAAAAAGTCTTGCAGAAATTGATTCACTTTTTGCTCTTTTTTCATGCAAGAACACAAAGTCTCTCCCCATGGGAGAAGCAGCTTTCTAGAAACCAGAACCTCTCCAGATGCTACTGATTTAGTCTCAAATTTCCTAGCCTTTGTAATAAAATGCCTTTTTAAACACAAATTCTCCAATCTTCAGCATTCTTTTTTAGCAGCAGAAAGAAAAAAATATATTATATACACATTACACATATTTGTAGTATATATAAAATATTATTTAAATACAGAGGTGTTTAAATAAAATGCTCATACACTTATTTAAAATACACATATTATATATGTATTCTGTCGTCTGGATAACCTTAATAACCATCAATGTTTCTTATGAATGTGCACTAGAACATTTTAAAGTATTTGTATAGCCACCTGTATATAGGTAAAGGTCATGTGCCAGTAACCATAGATATGTGTAGGCATTTGCACAACTGAGTGTTGTGCATTAGTCCATTTTCACACTGTTGATAAAGACTGGGAAGAAAAAAAGGTTTAATTTGACTTACAGTCTCACATGGTCAGGGGGCCTCAGAATAACGATGTGAGGCAAAAGGCAGTTCTTACATGGTGCTGAAAAGAGAAAATGAAGAAGAAACAAAAGTGGAAACCCCTGATAAACCCATCAGATCTGATTAACCTTATTCACTATCATGAGAATAGCCTGAATAAGAACAGCCAACCTCCATGATTACATTTCGTCCCTGTGGGTCCCTCCCACAACACGTGGAAACTAATTTATTTATTTATTTATTTTTTTGCTCTACTTTTGGTTTAATCATAACTACAAAATTTTGTGTTGTTGTTGTTGTTTTTTGTTTTAATTATCCTTTAAGTTCTAGGGTACATGTGCACAAATGCAGGTTTGTTACATAGGTATATACATATGCCATGTTGGTTTCCTGCACCCATTAACTCATCATTTACATTAGGTTTTCTCCTAATACTATCCCTCCCCCATGACCCCACCCTATGACAGGCCCCAGTGTGTGATGTTTCCCGCCCTGTGTCCAAGTGTTCTCATTTTTCAATTCCCACCTCTGAGTGAGAACATGCGGTGTTTGGTTTTCTTTCCTTGTGATTGTCTGCTCAGAATGATGGTTTCCAGCTTCATCTATGTTGCTACAAAGGACATGAACTCATCCTTTTTATTGCTGCATGGTATTCCATGGTGTATATGTGCCACATTTTCTTAATCCAGTCTATCATTGATGGACATTTGGGTTGGTTCCAAGTCTTTGCTATTGTGAATAGCGCTGTAATAAACATTATATGTGCATGTGTCTTTATTGTAGCATGTTTTATAATCCTTTGGTTATATACCAAATATTGGGATCTCTGGGTCAAATACTATTCCTAGTTTTAGATCCTTGAGGAATCGCCACACTGTCTTCCACAATGGTTGAACTAGTTTACACTCCCACCAACAGTGTAAAAGCATTCCTATTTCTCCACATCCTCTCCAGCACCTGTTGTTTCCTGACTTTTTAATGATCGCCATTCTAACTGGTGTGAGATGGTATCTCATTGTGGTTTTGATTTGCACTTCTCTGATTACCAGTGATGATGAGCATTTTTTCATCTGTCTGTTGGCTGCATAAATGTCTTCTTTTGAAAAGTGTCTGTTCATATCCTTTGCCCACTTTTTGATGGGGTTGTTCAATTATTTCTTGTAAATTTGTTTAAATTTTTTGTAGATTCTGCATATTAGCCCTTTGTCAAATGGGTAGATTGCAAAATTTTTCTCCTATAGGTTGCCTGTTCACTCTGATGGTAGTTTCTTTTGATGTGCAGAAGCTCTTTAGTTTAATTAGATCCCATTTGTCAATTTTGGCTTTTGTTGCCATTGCTTTTGGTGTTTTAGTCATGAAGTCCTTGCCCATGCCTATGTCCTGAATGGTATTGCCTAGGTTTTCTTCCAGGGTTTTTATGGTTTTGGAGCTAACATGCAAGACACTTTAATACCCCATTGTCAATAGTAGACAGATCAATCAGACAGAAGGTTAACAAGGATATCCAGGAATTGAACACAACTCTGCACCAAGCAGACCTAATAGACTTCTACAGAACTTTCCACCCCAAATCAACAGAATATACATTCTTCTCAGCACCACATCACACTTATTCCAAAATTGACCACATAGTTGGAAGTAAAGCACTCCTCAGCAAATGTAAAAGAGCAGAAACCACAACAAACTGCCTCTCAGACCACAGTCCAATCAAGTTAGAACTAAGGATTAAGAAACTCACTCAAAACTGCACAACTACATGGAAACTGAACAACCTGCTCCTGAATGGCTAGTGAGTAAATAAAGAAATGAAGGCAGAAATAAAGGTGTTATTTGAAACCAATGAGAATAAAGACACAATGTACCAGAATCTCTGGGATACATTTAAAGCAGTGTGTAGAGGGAAACTTAGAGCACTAAATGCCCATAAGAGAAAGCAGGAAAGATCTAAAATCGACACCCTAACATTACAATTAAAAGAACTAGAGAAGCAAGGGCAAACAAATTCCAAAGCTAGCAGAAGGCAAGAAATAAATAAGAACATGTGGAAATTATGATAGTACAATTCAAGTTGAGATTTGGGTGGGGATACAGCCAAACCATATTATTCCACCTCTCTAAATCTCATGTCCTCACATTACAAAATAAATTATGCCTTCCCAACAAACCAAAAGTCCACAATCCAAAGTTTCATCTGAGACAAGGCAAGTTCCTTCCACCTATGAGACTGTAAAATCAAAAGCAAGCTAGTTACTTCGTAGAAACAATTGGGGTACAGGGATTGGATAAATATGGCCATTTTAAATGGGAGAAATTGGTGAAAATAAAGGGGTTACAGGGCCCATGGAAGTGTGAAATCCAGTAGGGAAGTACAATTTCGAAGTTCCAAAATGATCTCTTTTGACTCCAGGTCTCAAATCTAGGTCACACTGGTGCAAGAGATAGGTTCCCATGGTCTTGGGCAGCTCCACCTCTGTGGCTTTGCAGGGTATGGCCACCCACCTGTCTGATTTTACTGGTTGTGGCTGAGTGTCTGTGGCTTTTCCAGGTGCATGCTGCAAGCTGTCAGTGGGTCTACCATTATGGAGTCTGGAGGACGGTGACCCTTTTCTCACAGTTACACTAGGCAGTGCCTTAGTAGGGATTCTGTGTGTGGGTTCTGAAACTGCATTTCCCTTCCACACTGTCCTAGGAGATGTTTTCCATGAGGGCACCATCACTGAAGCAAACTTCTGCCTGGGCATCCAGGCATTTCCATACATCTTCTAAAATCTAGGTGGAGGTTCCTAAACCTAAATTCTTGACATCTGTACACCCAGGCTCAACACCATATGGAAACTGCCAAGGCTTGATCTTTCCATGCACTGAAGCCAGAGCCCAAACTGTATGTTTCCCCTTTCAGCCACGGCTGGAGTGGCTGGGACACACAATACCAAGTTCCTAGGCTGCACACAGCATGGAGAAACTGGGCCCAGCCCACAAAACCACTTTTTCCTCATGGGCTTCCAGGTCTGTAATGAAAGGGGATACTGTGAAGGACTCTGACATGGCCTGGAGACATTTTCCCCATGGTCTTGGGGATTAACATTAGGCTCCTTGCTAGCTATGCAAATTTCTACATCCAGCTTGAATTTTCCCCTGGAACATGTTTTTTTCTTTTCTTTTGAATAGTCAGGCTGCAAATTTTCCAAAGTTTTATGCTCTGCTTCCCTTATAAAACTGAATGCTTTTAACAGTACCCAAGTCATCTCTTGAAGTTTCACTGCTTAGGAATTTCTCCTGCCAGATACCCTAAATTTTCTCTCTTAAGTCCAACATTTCACAAGCCTTTAGTTCAAGGGCAAAAATGCTGCCAGTCTCTTTGCTAAAATGTAACAAGTGTCACCTTTACTCCAGTTTACTTCCAACAAGTTCCTCATCTCCATCTGAGACCACCTCAACCTGGAACTCATTATCCATATCAGTATCAGCATTTTGGGCAAAGCCATTCAACAAGTCTCTAAGAAGTTCCAAACTTTCCTATATTTTCCTGTCTTCTTCTGAGCCCTCCAAATCGTTCCAACCTCTGCCTGTTACTGAGTTCCAAATTTGCTTCCATATTTTTGGTTATATTTTCAGCAATGCTCCACTCTACTGGTATCAATTTATTGTATTCATCTGTATCCACAATGCTGATAAAGGCATACCCAAGACTGGGAAGAAAAAATGATTTAATTGGAGTTACCGTCCACATGCCTGGGGAGGCCTCAGTATTATGGCGGTAGGCAAAAGGCACTCCTTACATGGTAGCAGAAACAGAAAATGAGGAAGAAGCAAAAGTGGAAATGCTGATAAACCCATAATATCTCAGGAGACTTATTTACTGTTACAAGAATAGCAGGGGAAAGATCAGCTCCCATGATTAAATTCCCTTCCCCTGAGTCCCTCCCACAACACATGGGAATGCTGGGAGATAAAAGTCAAGTTGAGGTTTGGGTGGGGACACAGCCAAACCATATCACAAACACAGATGACTATGTACACACTTTGAAAATATCTTATAATCTTGCATATAGCTAAATATGCCCGTGTCCACTATACAAATTAGCTATGATGATGAATTTGTTTATGCTGGTTTGTGATGCCGGTCAGCTTTGGCCTTATGAAAATATACCTGGGTGCATATACATATGCGTGTGTGTGGGGGGCAGTGTATGTGTGTGTAGGAAAAGTCTAGGGTGTATACATTATGTGATTCATACTTAATAAGAGACATTAAGCAACCAGAAAGTGTACATAGTTAAGCAAAGAGGAAGTAGGTCAGTGCTTATTGCCAAAAGAGCTGTGAAAGATATCTAAAAAGAAAGTTTGCCGAGCTTTATACACACAGGATATCTCAATTTTATCTTGGGGAGAAGGAAGTCAGAATTTATACAACTGGAAATTTCATAGAAATACCCAAGTGAGGAAAACAAACAAACAAGCCTTATAGCATTGAAAATTTTATGACATTGTCAAAAGAAAGTAATCAGACTTTAGAAAGCCAATTTTGTAACATCTCTAGGCAACAATTAAGACTGTCAGGTTGTACAGAGTCAGGAACTTACATCCTTGCCCAAGGAGTGAGATTGGGTTTATGTTGTGAATCTCAAATCAGTCACAAGAAAGAAGATGGGCAGTGTTTATACAGCAGGAAAGCTGAGTTGCACTTTGTGGTATATACCCCTAGAAATCTCATCCCATGTCCAAAAAAGATAATCAGTTGTACAGGTGGAGAACTCCCATTCATTATATCTCCAGAGAGCTCATATTTCCTATTCAAAGAAGGAAGCCAAAGTTTATTTTGCCAAGTTTTCTGTATCCATAAACAAGAACTGATAAAGCCAGATTTATTCTTTGAAGAGCATGTTTATGACCAAGGTAAGAGAGATTAAGGTTTAGACTGCCAGAAACCTCATAGCCATATAGAGGCAAAGAGGAGAGCTAGGTATGGATGGGACACACACTCATATTTTATAAAATTCAGTCACAGCTCACTGGGTGTAAACTTTCCATCCAAGTCTAAGTTGAAAGACCATGGTATACACAGATTGGAAGCCTTCATTTTTCCAAGAAGCACCTGTTTAGTTTTTCTACAGATATTAATTATAGTCCTTTATCAAAAAGAAGGCAGCCAGACTTTATTCAACTGGACAACTTCTATCCACTGGCAAGAGATGAAAATATCAGTATGCTCATATTCAAGGAACAATTCTGCAATTTATAAACCAAGGATGCTTAATCCATATCCAAGAAATAAAGAGTTCAGCATTTATAAGTCAGAAAGCAGACTTCAATATGCAGAAAAAGAGAAGTCCATGTGTCTTTTCTTACTATTTTGCTACCACGCAGTACTGTTTTTGCCAACCTGTTTCTTTCAGTTCTTATGGACACATATTTTCAAGTGAGGATATTTGTTCATAGTGATGCTTCTGTAAGTGGGAGCTGATTGCTGAAGTTTTCTATTTCTTATTTCTTCTTATTGACTCTCTACATCCTTTTAGTTCTTCATGTTGAAATTGTACATGGATTTATCTATTCAAAAATCTTGATAGAGTACTTTTCTTATTGTGGGTGTGGATTTTCTAGTTGTATATCTGTCCTCCTTAGTTTGTGTATACAAAGATAATTTTCTGACAAAATACAGCCTGACAACAATTATTATTGGACATAGTTATGAAATTTTCAGCTATGTAACTATTGCATAATGGATACTGATTTGGTGAGAAGAGCATAGTAAGGGCAGTTTTATATTACCTGCATCATCCCTTCCCTAACTCATTAGCACAGTGCACAGAGAGAAATTGGCTATTTGGAAGACAGTAAAATGATGACCAAACTTTGGCTTATACTCCAACATGGGCATGCCACAGAGAACTGGGCAGGTTCTCACAGACCCAGACTCCAGACTGGTACCTAAACATAAAGATGCCAGACCCACCCTGGCACCAGATAACATCACACAGCCCCAGTCTTTAGGCCACATCTACAATCAGTCTCCACAGGATAGAGAGAGCCATTGGTGATCCTGAGATTTCAGCCCGACCTAGTGCCTCACCACCCCTGGAAGTTTTCATTATCAGAACCACACCAGAAAGTGTGCCAAGAACCTACAGATAGGGTGACTATTGAAAGGCTTTCCCAGAAAAGCCAGTCTGCAATTATTAGGAAAAGTATGTACTTCACCAAATGGGTGCACACCAATATATGACCACAGATATCAGGAAGTCAGGAAAAGATGGCATTATCAAGTGAAAATAAAGTGCTAATTACTCACCCTAGAGGAATGGAGACGTATACAATGTCTGACTAAATAACATTTGTCAAATAACTGCTTTAAGGAAGGTCAGTAAACTTTATTAAAATAAAAAGAAACAATTCAATTAGGAATTAACTAGAGAAAGCTGTAAGTGAGCAAAACAAAAAATTTAACAGAGACTATAAAATAATAAGCATAATAAATAAATCAGAAAATCTGAAACTAAAATATATATATAAAAATTTAAACTGCAACAAAAAACATCAACACCAAAATTAATCAAGCTGAAGAAAGAATTTGGTAACTCAAAAACAAGTTATTTCAAAATATATAGTCAGAAGAGAAAAGGGTAATAAAGAATGAAGAGAGATTATGAGATCTATGGAACAGCATGAAGACAGTAACGTTGTTAATTATAAGAGTAACAAGAGAAGAAGAAAAAGATAAAATGGTAGAAATGCCATTTTTTTCAAATGATAGCAGAAAACTTTTCAACTGGCAGCAAAATATAAATATCCAGATATACAAATGTCAAAGTTTCCCAATCAGATTAATTTATACAAAGTTACATTAAAATATTTTATAATAATTTTTTTAAAAAACAAAGCCAATCCTAAAAGCAGCAACACAAAAAATAAAATAACATATAAGTGAGTACATAACAGCTGGCAGATTTCTCAGTAGAGACCCTGCAGTCAGGAAATAGTGGGACAATATTACTTACATATTAATAATATGAAGAAAAAGAGAAAAAAATACTCCCTACTAAGAATAATGTACACATAAAGCTTTTCTTCTGAAATGAAGAAAAGATGAAGTGTTTCTCAAATAACCAAAATCTGAGGAAGTTTACAGCCATCAGACCTATTTCATAAGACATGATAAGAGAGATTGAAGCTGAAAAAGAGCACAGATTATTACATGAAAACATATGAAACTATAAAGCTCACTGGTAAAAGCACTCAGCAAAATAAATAATATTCTGATACTATAATGAAGGTGTGTCAATAACATCTATCTTTGATGTAAAAAGACAAAATGATTACAAGTAATGATAGCTGCATTAATTTCACAAGGGGTAAAAATAACTAAATTATATATTTTGAAATTAAAAAACATAAAGTTTAGAAAAGATGCAGGAGATAGAGGTCACAATTAGTGCATGCAGTGTCATTCATTATTATTAACCTATGACAGCCATATACTGCCTCAAGAATTTTTACATAAGTCTTGACTGTAGGGGACATATAAGAGGTTCAGTAAATACCATTACAGGAAAACATCAAACACACACATGAAAAATAAAATAAGAGAGGAAAAAAAAATAAGTTATTGGAAATCACATCCAGAACAATTCACAAGTGACATTAATAAGTTCTTACCAATCAATAATCACTTTCAGTGTAAGCAGATGATAAAATTGTTCAGTCAGGGGCCTATTTACTTACTTAAGTAAAAATATTTTAAATTCTATTTTGACAGAGTAGAATTACAACTCCTGCTTTTTTCTGTTAGCTTGAAACTATCAACAAAATAAATAGACATCCTACAGAATGGGAAAAAGTATTTGTAAATTATGCATCTGACAGACTTCTAATATCCAGTATCTTTAAGGAACTTAGACAAATACTGGAACAAATGAAATAACAAACAATCTCATTAAAAACTGGGCAAAAAACAAACAAACAAACAAAAACATGAACCAGACAGTTTTCAATAGAAGATATATTTATGACCAAAACAAATTAAAAAAATAAAACAGTAAAAACATCAGTGACCATCAGAGAAATGTCAGTCAAGACCACAATGAAGTCCTATCTCAAACCAGTCAGAATGGCCATTATTAAAATGTCAGAAAATACAGGACACAGTGGCTCATGACCGTAATTCCAGCACTTTGAGAGGCTCAGGAGATCACAAGGTTAGGAAATGGAGACCATCCTGGCTAACATGGTGACATCCCTTCTCTACTAAAAAATACAAAAAAAAAAAATAGCCGGGTGTGGTAGTGGGTGCCTGTAGTTCCAGCTACTCGGGAGCCTGGAAATGGCAAGAAAATGAAAGGCAGAATTGCCTTTCATTAACCTGAAAGGCAGAGCTTGCAGTGAGTCAAGATAGCACCACTACTGCACTCCAGCCTGAGTAATAGAGTGAGATTCCATCTCAAAAAAAAAAAAAAAAAAAAAGTCAGGAAATAGCAGATGCTGGCAAGGTTGTGAAGAACAACAACAAAAAAGCTTTTACACTCTTGGGTAAACTAGTGCAATCATTGTGGAATACAGTATGGCAATTTCTCAAAGACCTAGAGAGAGAAATACCATTCAACCGAGCAATCCCATTACTAGGTATATACCCCAAAGAATAGAAATGATTCTATTATAAAGACATGCACTCATTTGTTGAGTGCAGCACTATTCATAAAAGCATATATATTGAATCAATTTAAATGCCTATCCATGATTAACCAGATAAAGACAATGTGGTGCACATATGCCATGAAACACTCTTCAGCCATGAAAAAATCAAGTTATGTCCTTTTCAGGGACTTTGTTCGAGCTGGAGACCATTAACCAAAGCAAACTCACACAGCAAGAGAAAAACAAATACCACAAGTTTTCACTCATAACTGGAAGCTAAATGATGAGAACACATGGACACATAGAGGGGAAGAAACCACACTGGGGCCTACCAGAGGGTGAAGGCTGGAGGGACAGAGATGACCAAGAACACTTACTAATGTGTACAAGGCTTAAAATCTAGGTGATGAAATAATCTCTACAACAAATCCCATGACACATGTTTCTTTATGTAACAAACCTGTACATACTGCCTATGTACCCCTGAACTTAAAATGAATGTAAAAAACATATAGCCTTTAAACATTCAACCTGTGTTGCTTCAAGATATTTGTCTATAAAAACACAGATGGCTAAATGTGAAGAAATAGAACAAGGCAGTTATGTGAATGGGAACCAAAAAACACAGAGGCAGCTATATTTACAGCAGACAAAATAAGAGTTCAGGAAAAACTGGTAATAGGACACATAGAAATTCATTATATAAAGTACCAACACAATAAGATTATATGACTATTATAAATATATATACACCCAACGTTAAAACATGTAAATAAATACAGCAAGCACTAATAGACCTGAAGGGAGAAGTAGACTACAATACAGTATTGGTAGTGGTCTCCAACACCACACCATAAGCAATGCACAAATTTAGCAGACAAATAATTCAACCTAAACTACTCTTTAGACCAAATGAACCTAACAGTCATGAATAGAACATTGCATCATTCAGCCACAAAACTCCAGTATTTTCTCAACTGAATATGGCATATTCCCCAGGAGAAATTTTATTCTGAGGCCAGAATGCAATTCTAAGCACATCTTAAAATAGAAAGCATATCAAATGTATTTTCTTAATGCAATGGTGCCAGACAAGAAATTAACAACAGTTCAAGGCACTTTTGAATTATTTCACAACTACATTGAAATTAAACAAATAAAACTATAAATAGGTCAATAGAAAAAGTAATAAAGTCATATTTTTTAAAAAATCAATGTCTATATCACCAAGAAACACATCAAATAAACAACCTAACATTATCACCAAAGTTAGCAGACAGAAAATATTAGAACAACAGTAACAGAATTAGAAACCAGAGAGACAATACAAAATATCAAGAAAATTAAGAGTAGGTTTATGGAAGAGAGAAGCAAAATTATCACACCTTTAGGAAGGGGAACTAAGATGAAAAACAGAATTGCTCAAATAAAAATATGAAATAAATAAGACATAACAACTGATACCATAGAAATGAAGAAGATCGTAGGTGCTGTAATTGACAACTGCAATTGCTAATATGTTTTGGTGTAAAGCAATTGCATACTCAAGACAAATTGGATAATTCAGAAGACAGTAATGTTTCTTGGCACACTTACTAAGATTGAATGATGGAAAGAAAAAGAAAAGTCAATCAGTAAGAAGTTGAATTAGCAATAGCAACTATGTATCAAAGAAGGGCCTTGCATCTGGTGGCTCCACAGCTGTATTTTATCAAATATGTAAAGAACAATATATATCAATTCTCAAACTCATTACCCAAAGAGTTAAAGATTAAACAATATTTAAACTCACTTTATACCAGTTTGGTATCAGTTTATAATACCAAAGCCAGAAAAAGTACAGGCAAAAATGAAAACTGTAGGTGAATGTCCCTGTTGAACACAAACGCAAAATTCTCAACAAATTACTAGCAAACCACATGAATCAACACATTAAAAAATCTCATTCTCTATCACCAAGTGGGATGTACCCCAAAGATGTAAGATGGTTTAACATATTCAAATTAATATCACAGTAATAGAATGGAAGGCAAAATTATATAATCATTTCCATAGATGAATGAGGCATTGCTCCTTTCACAGGGCCACTAGATGTGGGGATCTCTTCCTGCAGACCCCTGATTTGGCAACCAATGAATAAATGTACACTGACACACAGATACTCTGCTCTGCCAGTCCAGCTGGTGGTCCAAGCTACTTACAGGCCCCAAGCTGAGTTTAGTAAACAGTTGCAACTCAGCCCTCAACCGATAGTCATGGTTGCATTTATTCAGTAAGACTAATTAACAAATGTTGAGAGTAAACACTGCAAGACGGTAAAGACTAAAAGCTAGGTTCTGGTCTGTAATCCCAGCACTTTGGGAGGCCAAGGCAGGGGGATCATGAGGTCTGGTGGCAGGCAGCTGTAGTCCCAGTTACTTGGGAGGCTGAGGCAGGAGAATGGTGTGAACCCAGGAGGCCGATCTTGCAGTGAGCTGAGATCGCACCACTGCACTCCAGCCTGGGCGACGGAGTGAGACTCCATATCAAAAAAAAGAAAAAAAAAAGGCTAGGTTCTGAAGCATAAAAAAAACACCACTTGTGGATAATAAACTTCTGCTGACCCCTAAATAGGAGGCAGTAAAATACCGGCAGCAGGACAAAGGTTAGCCTTAAGCCTACATAACTAAACAGGTTAGTAAGATAAACTTTCCACATTCATCTGTTCTTGCACCCTAATCTTTCTGGCTCCTGCAAACAGACCCTGGCTGCCTTCAGCCAAGCAATCTGAAAGTATGCAAACTCTCAGGCCTTCCAAGACAGTTTTTGACTACTACTGTAACTATCTTTAATATTTTCCCCACCAGCCTGGCAGAACCTCAACATTTCCCCCGTTTTTTGGTCTCTGTATCATGTCTTTTTGATTGCAGAGAGCAGATATATGCAGCCACAGGTTTGTCAGGAGAGGCCGTCACTGCTCTTATTCTGGCTTTCATCCCAGAATTAGCAAATAACACACACACAAAAATGAGTACAATTAGCAGCATTCTTTTCCAGTCAAAGAATTACCTTTAGTGTTACTTGGATGTTAGTTTGATGTGTGCTGCTACCAAGGAACTCCACTGGGTGTTTGTTAACTCCTTCCAGGCAAACAGTTACATTGTTAAAAGCTGGAAAGGGAGTGTCTGCTTAAGTAACAGGGCTGAAAAAAGGCAGAATTAAGAGATGAGCTTAATAGTGTGTAGCAGGTATAGATATAGGCACAGCAAGAAAATTAAAATGAAATAAATTATCTGGAGTGAATGCTGTCTGTTTCCAGAGCAGGACTCATACAGTCTTCTGAGTCATCTTCCTCAGCATTCTGTCCAGGGCATGCATTGTCTTAGCAAGCTGCATTGTTTGAGGCTACAGGTCCTAGGGTCTTTCTGAGGCTGGCTCAAGTTTTTTCTTCTTTCTATCCTTTGATGAGGACATACTTTCCAATCTGGTGTTGGAAATTCTAGGGGTGGTGACTGGGCTAAGAGAGTTTGTATGATGTTTAAAGAGCAGGTTATTGTTTTAAGAACAACTTGTGCTTTATTTTAATCTGTAGCATATAGAAAAACTGAATACTTTTTTAACTTTAGCCAATATGTTTACATACAGAATATTTTCTACAATTACAACTTGCTTAGACCTTCAAAACAAAGATTATATAACATTTCCACAGAAATTCCTTTTTATAACATTCTTCACAACTTTTACAATCTTTTACATGCCTTAACTTTCTAATTTTGTTTTATAACTTTCCTTGCTAAAGTTGCATTCTTATAACTTACTTAATATTTCTCTCTCTCCATCCTCTTTTATGTTTCTCCTTAGTATTAATTGCTGTGTCTGTCTCTCAGCTTTTTGTTTTTAGTCTATTTCTTACTCACTCTTTCCCTTTATTTTTCTCATTAATCTTTCTGTTTCTGTCTGATTTTGGAAGTTATGTAGGGTCATTGTCTTCATTTCCAGTACCGGGATGGGTTCTTAGCCACTCCATGGTATGGTTTGATGCATCATGCAGGAATCTAAAGAGGACCTAAGGGGATGTGAACATAAACATACCCTCTTCTTCATGTTAATAATTCATTAGGACTACATTATGTAAATGAGTGTTGGTAGCAACAGATACATGTACATATCTTAGTTATCCAAATTCAGGGATGTGTGTAATGTCTGTTTGCCACAACTAATTAGGTTCCAATCCTCTAGAATTCACAGCTGTAGAAGGAGGGGACATGCCTGTGAACCTGTGACCAGAATTGGTGGGTTCTTGGTCTCACTGGCTTCAAGAATGAAGCTGCAGACCCTCGTGGTGAGTGTTACAGTTCTTAAAGATGGTGTGTCTGGAGTTTGTTCCTTCAGATGTTCAGATGCATCCAGAATTTCTTCTTTCTGGTGGGTTCTTGGTCTCGCTGACTTCAGGAGTGAAGCTGCAGATCTTCACAGTGAGTGTTACAGTTCTTAAAGGCGGAGCTTCTGGAGTTGTTCATTCCTTCTGGTGGGTTTGTGGTCTCACTTGTTTCAGGAGTGAAGCTGCAGACCTTCCTGGTGAGTATTACAGCTCATAAAGGTGGTGCAGCCCCAAAGAGTGAAAAGCAGCAAGATTCACTGCAAAGAGTGAAAGAACAAAGCTTCCACAGAGTGGAAGGGAACCCCAGCAGGTTGCTGCTACTGACTCAGGTGGCCTGCTTTTATTCCCTTATCTGCTCCCACCCACATCCTGCTCATTGGTCCATTTTACAGAGAGCTGATTGGTCCATTTTACAGAGAGCTGATTGGTCCATTTTGACAGCATGCTGATTGGTGCATTTAGAAACCTTTAGCTAGACACAGAGCACTGATTGGCGAGTTTCCAAACCTTTAGCTAGACACTGAGTGATGATTGGTGTGTTTACAATCCTTTATCTAGACAGAAAATTTCTCCAAGTTCCCCCCTGTCCCAGAAATCCAGCCGGTTTCACCTCTTACTGGCACCCTCCGCAGGCATGCTGGCAGCCCAGAGGGAGCTCATCCCCTGATCAAGCCCAGCAGGTGCCAGCCGGCCGCACCGAGTGTGGGGCCCACTGAGCCTGCACACACCCAGAACCTGCACTGGCCCACGAGTGCTGCGCACAGCTCTGGCTCCCACTCATGCCTTTCCCTCCACACCTTTGCCTGAGGAGAGGGAGCTGCCTCTGGCCTCGGTCAGCCCCAGAGAGGGGCCCCCACAGTGTAGCAGTGGGCTGAAGGGCTCCTCGAGCATGGCCAGAGTGGATGCCGAGGCTGAGGAGGCACCAAGAGTGAGTGACCGCTGCTAGGACATTGTCACCTCTCAAGCTGACAATCTGGGCCTTGCAGGAAAATTTGTTTAGTCACACTCAGAATAAGTTGAATTTGTTTACATAAGTTTCTTCAATTTTGGTGGAAAAATTGATGCAACAGGGGGTTTGGTCAAGCAGTGATGTCATAATCTGAAGGTCTGCTTGTTCTTTGCCATAAGCCAATGGTACAGACAGTGAGCTGTGGGCTCGAATGTGTGTAATAAAAATGGCATGTGTGTGTTAATTTTGCAGTTGCTGAAGTCGAAGAAAAAGATATAATTAAGGCTGTAAAAGTTTTTTAATAATAAGCAGAGTAACCTTAGCTGTCTGAATACTAGCAAACCTAGACTGAGTGAATTGTTTAGTCTTTACCAGACTCGCACTTTTCCGTGTTTACCAGACCCATCAGTAAACAGTGTTAAACCGTTAGGTATGGGAAAGTAAACTGTTTTTGTAGGCAATATTACCAGAGTGTGAGATATAAAATGAAGTAGTTTATTAGCAGGGAGCAAATGCTCTATTTGTCCTATGTAATCAGAGAAAACTATTTGCAGATTTATTGACAAAGGTAATACATTTCAAATTGCTTTTTACTTAAAGGACTGATAACACCGGAGTCATAACCTAGAAACTGATTGCAACATTTGTGACCTGAATAAATGACTTTACTAATTAACTGAATATAGGAAGAGAGTGTTTTAGTCCCAGTATGTAAGCAAAAAACCCATTATTTGAAACATAGCCCAGGGTTCATTTGTCCTAGTAACCCTGTAGGGAAGTATTTGGTGACAAAGATAAACAGCTGAATTGAATACTGTGGATTAATGAGATCTAGCTGCCTCTGAGAGATGGCTTGCTCAATTTCCTCAATTTCCCTTTTTGCTGCAGGGGTTAAATATCTGGGAGAATCCAGGGCTGGATTGCCCTTTAAGAGAGAAAACAGGTTTTGTAGTTTGTCAGTAGAAATCCTTAAAGTGGGATGGAATCAATTAATGTCTCCTAAGTTGCTAGTATTTAGCTTAACTTTTTGAGATCTTACTGACAGAGAGCTTAACAGATATCCAATATATTTCCAAGAAGACATTTGTACTTTTTAAGGCACAATGACTAAACCTTTTAGCTTTGTAGTCTTTACGACAGAGGTAAACAAATGTAAAATTATTTGCTCCGTTGGGGTTGCTAGTAGAATATTATCCATAAAATGAATAGTTTTACAGTCAGGAAATTTTTTTTTTTACTAGGGAGCAAAGCTTGATTTACATTATAGTGACACATGGTAGGACAGTTTAGCATTCCTTGAGGAAGCACTTTCCAATGAAATTGACAAATTGGTTTGTCATGATTAATAGCTGGTATTGGCCTGGCATGGTGGCTCACACCTGTAATCCCAGCACTTTGGGAGGCCAAGGTGGGTGGATCACAAGGTCAGGAGATTGAGACCATCCTGGCTAACATGGTGAAACTCCATCTCTACTAAAAATACAAAAAATTAGCCAAGCATGGTGGCAGACACCTGTAGTCCCAGCTACTCGGGAGGCTGAGGCAGGAGAATGGCATGAACCTGGGAGGTAGAGCTTGAAGTGAGCCAAGATCACACCTCTGACCTCCAGCCTGGGCAACAGAGCAAGACTCCATCTCAAAAAAAAAAGAAAAAAAAAATAGATGGTATTGTCCTGTTCTGCTAGAGGAATCGTATATAGAAACAATCTTTTAAGTCATTAACAATTGTAGGCCAATCTTGAGGAATCACTTCAGGGGAGCATAATTTGCTTTTAATTGTTCCTAAACTGACTCATGGGCCTTCTGTAATGACTCTCCTTCTAGAGGTTACTGTTTTATTTAAAATGAATTTGGAGAGAGATAACAACAGAGGCTTTTATTACAAAAAGATCTTTCAAATTCTTATATTTTATTTAAATCTTATCAAAAAATTATAATCTGGGATGTTGCTAGTAAACAAGAAGCACATGTGATTTTGCCATGGGTTGCCTGCAGAGCCAGTGAGCCAATCAGTTGGGTCCCGCGGTGGAGGCTGCTTTACATTTATAAAGGTGCATCTTTTTTACTGTGCCATTTTTCCTCTGCGCCAGCTCCCTCTCCCCACCTCCAGGTGGCTGTTGCTCACCAGGGTGCATCTCGGCTTAGATCAACTCTGTTGCAAGTGCTTTTTGCCCCTCCCTAGCAGGCTAGCACTGACAGTGGCTTGGCTCTTTGTTGCTGCAGCTGCAGTGTGGGTGGAGTTTTTCTTTCTACTTACTGTTCACTTGGCTGTGTCGCTTTGGCTTCTAATGACTTTTCTTAGCCATTTAGGTACCTGATCACTTTGCCAATATTGGATTACTGGGCAGGCTAAGAGCTTCTCTTTTAGTTCTGCCTGCTTAAGACAAGAGACTGATAGCTATAGCAGATCCAAAGTCTTTTTTCTTACCTATTGGAGTAGGAGGCTTAGGTAAGACCTCTGTTTCCCTTTGTTATTTCAACCTGGTGATACTAGGGCTGAGGGAATAGGAGGTGATAAGACAGGTGACATTTCCTCCTCCTGTCCCTTTTCAGACTTTTCTGTGTGTAACAGAGCCAAGACTGCTTTAAAGCCCATAATATTAAAGCTGTTACTGGTCTGGGTGACCGCAAGGGGACACATATTGGTGACCCATATAGGACACATCTTGGTGACCACAAAGGGAGCAACACCAAGTGGTGAATACCATCAGGCCCCTATCACTTGCTATTCTGTCCTATTTTTCCTTAGAATTCTGGGGCTAAATACTGGGCACCAGTAGGCCAGTTAAAAGCAACTAGCGCAGCCACTGGACTACAGACATGGGTGTCAAGCTTCTAGGAAAGGACCCTCTAACAACCCCTGACTCTTTGGAGTTGGGAGCATTGGCTTGTCTGGAACCAGCTTCCACTTTTCCTGTACTTCTGGGTAAGCTGAGGATCAACAGAGAGGAAAGCCATTCAGCTCTGGGATCCCAACAAAATGTTGGTTGACCCTGTAGTGATGAGTGGAGCTGTCAAAGTCACATCGCCCAAGTGAGACTTGCTCATCTGTCCTGTCTATACTGACCCTTGCCTCCTGGCTCCTAAAGCCTGTCAGACAAACTTCCTCTTGCCTCTCTTCTCTGAGGCTCATCCCACTTCTAAAAACCACTCCTGTCTCTGGTTCTTTTCTACTTTCTCGTATAAGAATGATTTCTAGTATAAACTCCAGGACTCTATTCCCTTATTTAGGCACCCCAGCTTACCAATCAGAAAGGCATAATTTTTGCCCAAAGCCCTGCCAGGAAGGGACCTATCTGGAATTTTAGTATTCCTCCTCAGACAAGCAGGCCTAACAAAAGCTATTCCTGAAGCTAGGATATGGGGAGCTTCAGAAATGATATCCTTCCTATTCAAGCGAGGACAAAAGACATCACTCTTCCAACCCTGGAGATCCCTTTCCTCCCTCAGGGTATGGCCCTCCACTATATTTTTGGGGCACAGCATCTTTATAAGATAACAATAAAGTCCCAATACTAACAGGAGAATGCTTAGCACTCTAACAGGTTTTTGAGAATGCATTGGTAAGGGCCACTAAATCCAATTTTTCTTGGTCCTCTTTTGTGGTCTAGGAGGACAGGCAAGGGGGCATGTTTTTGAGAATGCATTGATAAGGGCCACTAAATCTTACCTTCCTCAGTCCTCTTGTGGTCTAGGAGGAAAACTATGGTTTCTGCTGCTGCATTGGTGAGTGCAACTATTCCAATCAGCAGGGTCCAGGGACCATTGCATGTTACTGAGCAACAGGTGTTTATACTGCTACATTGGTGAGTGCAACTCTTCTGATCAGCAGGTCTAGGGACCATTGAGGGTTCCTGGGCTTTGATGGAGGTGTTGAAACAAATAAACCAAAACTGTGGGTGGTTTTGTTTTTCAGATGGGAAACACTCAAGCAGGAACAGGTTCACCCTTGAAATGCATCCTAAGCCACTGGGACCAATTTGACCTGAAAAATCTGGAAAAGAGGCAGCTCATTTTTTTCTGCACTATGGCTTGGCCCCAGTATTCTCTCTGATGGGGAAAAATGGCCACCTGTGGGAAGTATAAATTACAACACTGTCCTGCAGCCTGAATCTTTTTTGTAAGAGAGAAGGCAAATGGAGTAAAATACCATATGTTCAAGCTTTCTTTTCATTGAAGGAGAATCTACAACTATGCAAAGCTTGCAATTTACACCCCACAGGAGGACCTCTCAGCTTACCTCCATATCCTAGCCTCCCTATAGCTCCCCTTCCTATTAATGATAATCTCCCTCTAATAGCTCCCCTTCCTATTAATGATAATCCCCCTCTAATCTCCCCTTCCCAGAAGGAAACAAGAAAAGAAATCTCCAAAGGACCACAAAAACCCCCAGGCTATCAGTTATGTCCCCTTCAAGCTGTAAGGAGAGAGGAACTTGGCCCAACCTGGTTACATGTCCCCTTCTCCCTCTCTGATTTAAGGCAGAAAAAGGCAGACCTGGGAATGTTTTCAGATGATTCTCATAGGTACATAGATATCCTATAGGATCTAGGCCAAACCTTTGACCTCACTAAAAGAGTTGTCATGCTATTGTTAGATCAAACACTGGCCTTTAATTAAAAGAATGCAGCTTTAGCTGCAGTCCAAGAGTTTGGAGATATCTGGTATCTTTGTCAAATAAATGATAGAATGACAGCCAAAGAAAGGGACAAATTCCCTACTGGTCAGCAAGCCATCCCAGTATGAATCACCACTGAGACCTTGACTCAGATCATAGGGACTGGAGTTGTAAACATCTGCTGACATGTGTTCTAGAAAGACTAAGGAGAATGAGGAAAAACCCCATGAATTATTCAATGATGTCCACCATAATTCAGGGAAAGGAAGAAAATCCTTCTGTCTTCCTTGTGTGGCTATGGAGGCCTTAAGAAAATATACTGCCCTGTCACCCGACTCACTCAATTGTCAATTGATGCTAAAAGATGAGTTTATTACCCAATCAGCTGCAGATATGAGAAGAAAGCTCCAAAAGTGACCCCTGGGCCCTCAACAAAATCTGGAGGCATTATTAAACCTGGCAACCTTGGTGTTTTATAATAGGGACCAAGAGGAAAAGGCCAAAAAGGAAAAGCAAGTTTACAGAAAGTCCGCAGCCTTAGTCATGGCCCTCAGACAAACTTTGGTGGTTCAGAGAGGACAGAAAATGGAGCAGGCCAATCACCTGGTAGTGCTTGTTACCAGTGTGGTTTGCAAGGACACCTTAAAAAAGGTTTCCAACAAGAAACAAGCAGCCCCCTCAGCCATGTCCACTATGCCAAGGCAATCACTGGAAGGTGCACTGCCCTAGAGGACAAAGGTTCTCTGGGCCAGGAGCCCCCAACCAGATGATCCAACAACAGGACTGAGGGTGCCTGGAGCAAGCACCAGCTCATTTCATCACTTTCACTGAGCCCTGGGGAATTTTAACCATTGAGAGCCAGGAAATTGACTTCCTCATGGACACTGGTGCAGCTTTCTCAGTATTAATTTCCTGTCCCGGACAGCTGTCCTCAAGGTCTGTTACTATCTGAGGAATCCTGGGATGGCCTGTAACAAGGTATTTCTTCCCCCTCCTCAGTTGTAATTGGGAGACTTTGCTAGAGATAGTAAGTATGCTTATCTAATCTTACATGCCCATGCTGCAATATGGAAAGAAAGGGAGTTCCTAACCTCTGGGGGAACCCCCACTAAATATCAAAAGGAAACCATGGAGTTATTGCACACAGGGCAAAAACCCAAGGAGGTGGCAGTCTTACACTGCCAAAGCCATCAAAAGGGGAAGGAGAGGGGAGAACAGCAGCATAAGTGTCTGGCAGCAACAGAGAAAAACCAGCAGAAAGGAAAGAGAGAAAGAGAAAAGAGAGAGAGACAGACAGAGGAAGAGACAGAGAAAAAGGAGGAGTCAAAGACAGAGACAGAGAGAGGAAGATAAATAAAGACAGAAAGAGAGAGAGAAAGAAAGAGAGAGACAAAGAGAGAGAGGAAGAGAACAAAGAGGGAGTCAGAAAGAGACAAAGAAGGAATCAAAGACAGAAAAAGAGAGAGATAGAAGTAATAAAGAAAACAACAGTGTACACTATTCCTTTAAAAGCCAGGGTATATTTAAAACCTATAATTCATAATTGAAGGTCTTCTTAGTGACCCTATAATAGTCCAACACCACCTTGTTGTCTGTGTAAACAAGGGCGTAGCCCAAAAGCACTGAGGCCACTGACAACCCATAGCCTTCCTATCAAAAATCCTTAACCCAGCAGGTTTCTTAACAGGGGATCTAAATCTTAATTAATTACCATACAAAGGTCTGACTAGACCTAGGAAGAACTCCCTTTAGGACAAGATGATAGGTAGTTTCTCCTGAGTGATTAAGGAAAAAAGACACAATGGGTATTCAGTAAACTATAAGGAAACTCTTGTAGAAGTAGAGTTAGGAAAATTGCCTAACAATTGGTCTGCTCAAACATACAAGTTGTTTGTACTCAGCCAAACCTTAAAGTACTTACAGAATCAGGAAGGAGCCATCTATACAAATTCTAAGTTAATATGGACTGAACGAGTCATATTAATAGCAAATAAAAATTAAAATCCCAAACTTACAAGATGTTCAACAAAAGTAAAGTTTGCTATAAGTTACCAGTGTAACATGTATTATCCTAACTTTTAATCTCATGGAATCTGATCCTATCAGTGCCCCTCAAAGCTCAAGTCCATCAGTGCAGGGCCATACAACTAATACCCCTACTTATAGGGTTAGAAATGGCCACTGCTACAGGAACTGGAATAGCTGGTATATCTACTTCATTGTCCTACAACCACACACTCTCAAAGGATTTCTCAGAGAGTTTACAAGAAATAACAGAATCTCTCCTTAATCTACAATCCCAAATAGACTCTTTGGCAGCAGTGACTCTCCAAAACTCCTGCCCAGACCTCCTCACTGCTGAGAAAGGAGGACTCTGTACCTTCTTAGGGGAAGAGTGTTGTTTTTACACTAACCAGTCAGGGATAGTATGAGATGCCACCTGACATTTAAAGGAAATGTCTTCTGAAATCAGACAACACCTTTCAAACTCTTATACCAACCTCTGGAGCTGGGTGACATGGCTTCTCCCCTTTCTATGTAACCATGACAGCCATCTTGCTATTACTTGCCTTTGGATGCTGTATTTTTAACCTTGTTGTCACATTTATTTCCTCTAGGATCGAGGACATCAAGATATGATGATCTTACAAATGGAACTCCAAATGAGCTCAAGTAACAACTTCTACCAAGGACCCTTGGACCTACTCACTGGCCCTTTGATTGGACTAAAGAGTTCCCCTCTGGACGACACTACAACTGCAGGGCCCCTTCTTGCCCCTATCCTATCTAGAGTGGTCACCACCCAATTCCCAACAGCAGCTGGGGTTTCCTGTTTAGACAGGGCATTGAGAAGTGAAGTCAGCTGGACTTCCTGGGTCAAGTGGGGACTTGGAGAATTTTCTGTCCAGTTAGAGGATTGTAAACACAGCAATCAGCACTCTATAAAAATGCACCAATCAGCACTTTGTGTTTAGCTAAAGGAGAGCAAACTCAGCATTCAGCCCTCTGTTAAATAGACCAATCAGTAGGACATCGGCAGGGAAAAATAATGGAATAAAAGCTGGCCACCCCAGCCAGCAGCAGCAACCCACTTTGCCCCCTTTCACGCTGTGGAAGCTTTGTTCTTTCACTCTTCACAATACATCTTGCTGCTGCTCACTCTTTGAGTCTGCATTACCTTTATGAGCTGTAACATTCACTGCGACGGTCTGCGGCTTCATTCCTGAGGTCAGCAAGACAATGAACACACCAGGAGGAACAAAAATTCCAGACATGCCAACTTTAGCAGCTGTTAACACTCACCATGAGGGTCTGCAACTTCATTCCTGAAGTCATTGAGACCACAAACCCACTAGAAGGAACAAACTCTGGATAGGCCACATTTAAGAGCTGTAACACTCACCACGAGGTCCGTGGCTTTATTCTTGAAGTCAGTGAGATCAAGAACCCACAAGAAGGAATAAATTCCAGACACACTGGGGCCTGCTGCCTTTGCACCTGTTGTTGTTTAAGACTTCTCACTTGTTCCCACAGTTCTACATTTAGCATTCCTTCTTCTGGGAACCATGGGCTTGGGATCACAACAGTTTGCATTATGTCCCTTAATGAGTCTGCAAAACTGATGTTATGGTAGCCTTAAGCAACTATTTCAACACTTTTATATATTGTTTCTGTTGAGCTGGTAACTGTGTCCCATGATGAAATCTCAGCTTGACTCAACTTCCCCAAGAACTTGGTAACCTTGAGTGAGCAACAATGACTTACTGATTAATTACTCACTTGCTTGACCACATGGTTCCTTTTTTCACCTTTGTTTTTAAGGGATCTATTGCATTTACTTCATGCTTCCTTCACAGCTTTCCTCATGAGAACAGTCCCCACACTTCTTTTGCAGCTTGCCACAAGTGCAAGTGGGGCTCCAAGTGTGGGGGTTTGTTTTTGCAGACCCCTGACACAGGTCCTCACGCAGGTCCCCATTTGAGGCAGTGCTCCTTTTGCAGAGACACTAGATGCAGGGAGTCTGTTCCTGCAGACCTCTGATTTGGCAACAGAAGAATAAACGTACACTGACACACAGATATTCTGCTCTGCCAGTCTAGCTGAAGGCCCAAGCCACTTACAGGCTCCAAGCTGCGTTCTGTAAACGGTTGTGACTCGGCCCTGATCTGCAGGTAAAGGTCACATTTATTCAGTAAGGCGAATTAACAAAAATTGTGAGTAAACACCGCTAGAAGATAAAGATTAAAAGCTAGGTTCTGAGGCCTAAAGCAAACACCATTTGTGGGTAATAAACTTCTGCCGACCCCCTGAGTTGGAGGCAGTAAAGTACTTGAGGTAGGACAAAGGTTAGTCATAAGCCCATATAACTAAACAGGTTAGTAAAATAAGCTTTCCACATTCATTGGTACTGCACCCTAATCTTTCTGGCTCTTGCAAAGAGACCCTGGCTGCCTTCAGCTGAGCATTCTGAAGGTATGCAAACTCTCAGGCCTTTGAAGACAGTTTTTGACTATTACTATAACTATCTTTAATATTTTCCCTATCAACCTAATTGAACCCCATCAATGAAAAAGCATTTGGGAAAATTTAACATTGCTTCATGATAAAAACTGTCAAGAGTTATGTTTAAAAAATTCATCTGAACACAGTGAAAATTATATATGACAAATTTACAGCTAACATCATACTGAATGGGAAAAAGTTGCAAGCTTTTGCTAAGGTCTGAAAGAAGTCAAGAGAGGGCATTTTCATTACATCTATTCAACATAATACTAGAAGTCTGAGCCACAGCAGTTATGTAAATGAGAGAAAATACTAGGGATATCTGGATAGAAGGGAAGAAGCTACACATCCCTTGTATGCAGATAACTTCATCTTACATAGAAAACCATAAATAATCCATTTAAAAAACTATTAGAACTAATAAACAAATTCAGTAAATATGTAGAGTACAAAATTCACATGAAAAATAGGCAGGCAGATCATGAATTCAGAAGTTTCAGCCCAGCCTGGTGAAACCCCATCTCTACTAAAAATACAAAAATTATGTGGGTGTGGTGGCACACACCTGTAATCCCAGCTACTCAGGAGGCTGAGGTAGGAGAATCGTTTGATCTGGGAAGCAGAGGTTGCCGTGAGCCAAGGTTGCATCACTGCACTCCAGCCTGGGTGACAGAGTAAGACTCCATCTCCAAAACAAAAGGAAAAAAAAGAAAAAAACTTAGTATCCAGAACAAATAAGAAACAATAGCCAAAAATTTTCTAATTAAAAATGTTCAAAAGATGTAAATAGACATTTCTCCAAAAATGACACAGATACTTCCAACACATTTCTAAATAAAAGTTCAACATAATTTTTATTGGAGAAATGCCAGGAAAACCCATAAGAAAATATGACAAGTCCTTTCAGCTCAGTGAATCTATTAGAATAATAATGGATATAACTAAAAATTGCAAAAGAATAACAAGTATTGCCAGGGATGTGGAGAAAAGAAAAGTGGGGAACTGCACAAAACATCCTCTTGGATGGAATGTAAATTAGTAGAATCAGTATGGAAGACATTCTGTAGATCTCTAAAAAATTTACATGAAAGTTTCCACATGACTGAACAATCTGCACCACTGAGTATGTAGGCAAGGGAAAGAAAATTAGCATGTCAAATAAATATTTGCTCTTTTTTGTTTATTACAGCACTATTCACCATGAACAATACAATATTAAACCTGGATGTTCATAAACAGACAAATGAATTTAAAATGTGGTATATGTACACACACACACAATGAAATAGTATATATCTATTAAAAATGAACTTTTATCATTTGCCATGCCACATACCATGTATATTCCTTTACATGTAACTAAGCAAAATAACCTAGGTGTAGGAATAAAAATAACACATTATCTGACCTATATGTGGAATCTAAAAAATTTTCTCATAGAATTATAGGGAAGAATAGTGGTTATGGGGGTCTAGAAAGAATTAGAAATGTAGGGATAGGAAGAAGTTGGTAAATAAATACAAAAAAAGTAGTTAAATTGAAAAAAAAGAAGCAATGGTATTCCATTGCACAGCAGGGTCACTATTTTTAATAACAATGCATTATATATTTCTAAATAGAAGAGAGAATTCCTAGGGTTCTAATCACGAGGAACATTAGAGGAGATGAATAAATACCATTATTTGGTATATTGTATGCATGTTTTAAAATAACATGGTCTGCCATATAGTTGTGCATGTATAATATGTGAATGGAAAATATAATGAAACTTAAAATGTAAAATGTAACAAAATCAGAGAAATAGATGGAGAGACAAGTAAAAAATGCAAACAAACACAGACGCTGATGAATGAAGTGCACCACAGACACAGAGACCAATAAGGCTAACAGAAAATGGCACAAACTCACCCTGAGATACACAAACAAATTGGGGGTCCCGAGCAGCCTAACTGGGGGGCACCCCCCCAGTAGGGGCAGACTGACACCTCACATGGCCAGGTACTCCTCTGAGACAAAACTTCCAGAGGAGCCATCAGACAGCAGCATTCGTGGTTCATGAAAATCTGCTGTTCTGCAGCCACCGCTGCTGATACCCAGGCAAACGGGATCTGGAGTGGTCCTCTAGAAAACTCCAACAGACCTGCAGCTGAGGGTCCTGTCTGTTAGAAGGAAAACTAACAAACAGAAAGGACATCCACACCAAAAACCCATCTGTACATCACCATCATCAAAGACCAAAAGTAGTTAAACCCACGAAGATGGGGAAAAAACACAGCAGAAAAACTGGAAACTCTAAAAAGCAGAGCGCCTCTCCTCCTCCAAAGGAACGCAATTCTTCACCAGCAATGGAACAAAGCTGGATGGAGAATGATTTTGACGAGTTGAGAGAAGAAGGCTTCAGACGATCAAACTACTTCGAGCTACAGGAGGAAATTCAAATCAAAGGCAAAGAAGTTGAAAACTTTGAAAAAAATTTAGACGAATGTATAACTAGAATAACCAATACAGAGAAGTGCTTAAAAGAGCTGATGGAGCTGAAAGCCAAGGCTTGAGAACTACGTGAAGAATGAGGAAGCCTCAGGAGCTGATGCAATCAACTGGAAGAAAGGGTATCAGTGATGGAAGATGAAATGAATGAAATGAAGCAAGAAGGGAAGTTTAGAGAAAAAAGAATACAAAGAAACGAACAAAGCCTCCAAGAAATATGGGACTATGTGAAAAGACCAAATCTACGTCTCATTGGTGTACCTGAAAGTGATGCGGAGAATGGAACCAAGTTGGAAAACACTCTGCAGGAGAACTTCGCCAATCTAGCAAGGTAGGCCAACATTCAGATTCAGGAAATACAGAGAATGCCATGAAGATACTCCTGAAGAAGAGCAACTCCAAGACACATAATTGTCAGATTCACCAAAGTTGACATGATGGAAAAAATGTTAAGGGCAGCCAGAGAGAAAGGTCAGGTTACCCACAAAGGGAAGCCCATCAGACTAACAGCTGATGTCTTGGCAGAAACTCTGCAAGCCAGAAGAGAGTGGGGGCCAATATTCAACATTCTTAAAGAAAAGAATTTTCAATCCAGAATTTCATATCCAGCCAAACTAAGCTTCTTAAGTGAAGGAGAAATAAAATACTTTACAGACAAGCAAATGCTGAGAGATTACTGCTCTAAAAGAGCTCCTGAAGGAAGCACTAAACATGGAAAGGAAAAACCGGTATCAGCCACTGCAAAACCATGCCAAATTGTAAAGACCTTCAAAGCTAGGAAGAAACTGCATCAACTAACGAGCAAAATAACCAGCTAACATCATAATGACAGGATCAAATTCACACATAATAATATTAACTTTAAATGTAAATGGACTAACACTGTTGGTGGGACTGTAAACTAGTTCAACCATTGTCGAAGTCAGTTTGGTGATTTCTCAGGGATCTAGAACTAGAAATACCATTTGACCCAGCCATCCCATTACTGGGTATATACCCAAAGGACTATAAATCATGCTGCTATAAAGACATATGCACACGTACATTTATTGCGGCACTATTCACAATAGCAAAGACTTGGAACCAACCCAAATGCCCAACAATGATAGACTGGATTAAGAAAATGGGGCACATACACACCATGGGATATTATGCAGCCATAAAAAATGATGAGTTCATGTCCTTTGTAGGGACATGGATGAAATTGGAAATCATCATTCTCAGTAAACTATCACAAGGACAAAAAACCAAACACCACATATTCTCACTCATAGGTGTGAATTGAACAATGAGAACACATGGACACAGGAAGGGGAACATCACACTCTGGGGGCTGTTGTGGGGTAGGGGTAGGGGGGAGGGATAGCATTAGGAGATATACCTAATGCTAAATGATGAGTTAATGGCTGTAGCACACCAGCATGGCACATGTATACATATGTAACTAACCTGCACATTGTGCTCATGTACCCTAAAACTTAAATTATAATAAAATAAAAGAAAGTGGGGGTCATGCTGTCTCCTCCTTCTAGAGGAGAATGTCCTGAGGCCCAGTAAACTGGCACATGAGCCTCCACCAGCTGTGCTTCTTATCTGTATTCATCACTTTTCCTCTCCATCAATTTGTTCTTCCTGCTAGTGCTTCCTTTTCTCAGGTGGTGTTGCAAGAGACTGAGTTGCATGTCATCACTCTTAAGCTGCCAGATAAAATGCACAGTTAAGATTAACATTCATCCCTCAAGAACTTTAACAATTGAAACAACTGGAAAATCCACCAAAATCATGTCAACTGATGCCCACAAGGCATCCCCTCAGTAGTTGTCTTGTTGTATCCTGTTACAGTATGGTCATAGCACTGCTTGAAGAAGTTGAGAAAAGTAGTGATGTTTCTGTAGGTCAGGCCTCTGTTTACATTCCAGCCATTTTGGATTTACATACTATGATACAATATATATCTTGGAGAAAAACAAGGGTGCAGCAAAGGTGCTGGAGTATGTTGGTCTAAGTCTTAACCACACCACATTCTCCCCAGTGTTACTTGTTATCAGTGAAGACAATTTCTAGCGTCCATTACAGAACTCCTAAGAGTAAACTTAGGTGTATTATTTAGCTCTTCTCATCAATTCTGCCCTCTACACTTTACAACCTCTGGTAACTGATATTCTATTCTCTACTTCTGTAAGATAAACTTTTCTCAAATTTACATATGCTTGAGCTAAGGGATATAAGTCTTTCTGTACCTGACTTATTTTACTTTGCAAAATGTTCTCAACATTTATCTATGTTGTCATAAATAACAAAAATGTGTTGATTGGCACTTAGATTGATTTAATATCTTCATTATAGTAAATATTGCTGCAATAAACATGGGAGTAAAGATATTTTTCCAACACACTGATTTTTTTTCCTTTTTTTTTTTCTTTTCATATGGAGTCTCACTGTGTTGTGCAGGACGGAATGCAGTGGCATGATCTTGGCTCACTGTGATATCTCCTCCCAGTTTCAGCCTATTCTCCCACCTCAGCCTTTGTTTGTTTTTGCCAATAAGTCATTTTTTCTCATATATTTTGGCTATTAATCCCTATTAAATAAATCGTGAAATTTTTTTACCCTATTGTAGGTCCTTTTCTCTGTTGTAAGCTTTCACTGTTGTGGTTGTAATTGTTTTCTTGTGCAGAAGCTTATAAAATTTATGTGTCATGTAATACTCTATGTATCTATGGACATAAAGTGATATATATATAGAATGAATAATGATCAAATCAGACCATTAGAATGTCATTCATCTCAAGTATTTATAATTTATATTTGTTGTGAACATTTAAAATTATCTCTTCTGCATTTTTGAAAATATACATGAAATTATTATATCTATTCTGCACTGCTATAGAACACCAAAACTTTTTTCTACTCCCATCTAGTTGTAAGCTGGTACCTATTGCCCACTCTTTCCTGATTTACCCATTCTCTGAACACCCCAGTGTCAAACCAATACAATTATCCTCTCTACCTATATGAAATAATTTTGGTATTCAAAAGCATATGTGATTTGTATGTTTTATATTTTTTCACTTGATTCATTTTACTTTACCTAAGGTACTACAGTCTTACTCTCATTGCCACATATTGTACTATTTTACTGTTTTTATGGGTGCATAGTATTCCATTTTCACCTCTCTTTCTCTTTCTCTTCCTCTTTCTCTCCCTCTCTCCCTCTCACGTGTGTGTGTGTATGTGTGTGTGTATACATACATACATACATTTAGATTAGCAGTATATGTCAACTATATGAGTACAGCTGCAATAAACATGAAATTGCAGGTGTCTCCAATATACTGCTTTTTTCTCTCTGAATAATGGAATTTCTGGATCATATAATAGGTTTCATGTTTGTCCACTTTGTGAGAAACTTCACACTATTCTCCATAATGGCTATATTAATTTTCATTTTCAGTATCAATGTATGAGTGTCTTTTTCTGACCTTTTTTCATTATTGTTTATTAAAGGAACTGCTGTTTACCCATTGTGTATTTGTTGCCTATCTGTATGCTTTTATGTTGATATAATTCTTTTACTGTTATTGTTTACTATTTCTTTGTAGATATTTTCTTATCACATGGTATGACATTCCTAGCATTATTTTTTGTTTCATCTTGCTTTCACTCTGGTGTCTTTCATTGGTTCCCTACTAATTTTAGATTATTTTTGTGAATCATGCCATTGGTATTATATTTTCCTTTTGATTACACTAAATATAAATATTATTTAGGTGGCATTGTCATTTTAACAGAAGTAATTCCTCCAGTGTATGACCCTGTGGTCTGTCCATTTTTAGCTATTTTTAATATATTTATCAGTGTTTTGTCATTTTTATTGTAGAGATCTTTTACCTTCTTAGTAAAATAAGAAGGTATTTTATTTCTTATAGCAGTTATAAATAGGATTCTCTTCTTTACTTCTATTTATTTAATTAATTAATGGCTATAGACATGTTGCTAATTTCTATTGATCTTGAAACTCTACTAAATTTGTTTATTATTTCTAAGCAGGTTTCAAGGAGATGCTAGGTTCTTTTAGTATGAGGAGTATATCAATGACAGAGGGACAGTTTGACATTTTTATTCGTATTTGGATGGTCTTCATTACTTTCTCTTGCCTAATTTTCTGGAGAGTAATTCATTATTATATTTAATAAGAGTGGTAAAAGTTCACACTCTTTACCTAGTTCCAGTTGCAGAAGAAAGGCTTTCAGCTTTTAGCCATTCAATGTGATGATAGCCCTGTGTTAGCCTTATATGGTCTTTATTGTGTTGAGTGTATTTATTTTATAGTTAGCCATTAAAAGTTTTTTAATCTTTTAAAATTATGTATGAATGTTGTTTTGCGGCCCAATATATGGTGTATTATTTTTAATGTCTTATGTACTTGTAAAAAATATACATGTTCTAGAGCTATTGAGTAAAATATTTGATCTCTAGTGCAGCTTAATTACATTTTATCTTTGACAATATTTTGTTGATATAAGTATGTGTTATGCTGAATGAAGGGTGCTAAAGTCCACTTGATTGTGTTGCTGTAGAGAGGAATTATATGCTGAGTTTTGCCCTAGAGACCAAAGCTGCTGTTGTATTAAGGCACTATTTAGAAAATAGAACCAATAAAGGACTAAATTTTTCCCTGGGGTTTAACATTTCTGACATCTTGCTGACATCCTTCAACACACACCCAGAGGTCTGAGTGTCATGGCAATATCTGTACTCATTGATATGGCCAAGTCACTGGACTATAAGCCTGCCAAGGCCCATTACCTTGAGAAGTGGGTAGTCCAGCTAATTAGATAGGCTGTGCTCTAGATTCAGAAAAGCAAAGTGTGCACCCTCCTGAGCCCAAGAGCAATCTTCCTGGTTTACAGCCACCACAACCACATTTCTCTCACTCAGCAGTAGGATCACAACACAACCTCCTGCCTCACTTTCTTTCTCAGAGAACAATTGTGTGTCCTGCTATGTTTACTGCCATGCTTAGGATCCAAGGACAGTGAGCAGGAAACCACCCAGGTCAGCCATCATATATATCACCAGCACCAGTGTAACACAATAGACAACCTAAAGACTGACCCACCCAGATTACTGTGGACATTACTGGACCCTCTGCACAAAACTCATGAGTCCTCAAAGTGCCACTTGGTTTTCCATCATTATATCAGTGCCCATTTGTGTTACTTGTTGGCTGCTACACCAGCCTACTCCAGGACCCAATCCCCCACAGGGATGCTCAAGAATCAACCACTGGTGACTGAATGCCAAATCCATTGACCCAAGAAGCATACTACCTACTTCCTAGGGCCCATAAATTCCATCCAAGCTCCCAAGAATTGGTCTACACAAGGTATTAATACCATCACCCATTAAGCCACCTGGGTATATGAGGATCAGTTATCTCTGCTTACCAATATCACTGCCAGACTCACACATGGCACCTCACACTGAAGGATTGGCCTACTGGTTCCCTAACAACACTATTACTACCTTCCACACACGTCCACTCAATTGATGCCCCTGTTCCAGCAATATCTTGGCCCAGCCTCCTCAAACAAAACAAAACAAAACAAAACAAAACAAAACAAAACAGTCTAAGCCATAAAAATAAAATTAGTACAAACAAAGTTAATGCTAATTACAGCTAAGTTAATTATATGGACTATGATTGCCACCCGTAACCAAAACCAAAGAACTGTACCTAATAAAAATTATAAAAATATCTACAGAAGAAATATTTTCCTTTGAAAGATTCTCTATATTGTTGACAGAAGGAAAAGCTGCAACAGTTGTGTAAACATCAATGTAAGAACCCATGACCCATGGGGAAAAAATAGAAAAAGAAAACCTGCACACCTTTAGGGGAACACAATAGTCCTTAAGTAAACAGACTTAAAAAAGAAGAGATCTGCCAGGCATGGTTGCTCACACCTGTAATCCCAGCACTTTCAGAGGCTGCGACGGGCCGATCACCTGAGGTAGGGAATTTTAGACCAGCCAGACCAACATGGAGAAACCCCATCTCTACTAAAAACACAAAATTAGCTGGGCATGGTGGCACATGCCTGTAATCCCAGGTACTCAGATGGCAGAGGAAGAAGAATTGTCTGAACCCAGGAGATGAATGTTGCAGTGAGCTGAGATCATGCCACCGCATTCCTGCCTGTGTGACAGAACTACACTCCACCTCACAAAAAAAAAAAGAGATCTTACTCAATGCAAAACAAGGAATTAAAGATCTAAAGAGAAAAATAAATAAAATGTATAATGGCTAAACTAGAAATAAATAAAACATAATCTGAATGAGTAATTCGAACAGAGAGATATTATTGAAAAAGAACTGTTAGAAATGATAAATTTCTTTTCAAAAGGTTTAATTGTGTATTTTTTTCCTTTGTTTAGAAGCCCAACCTCCTTGTACTCTCTTGTTTCCAGCCAGCAAACTACACTGCTGCTTTAGTTGCACCCTGACATTTCCAGACATAACTTATACTAAAGTTATATACATAACTTTGGGACATGCCTTATACTACAATGGACAAACCACTTCTACCCCCTCCTTTTACAAATTGCACGTTTACCCTATTTAGAAAAGATTAAGTCTTAGCCTACCAGGTTAGTTTAGATTGTGTTGTTCAACGCTAGACAATAACAGAAGGACAGAGGGACAGGAACTTGGAAAGGATAAAAGTCCCTTCTTTCCTTTGTTTGAGGTTCTCTTGCAATTGTGACCAAGGCAGACAGGACTCTTCTGCAGAAGTAAATTGACTTGCTGAGAAAACTTTTTGCCTGACTGCTGGTTCTTCTTTGCAGCATCAAGCACTTGTTTCTAACAATCTTGGGGCTCATCTGGGATTCCCATTCTCCTCCATGGAAGGGTCTCTGATCCCCTCTCATGAAGAGGCATGTCCCATGGCCTTATGGCGGTGGCCTCAAGGGTAGGGAATTGGAACCTACCAAACGTCATGCATAAACTGAGACTCTCAGCAATATGGGAAGAAAATGCCTTCAAATACCATGCAACCGAGTAACATTGTATACAGACCTAGGTAAGAAAAACAATGGGGATGGTAAGGTATTTCTTGGTGGTCAGAACATCTTGGGGCTTGAAAGTGTGTGAGTGAGATGCACAATTGAGCTCCAAGTGAGTGTGGTCCTGATCTTTGGTTCTGTGATCACCTCAATGGCTTATGGCGGATTCCTATTGTGGGGTTTATAATGATATGCTAATGCTAAGAGGGGTTTAAACTACACCTGGGTAAGTGGCCAGAGACAGATGAAGTAAAAGTAAAAGAGTGCAAGGAACCTCCAGCAGGTGAACTTGAGCCTGCAGAGCAGAGAGTGTGAGAAACCTCTAGCAGTCTGGGTTGAGCCTCTAGAGCTGAGGGTGCAAGAAGTCTCTAGCAAGAGAGGTTAAGGCCCACACACTTGGGACACTCAAGGAAACACTAAAAACTTCCAGGATGGAAATAGCTCAAGCAAGTTAGGGGATAAAAAGGAAAAGATAGACAATAAAATCCCCTCAGATAGCGTTCTTGGTCTCATATTAAAATATTGGAAGGATAATGAGAGAACCGAATATAAGAAAAAGCAACAAATGATAAAATATTGTTTTATTTGGACCAAAGTACCTATCCTCAAACCCTCAGTTTTCTGTGCAAAATTTGGATCTAGTGAGGACTGGATTTGCTAACTTTTTATAGAGTATGACAATGACAAATGTTCTGTCTCCCAGGAGGAAATAGACTGTGCTCTGTGTTGGTGGGAGGGGTCTGTTTTTCTCTATCCCCTAAAAACTACAGGAGACAAGCAGGGAATTACTTCCCCTCAGGAAATTAAAATCCCTAATCCCAAACCACGCACTAGCACGTGCAACCCTTTAGACTACCTTCCTCCATCTGCACCTGCTCTCACCACCACTGCCTCTAACCTCCATACCCTGCAAGTAAATGCAGCTGCCCGTAGTTCTGCCCCTTCCCTTACTCACAGTGTTCCTCCCCCTTATAACCCTGACTCTTGGAGTCATCCCTAGACTGAATGCCCTCCCTTAGGAGTGCTTCAGTGTGAGATAGAACAACATTAGAAGAATATTTAATACTTCCGGTTGCCCACTACCTCCAGAGTATCAGCCACAAACCTTTTTTCCCTTAAGATAAGTGTCTCTAGGTGGGGTGGGGGGCGGGGGCGGGTGGGAGGCGGGGATTGGCTTTTTTAACACCCTATTAGCCAGTTCAGAAGTCCAATGCCTAAAAAGTGAATAATAGTCTCTATGGAATGGCAGACCAAATTGATCAATTCTTAGGACCACAGTTGTATAGTTGGACCAAGTTAATGTCAATCTTTGGCATCCTCTTTTTTGGAGAGGAAAGAAGCATGATCCATAGGGCCACTATGACCATTTGGGAGCATGAGCACACCCCAGGTCAAAACGTTCCTGCAGCTGAACAAAAAGTTTCTGCCGAGATCCCCAGTTGGGTCACAAAAATATAGCCTATTGAGGGAATATGAGGGATATCCAAAAAATGATAATTAAAGGAATAAGAGAATCAGTGCCCTGCACCAAGGATGTTACCAAAGCCTTTAATATACAACAGGGAAAGGATGAAAGGTCTATGGAATTTTGAGAGAGACATAAAGAGCAGATGGAAAAACATGCTGGCCTAAATTAGTAGACCACCTTGGGCAGGGAATGTTAAAGCTCCACTTTTTCACCAATAGTTGGCCAGATATTACCAGGAAATTACAAAAGATAGAAAATTGGAAGACCACCAGCCCATAGAGAAATTTTTAAGGGAGGGCCAAAAGGTATATGTATGGAGAGACAAAGAAAAGTAAAAACAAAAGGCAAAAATTATGCTATCTACCTTACGTCAGGGAACTCCTCCACAGACAGCCCAGGAGAATAGAACTTATAAGCCTTCCAGTACATGGCTGTCAGACCTAACACAGGAGTCAAAGAGAGCAAGCCAGAAAAACAGAAAATAAAGAGAGAAAAAGTACAAATAAATGCTTAAAATGTGGAAAATTAGGTCACTTTAAAAATAGAATGCCCTGAATGGGAAGACGAAAAGGAAGTCATCCCACTTACAGCTTTTGAGGAAGAATACGGGTTCAGGGGCTCTGTCTTTACTACCTTGAGTCCCACCAAGAGCCCTTGATAAATCTAGAGGTGGGACACAACTCTGAGCTTATTAACTTTTTAACTGACTCAGCTGCAGCTTGCTCCTCTGTTTGTCATTCTCCATCTAATATAATTTGTTCACAAGAAGAACTCCTTATTTCAGGAGTAAAGAGAGAAGGATTTAAAGCAACATTTTAGAGGAAACAGAAGTCACATATAAAAATAGATTGGATAATGTAAAATGTTTGCTAATACCAGAGGCAGGAACTAACCTAATAGGAAGAGATTTAATGCTACATTTAGGTTTAGGTCTCTATATTAACCAGGAAAAATTTTTTACCTCCCTAAACTTACTCACTACCATAGGTGAAGAGTATATTCACCCCAGTATCTGGTCAAAAGGAGGAAATTGAGGAAAATCATGAGTTCCCCCAATAAAGGTCAAATTAAAAACTTCTGGGGAAGAAGTAAAAAGAAAGCAGTACCCTCTTCCTTTGAAAGCTAGGATAGATTTAAAACCTATAATTGAAAGCCTTGCTGATGATAGACTTCTTGAACCCTGTGTATCTTCTTATAATACTCCAATATTAGCTGTAAAGAACCCAGATGGGTCATACCACCTAGTGCAAGACCTCCGGACTATTAATCAAACAGTTAAAACTACACATCCTGTTGTTCCCAATCTTACATCATTATCCCACCTGAGCTTGAATGGTTCAGATTATAGACCTGAAAAATGCCTTCTGGGTTTGCCATTTAGCAGAGGACAGCCAAGACTTGTTTGCCTTTGCATGGGAAACCCCCACTCATCTAAAGCAACAGCACCATTGGACAGTTTTACCCCAGGGGTTCACAAATTCTCCAAATCTTTTTGGTCAAATTTTAAAACAAGTCATAGAATAATTTTCCCTTCCCTCATGCATATGTCTACTCCAGTACATAGATGTCCTGCTTACTTCTGGGGAAAACAAAGAAAGAATGGGTAGCAGCTTTTTCAACAAACTTTCTTAATTTTCTAAGCGGAGAAAGGTTAAGACTCAAAAAGCAAACTTCCGTTTGTACAGCCCAAAGTAAAGTATTTATGAATTTTAATCAGCAAAGGCCAATGCAGGATTGGGTATGAACCAATTGAAGGTATTATATCCTAGCTCTCCCAGAAAGAAAACAGTAGTTTAGAAAGTTTTTAGGCTTAGCTGGACACTGTTGCCTATGGATCAATTCTTATACCCTAGAAACAAAACCACTATCCCAAAAACTCACCCAGAGGGAGCCAGAACACCTTATCTGGACCCAACCAGAAATGCAACAAATAGAAAAATTAAAACATTTACTAGTTACTGCCCCTGTTCTAACTCTACCCTCCCTGGAACAGCCATTTTATCTTTTCATCAGTGTAAACAAGGGAATGGCTTTAGAAGTAACCACCCAAAAACATGGGGACCACCAGCCCCCCCATAAGCTTTCTGTCAAAACTGCTAGACCCAGTAACTTGTGTCTAGTCTGAATGTGTCCAATCTGTAGCAACAACTGCCTTACTAACAGAAGAAAGCACAAAATTAATTTTTGGGGGAAATCTCACCAAGTTAGAACAATCCTCAACCAAACGGCAGAGAGGTGGCTTACTGACTCAAGAATTTTAAAACATTAAGCAATCGTGCCAGAAAGAGATGACCTAACACTGACCACTGAAAATTCTTTAAATCCTGCTGCTTTCCTAACAGGAAATCCAAACCCAGAGGTAACAGAGAATCCACACCCAAAAGAAAGAGATCATAAATGTTTAGATTTAATTAGTTACCAAACCTAAGTTAGACCGACCTATGTGAAACTTTTTTCCAAACAGGGAAACATCTTTTTGTAGATGATTCCTCCTGGGTAATTGAAGGAAAAAAGCATAACAGATACTCTGTAGTGGATGGACATACCCTCACAAAACTAGAACCTACAAAATGACTGGTCCACATAAATGCGTAGGCTATTTGCCTTAAATCAAGCCTTAAATTTGTTACAGAAACAGGAGGGAAGAACTTATACTGACTCCAAATATGTGTTTGGAGTAGGACATATCTTTGGAAAAAGTTGGCCTGAACATGGCCTTATTAATAGTAAAGGTCAAAATCTAATCCATAAATAGTTAATAATACAAGTATTAGGTAATCTTCAACTACCTGAGGAAACAGGTCTTGTTCATGTCCCAGGACATCAAAAGAGCCTCTACTTTGAAAGTCAGGGAAATAAGCTAGCTGACCAAATAGCCAAGCACTCTGTCTATTCCCAAACTACATCCGTTTTTTATTTAATCCTTTGTCTTTCTCCTCTAACTGTACTCCCTGCTTTTCTCATACAGTCCAGGAAAAACTAAAGAAATTAGGAACTATTTCATATCCAGCCAAACTAAGCTTCATAAGTGAAGGAGAAATAAAATCCTTTACAGACAAGCAAATGCTGAGAGATTTTGTCGCCACTAGGCCTGCCCTAAAAGAGCTCCTGAAGGAAGCACTAAACATGGAAAGGAACAACCGGTACCAGCCACTGCAAAATCATGCCAAAATGTAAAGGGCATTGAGGCTAGGAATAAACTGCATCAACTAATGAGCAAAATAACCAGCTAACATCATAATGACAGGATCAAATTCACACATAACAATATTAACTTTAAATGTAAATAGACTAAATGCTCCAATTAAAAGACACAGACTGGCAAATTGGATAAAGAGTCAAGACCCATCAGTGTGCTGTATTCAGGAAACCCATTTCATGTGCAGAGACACACATAGACTCAAAATAAAAGGATGGAGGAAGATCTACCAAGGAAACAGAAAACAAAAAAAGGTATAGGTTGCAATCCTAGTCTCTGATAAAATAGACTTTAAACCAACAAAGATCAAAAGAGACAAAGAAGGCCCTTACATAATGGTAAAGGGATCAATTCAACAAGAAGAGCTAACTATCCTAAATATATGTGCACCCAATACAGAAGGACCCAGATTCATAAAGCAAGTCCTGAGAGAGCTACTAAGAGACTTAGACTCCCACACAATAATAATGGGAGACTTTAACACTCTACTGTCAACATTAAACAAATCAATGAGACAGAAAGTTAACAAGGATACCCAGGAATTGAACTCAGCTCTGCACCAAGCGGACCTAATAGACATCTACAGAACTTTCCACCCAAAATCAACAGAATATACATTTTTTTCAGCACCACACCACACCTATTCAAAAATTGACCACATACTTGGAAGTAAAGCTCTCCTCAGTAAATGTAAAAGAACAGAAATTATAACAAACTATCTCTCGGACCACAGTGCAATCAAACTAGAGCTCAGGATTAAGAATCTCACTAAAAACTGCTCAACTACATGGAAACTGAACAACCTGCTCCTGAATGACTACTGGGTACATAATTAAATGAAGACAGAAATAAAGATGTTCTTTGAAACCAACGAGAACAAAGACACAACATACCAGAATCTCTGGGACACATTCAAAGCAGTGTGTAGAGGGAAATTTATAGCACTAAATGCCCACAGGAGAAAGCAGGAAAGATCCAAAATGACACCCTAACATCACAATTAAAATAACTAGAAAAGCAAGAGCAAACACATTCAAAAGCTAGCAGAAGGCAAGAAATAACTAAAATCAGAGCAGAACTGAAGGAAATAGAGACACAAAAAACCCTTCAAAAAATTAATGAATCCAGGAGCTGGTTTTTTGAAAGGATCAACAAAATTGATAGACTGCTAGCAAGACTGATAAAAAAGAAAAGAGGGAAGAATCAAATAGATGCAATAAAAAATGATAAAGGGGATATCACCACCGATCCCACAGAAATACAAACTACCATCAGAGAATACTACAAAACCTCTACACAAATAAACTAGAAAATCTAGAAGAAATGGGTAAATGCCTCAACACATACACCCTCCCAAGACTAAACCAGGAAGAATTTGAATCTCTGAATAGACAAATAACAGGCTCTGAAATTGTGGCAATAATCAACAGCTTACCAACGAAAAAGAGTCCAGGACCACATGGATTCCCAGCCGAATTCTACCAGAGGTACAAGGAGGAACTGGTACCATTCCTTCTGAAACTATTCCAATCAAAAAAAAAACCAGGGAATCCTTCCTAACTCATTTTATGAGGCCAGCATCATCCTGATACCAAAGCCAGGCAGAGACACAACCAAAAAAGAGAATTTTAGACCAATATCCTTGATGAACATTGATGCAAAAATCCTCAATAAAATACTGGTAAACCAAATCCAGCAGTGCATCAAAAAGCTTATCCACCATGATCAAGTGGGCTTCATCCCTGGGATGCAAGGCTAGTTCAATATATGCAAATCAATAAATGTAATCCAGCATATAAACAGAACCAAAGACAAAAGCCACATGATTATCTCAATAGATGCAGAAAAGGCCTTTGACAAAATTCAACAACCCTCCATGATAAAAACTCTCAATAAATTAGGTATTGATGGGACACATCTCAAAATAATGAGACAAACCCAGAGGCAATATTGTACTGAATGGGCAAAAACTGGAAGAATTCCCTTTGAAAACTGGCAGAAGACAGGGATGCCATCTCTCACCACTCCTATTCAACATAGTGTTGGAAGTTCTGGCAAGGGCAATTAGGCAGAAGAAGGAAATAAAGGATATTCAACTAGGAAAAGAGGAAGTCAAATTGTCCCTGTTTGCAGACAACATGATTGTATATCTAGAAAACCCCATTGTCTCAGCCCAAAATCTCCTTAAGCTGATAAGCAACTTCAGCAAAGTCTCAGGATACAAAATCAAAGTACAAAAATCACAAGCATTCTTATACACCAACAACAGACAAACAGAGAGCCAAATCATGAGTGAACTCCCATTCACAATTGCTTCAAAAAGAATAAAATACCTAGGAATCCAACTTACAAGGGACATGAAGGACCTCTTCCAGGAGAACTACAAACCACTGCTCAATGAAAGAAAAGAGGATAGAAAGAAATGGAAGAACATTCCATGCTCATGGGTAGGAAGAATCAATATCGTGAAAATGGCCATACTGCCCAAGGTAATTTACAGATTCAATGCCATCTGCATCAAGGTACCAATGACTTTCTTCACAGAATTGGAAAAAACTACTTAAGGTTCATATGTAACCAAAAAAGAGCTCACATCACCAAGTCAATCCTAAGCCAATAGAACAAAGCTGGAGACATCACACTACCTGATTTCAAACTATACTACAAGCCTACAGTAATGAAAACAGCATGGTTCTGGTACCAAAACAGAGATATAGATCAATGGAACAGAAGAGAGCCCTCAGAAATAATGCCGCATATCTACAACTATCTGATCTTTGACAAACCTGAGAAAAACAAGCAATGGGGAAAGGATTCCCTATTAAATAAATGGTGCTGGGAAAACTGGCTAGCCATATGTAGAAAGCTGAAACTGGATCCCTTCCTTACACCTTATACAAAAATTAATTCAAGATGGATTGAAGACTTAGATGTTAGACCTAAAATCATAAAAACCCTAAAAGAAAAACCTAGGCATTACCATTCAGGACAAAGGCATGGGCAAGGACTTCATGTCTAAAACACCAAAAGCAATGGCAACAAAAGCCAAAATTGACAAATGGGATCTAATTAAACTAAAGAGCTTCTGCACAGCAAAAGAAACTACCATAAGAGTGAACAGGCAACCTACAAAATGGGAGAAAATTTTTGCAACCTACTCATCTGACAAAGGGCTAATATCCATAATCTACAATGAACTCAAACAAATTTACAAGATAAAAACAAACAACCCCATCAAAAAGTGGGCAAAGAACATGAAAAGACACTTCTCAAAAGAAGATATTTATGCAGCCAAAAAACACATGAAAAAATTCTCATCATCACTGGCCATCAGAGAAGTGCAAATCAAAACCACAATGAGGTACCATCTCACACCAGTTAGAATGGCAATCATTAAAAAGTCAGGAAATAACAGGTGCTGGAGAGGATGTGGAGAATTAGGAACACTTTTACACTGTTGGTGGGAGTGTAAACTAGTTCAACCATTGTGGAAGTCAGTGTGGCAATTCCTCAGGGATCTAGAACTAGAAATACTATTTGACCCAGCCATCCCATTACTGGGTATATACCCAAAGGACTATAAATCATGCTGCTATAAAGACACATGCACACGTATGTTTATTGTGGCACTATTCACAATAGCAAAGACTTGGAACCAACACAAATGTCCAACAATGATAGAGTGGATTAAGAAAATGTGGCACATATACACCATGGAATACTATGCAGCCATAAAAAAGAATGAGTTCATGTCCTTTGCAGGGACATGGATGAAATTGGAAATCATCATTCTCAGTAAACTATCACAAGGACAAAAAACCAAACACCACATATTCTCACTCATAGGTGTGAATTGAACAATGAGAACACATGGACACAGGAAGGGGAACATCACACTCTGGGGACTGTTGTGGGGTGGAGGAGGAGGGAGGGATAGCATTAGGAGATATACCTAATGCTAAATGACGAGTTAATGGGCACAGCACACCAGCATGGCACATGTATACATATGTAACTATCCTGCACATTGTGCACTTGTACCTTAAAACTTAAAGTATAAGAATAAAAAGAAAAAAAAAAGAATAAAGTTGGACCATTACCTTACACGGTATACAAAAAAAAAAAAAAAAAAAAAAAAAAAAAAAAAAAAAGAAATTAGGAGCTAAGGAAAACCCAGAGAAAAGTATTACCAGATGGAAAGAAAATGTTACTGAAATCTCTTATGAGGTTAATATTGTTACAACTTTATCAAGGATCATAGGGTCCTCAAGCTATGTGTGATGCAGTTCTTAGTGTCTATGTGTGCATAGAAATATACACCCTCCGTAGACAAGTAGTGAATAGTTGCATAGTGTGCAGAAAAAGCAGTAAGCAGACCTTAAAAAGGCAACCTCCCAGGGGAAGAAATCTAGGGTTAAGGCCAATCCAAAGTGTCCAGGTTTACTATACTGAAATGCCCCCAGTGGGCCATCTCAAGTATTTGTTAGTAATATTGAACCATACCAACTGGATAGAAGCCATTCCCTTCCCAAGTGCAACAGCCAGTAATATAGCTAAGGCCCTGTTAGAACATATCATACCCAGGTTTGGACTAATAGAAAACACTGATTCAGACAATGGGACCCACTTCATTGAATACATCATTAAAGGGCTAACTGAAGTATGGGAATAAAATGGGAATATTACACTCCCTGCTATCCAACCTCATCAGGAAATGTAGAAAGAAAGAAACAAATCCTAAAAAAAAAGCTAAGCAAATTATTCTTGGAGTCCTGGTTACCATGGACAAAATGCCTCCCTATTGCCTTAGTAAGAATTCAAACTGCCCTTTGAAAGGATCTTGGCCTATAACCTTATGAAATGCTTTATGGACTAACTTATTTAAATTACACCACTGATCTCTCTACATTTGAAACCAAAGATCAGTTTCTTAAAAACTATGTATTTGGTCTGTATTCTACCATTTCCTCCCTCAGGAATCAAGGCCTCCTATTGCAAACTGCATGCTTTGAATTACCATTTCACCAACACCAACCCAGAGATCACATCCTTCTCAAAAGCTGGAAAAAGGGAAAGCTCAAACCCACTTGGGAAGACCTGATATACTGCTCCTAACAACTGAAATGGCACTCTGAACCATTGAGAAGGGATGCACCAATCACCTGAGTCAAAAAGTATCACTCCTTCCAGAGTCATGGATAGCTGTTCAAGGACCCACCCCAAGCAGGGTAATGTTGGAAAGGAAACTTTAATCTGCCTCTCCCACCTTTTCCTCTTCTTCCCAGCTACCTCACATCTTCTTATTAATATAACTAGGTCTACTTCCCCTCAAATCATTACCTTTGATGCTTGTTTGTTGTGCCTGTGCAGATCTCCGAAGCCAAAGAAAGCTAGCCTCTTCAGAAAAGTAACTTTGCCCTTTCAGTATAAATAAAACTGCCTATAAGAGTGACTCTTGGCAGGCTGTGGTGGCCCATGCTTGTGATCCTAGCACTTTGGGAGGCTGAGGCAGGTGGATCATGAGGTCTGGAGATCGAGAACATCCTGGCTAATGTGGTGAAAGCCCATCTCTACTAAAAATACAAAAAATTAGCCAGGTGTGGTGCCTGCAGTCCCAGCTACTAGGGAGGCTGAGGCAGGAGAATGGTGTGAACCCAGGAGGTGGAACTTGCCTTGCAGTGAGCCGAGATTTTGCCATTGCACCCCAGCCTGGGCAACAGAGCGAGACTTCATCCCATAATAAATAAATAAATAAATAAATAAATAAATAAATAAATAAATAAAGTGGGCTGGGTGTGGTGGCTCAGGCCTGTAATCCCAGCACTTTGGGAGGGCAGACGAGTGGATCACAAGGTCAGGAGATCGAGACCATCCTGGCTAACATGGTGAAACCCCACATCTACTAAAAATACAAAAAATTAGCCAGGCATGGTGGCAGGCGTCTGTAGTCCCAGCTACTTGGGAGGCTGAAGCAGGAGAATGGTGTGAACCTGGAAGGTGCAGTTCGCAGTGAGCAGAGATCGTGCCACTACACTCTAGCCTGGGTGGCAGAGCAAGACTCCATCTCAAAAAAAAAAAAAAAAAAAAGAAAAAGAAAAAGTGACTCTTGCGCCAAATGAGCATAAGACAGTCAGTGGAAGTTCTGTTTCTGTTTTGGTTGGGGAGACGGGGGAGATGTGGCCTGGACCACTAAGTGTCAAGGCTGGACCTCCCTAGGAGGAGGTTGCCATAACCTAAAACCTTACATCCAATTTACCAAAGACACAAGTCCCTCAATTGTCAACTCCAACAATTTAACCCTGTGCAAATCTCTATCACTGTTCCCACTGTTACTGACACTAACCCCACTTTAGGTCACTTCTATAGACTAGAAGCTGATGTTACTGGAATAGACCCTATAGAATCCTTTGAGATATGCTTCATTGCTCCTCCATCCTTTTCTTCTCCTTATTCTGAACCTCTTTCCAATGAAATAGTTGTTGTTTCCATACCAAATGACAAAATTATGGTAGACTTTGTAGACATCAAAGATTTAAAGCAAATTTTAGTGATTGAAATGGGATACCAAGATGCATATTCCTGGCTAGAATTGATTAAGTATTCTGTTTCAAGTTAAGCAAAAGTGACTGTTACACTTGTGAGAGAGGCAGGCCAGAGGCCCAGATAATCCACTTCCCATGCAGATGGTCTCCTGATCAACTGGGCATGAGTTACTTTGTGAGTCTCTTTCAAAACCCCACAGCCTCAGGCAGTGAGGTGTTCAAGACTCACTCACTGCTATTTCCTGAAGTTATAGACTCTTCAGGTCAGCCCCTCATGGTCACCTGGCCTCCAGGTTTGGATGTTAATTTTACCTCATATCTCTCATGGCAGAGGGAAAGATTAACATCTCTCAGAGACCTAAAAGAGTGCAGTGAAACCAAGCTTTTCCTAGAGCTTACCAGTCAACTTGCCCTTGTTTATTCCCAAACAGATATATGGTGGTATTGTGGTGGATCACTATTAGGTACTCTGCCAAGTAACTGGAGCAGCACTTGTGCTCTGGTCCAATTGATCTTTCCTTTCACCCTGGCATTCTGTCAACATAAAAAGAAAGAGAACTGGATACAAAGAAGTGCTCATCATTGGTCTTTTGACACTCACATTTATATAGATGCTATTGGAGTTCCATGAGGGTTACCAGATGAATTTAAAGCTTGAAATGAAACAGCTGTGGGATTCAAATCTGCAGTGTTCTGGTCGCCAATTATAAACAAAAATGAAGATCGGATAAGCTACATCTAATATAATCAACAGCCATTTGTCAATTATACTATACTATAACACAAAGATACCATTAATAGAATAGATGAACAATTAGCCCCCTCCCTCACCAGCCAAAGGGCACAGGAAAATGGAATAGCTGTTGACATGATGTTAGCAGAAAAAGGTGGACTCTGTGTCATGAATGGGGTCAAATGCTGTACTTTTATCCCTAACAACACAGCCCTTGATGGAACAATTACAATGGCCTTACAAGGCCTTATCTCCTTGTCAGATGAGTTAGCCAAAAATTCTGGAAGAAATGACCCCTTCACAAACCTCATCAAAAGGAGATTCGGTAAATGGAAAGGGCTTATGTCTTCAATATTAACCTGTCTTTTAATTGTCATAAGTGTACTCATTTTTGTAGGATGCTGCATCATACCCTGTATCTGTGAGATAATGTCAAGACTTACAGAAACAGCTCTCACATAACCCTCCCCTATCCCTCTTCCTCAATACTCAGAGAAGCTCTTGTCCCTATATGATCAAGAGGAGAAACAAGGCTAAATCATGCTACAAAAACTTGAAGAGGAAGAATTGTCAAAAGACAAATGGGGAAATTGTTAGGAATGATAATTTCCTCTTCAAAAGGTTTAATTGCGTAATGTTATTTTCCTTTGTTCAAAATCCTAACCTCCTTGTACTCTTGTTTCCAGCCTGCAAACCACCCTCCCACTCCAGTTGCACCCTGCCATGCCCAGACATGTTCAGACATGCCTTGTACTGCAACAAACAGATCCCTCCTACCTGCTTCTTCTCTTACAAATTGTGCATTTGCCCCATTTAGAAAAGTTTAATTCTTAGCCAACCCAAATCAGTTTAGATTGTGCAGTTCAATCCCAGCCAATAAGGGAAGGACACAGGGACAGGAACTGTATTACGGATAAAAATCCCTTCTCTGTTTTATTCGGGGTGCTCTTGCAATTGTGACTGAGGTAGGCAGCAACCTTCTGCAGAAGCAAATTACCTTGCTGGGAAAACTTTTTGCCTGTGTGCTTGTTCTTCTTTGCAGCAGTGAGCACTTGTTTGTAAGGGAGCAAAAGAGATATTTTTAAAACAATAATAAAAAATGCAAACAGGATACTCAGAAATACACTAAATAAAGCAGAGGAAATAAAATAAACACAAAATTTGAGGACAATTTTAAAAAGTGATATTATACACAAACAGAAAAATTAAATATAGAAGAAAGTCCAAGTGACATACAAGAGAACATAAAGATATTCAAATATTGGGGATAAAAAACATAAAATCTTATTTAATAATATTATAACTAAAAGCAGTCCAAATACTGGAGAAAATGTAGACATACAGATATGGAAAGCTCCAGAAATCACAAATAAATTTAACCACAAAACATTTATCTTGATGTGAATTATAGTCTAACCATCCAGCAAAAGACAACACATTTTTAAAACACAAAAGAAGTGTCAAGTCAAATATAAGAACTTCCCTTATTGAACTAAGACCTAATTTTTCAGCAGAAAATTTAAAGGGAAGAACATAAAGGAAAGGTATTACCAAGAAGCTGAGTGAAAAAAAAAATCAACTTAGAATTCTACACATTGCAAAACTATCATTCAGAAATAAAAATAAATGAAGTATTTTCTGCTAGAAATTTAGAAAGAATTCCTGCATCTGAAGTAAATGGTCTACATCTACCATTATGGAAATACTTTAAACTAACACTTCTTAGAAGAAAAGATACAGAAGTGAGAAATAAAAAATGAATCACATTTTATCACTATGGACAAACACAACATTCCAAAGATAAGCATTAAAAATGGTATACAAAGACATACAAAAATATCAAAAACTTAACAAGATGATAGAATAAAGCCACACCTATCAAAAAGTATTTTAAATGTAAATGGCTTAACTTCCACCATTAAAAGAAAAGATTGGCTACAGTATATAGTTGCTTCTTCTATTTTAAAAAGTCACAATAAGGACAAATTTCTTAATTTTAAATGCTACATATTTTCAGAGCTTTTTTGAATTAATGTGAAACCCACAGCTCATTACTTAATAATCACTGAGTATACATATATTTCAAATACACAGAATTCCTGAGAAATAAATCAGCTTAGTGGGCCAGATACTACCATTGTAAAGTCTATTTGCTATGAAAAATCTATTTCAGTGAAAAGAGAACTGCCCAACTATTCCTATAAAACACGGTTGCTGTCTCACCAAAGCACCTTAATGTAGGATTTTCTCTTTGTCTCTATTAGTACCCCAGGTTTTTGTCCTACATCCAGGAAACTTAGGGAACATTGACACAAAGATAGGGTTGGAGTGAAAGTTTGATAAGTGAAATAAATGAAGCTCTTCACAGCAGATAAGGGAGTCCAAGTGAATTGCCAGATACAGCTGCATTCAAAAACTTTCATAAGATATGCCTCTCATCTCTGTAGCAGTTTGAGTAACTTCTTTTACCAGTTAAGTTCTCTGTGCCACTCCCCTTATCTTATGCAGCTGTGGAAATATCTCTAGGCAAACACAAAGCACCACTTCTTTTGTTTGTATAACTATTGGTTTGTTTTCAATTAGCCTGCCTCCTCACTGTGCAATTTACCACTATGTATGTGCTTGAAAAGGGGAGGAAACATTTTCCTGGGAGTTTGCTAATTATATAAAGTTTCTTATCTGTTGCAGGTACAGCTCATGTTTTTCCAGAATTATCTTTCTTTTCTTCTACCTCATTCTCCTTTTAGGAGTGGAAACTCTAACTGCTGTTGGGGAGATTGGATATTGATTTCTGAGTAATTCCAGCCGAAGAGGGGTGTTGTGTGGGAAAACAGCAGCTAAGACTCCTTCAGGGGCTGATTTAAGGTGCCTCAAATAAAAGGCTTGTTGATGTCTCATTTTATTTGCATTACCATTTGGAGCTTGATAGCCTCCAGGTGAAAAAAAAAAAAAAATTGGTCGGGTGCGGTGGCTTACTTCTGTAATCCCTGCACTTTTAGAAGCCTAGGCAGGCAGATCATCTGAGATCAGGAGTTCAAGACCAGCTTGACCAATATAGTGAAACCCTATCTCTACTAAAAATACAAAAAAATTAGCCAGATGTGGTGGCATGTGCCTTTAGTCCCAGCAACTTGGATGGCTGAGACAGGAGAATTGCTTGAACTCAGGAGGCAGAGGTTGCAGTGAGCCGAGGTCATGCCACTCCACTCCAGCTAGGGTGACAGAGCAAGGCTCTGTCAAAAAAAAAAAAAAAGAAAGAAAGAAGGAAGGAAGGAAAGGAAGGAAGGAAGGAAGGAAGGAAGGAAGGAAGGAAGGAAGGAAAGAAAGAAAGAAAGAAAGAAAGAAAGAAAGAAAGAAAGAAAGAAAGAAAGAAAGAAAAGAAAGAAAGGGAAAGAAAGAAAAAAATGTGGGTTATTAGAGAACATGTATTAAAATTATACAAATGGGGTAAGAACAACTTTTAAAATTCTGAGGCTTCTGACACACCCTGATAATTGCTAGCAATAGTTATGCTTTATAAGATTTGGGTGCACGGGCCATGCTTTGTTGAGCTTCCTTTTTCTTATGTTCAGCCCCCAGAAAAACTTTGGGGCTTTAGGTTACCTGGCAGAATTTGTAGAATAATTACCTAGAACTAGAATATTTTACCAGATTTTCACGTTACCCATCCCTTTCTATTTCCTCTGAGCTGCAGCCAGAAATCACTGGCTGGTTACAGAAATAGACAGGATTATTTTAAAATGCAGCTCAGAACTTAAAAACAACAAATGAGACTAGAAGTTAATGACAGAGGTGTGATAAGTTTTGAATATAATTTATTTATTTTCAGTCTTTGTTCTGTTAAAAAAATTATGATAGGACTGAGTTGTTTGCAAAATAAACTTTAGTTTTAAGCTTGGTCTGATTGTTTGCATAAAGTGCAGCAAGAATAATTATTTTTACACAGGCCTTTTAGATTAGATTTGATGAGACTTTATTCCACTAGAAATTTCAGATAGGAATTTTTAAAGCCAAGCCCAGTCATGGGTTTGTATCCTCAAATACCTGTGAGTTGGGTAAACTTGTCTCTTCTTGAGGTTCCAAGAGCATGGGGTAGACCTGTTAGAGAGGGACATTCTTTACTCACCACAGGTTAGGAAACCTGTATAAAATCTTCATGACAAGATATGAGGCCAGTTTCCCCAGGGGCCTTTATTGGCTCTGCAAAATCAGTCTTCACTCCTTAAAGGGAAAAAAAAAACACCATTCCAGTCAAAGCCTAGGTAAAACAATCAGTTTTTTAAATTGTGTCCTGTTGAAAAATGCAATGGATTCTTATTGCACTGATGTCAAGAATACAACAAGTTTCTGAATTCTAGAAGAACCAGACAGAGAAAAACAAACATGTTCCACAATTTGTTCAAATGAGTATACCTTACTGAGTTGTGAAAGGGTGTAGCTAGCTCAAGACAAGTGTCCTTGACTCTGAAAAACAAAATAAGAATCAGCAATGTTCCAAGCATAAGTCAAGAATATTGCTTTAGTTTTCTACTAGTTCAGTTTCTACTTTTCATGTGTCCTGTAAGTTTTTCTGTTATTAGAAACCAGCATTTGAAAGAATCCCTGTTAAAGTTCTACAGCTGATTATAATCTATTTTTTTTTAAGAAGAAGAAGATTGAAACAAGACAAAAATTGTCAGTAAATGACAAAATTTCCAGGGTAGTTACAGTCAAGAACATGTTGGACAAATTTGGTTATTTTTATGGTTCACCATAAACCAACTTAACACACTTAATTGTGATTAATAGCACATGTTCAGATACTAGAACCTTAGAAATCCTATATGATTTTGAAATATATGTTAATATTATTGCCCAAAATATAACCTGGAAAATATTAAATATCATTTTGGCAATTGCATGTGTCTCATACATCCATGTGAAGAGGTCACCAAACAAGCTTTGTGTGAGCAACAGGCTGTTTATTTCACCAGGGTGCAGGTGAGCTGAGTCCAAAAAGAGAGTCAGCAAAGGGTGGTGGAATTATCATTAGTTCTTATAGCTTTTGGGATAGACGGTGGAGTTAGGAGAAATGTTTTGTGGGCAGTGGGTGGATCTCACAAAGTATATTCTCAGGGGTCGGGAGAATTACAAAGAACCTTCTTAATGGTGGGGGAGATTACAAAGTACATTGATCGGTTAGGGTGGGGTAGAAACTTCACAATCATGGAATGTCATCAGTTAAGGCTATTTTCACTTCTTTTGTGGATCTTCAGTTGTTTTCAGCCATCTGGATGTATACGTTCATGTCACAGGGAATATAATGGCTTAGCTTGGGCTCAGAGGCCTGACATCATGTATGCAAACATGTTAAATAATCCTGTTTAACTCTCTTCTGGATGCTCCAGGGGTCCTCGGTAGCACCCAAACCCCTAGGTCATGAAAGACAACCTTGAGACTGTAGTTTGATTTTGGTAAGCCTGTTAAATATATTTGAAATTTAAAACACTTGATGTTATGAAATACAATTTTAGATTAACATAGTTATTTGTCTTGCCAAAATGATGAGTCAAAATTTGAAAAGCCAAAAACCATTCATCAGTCTTTACTATTACATGAAAACCCTGTTCAAGCAAGTTAAATTTCACCCTTGCATTATTTTACTATTAATGGTTAACCCCAATTTTTAATGAAAGCTTATAGGTAATCCTATTCAATTTTAACCAGTTTGATCATGATGTGAGATTTTCATGTACCTTTTATAACTCTTCACAAGATTTTCTAAAAAGCACATTGAAATCTTAAGAAAACCTTGTTGTGCTTTTATTTCTGTAGGAGTTAAAGAGGAAAGAAACAAGAAATGCGGCTGGCAGGTAAAGACAGGTTTTCTTTAGAGGAAACCTGAGAGGTGCTTCTGGCCAATTTCAGTCAGGAGTACTTTCTCTTAAAAGCTGAGTATATATCACTTTTAGGTTGAGGGGGCTTATCACAAGCTTGGAATGTTTATGTGTGTGGAGAAGTTTATAGCGGAGTTGGAATCTCTCTGGCAGGAGGTAAGGTTATCTTGGGGCAGACATCTTTCTGACCAAGAAGGGGGTTATCTCAGGGCTAGCATTTTCCCAGCCAGAGCAGAGTTTATCTCAGGACTACCCTATCTCTGGTTGGGGAGGAGTTTGGAATGTTTCTGGTTAGAGAAGTTATCTGTGGTTTATGGTCATGCTGACCTTAGCCATTAGGCTGACACCCTTTGGATTTAAGCAGTTTTTTATTGAGGTCAGCTTTAGAATGAGGGGTTGTTCCAACAAGGTGGTGGTCCTGCTCTGTCAATCCAGATCCTATGGTTATAAAAAGGAGGAGGGACTGCAGGCTACTTCCTGCTGACAAGGGGATGGAGAGTTTTCTGGTCTTGGGTTTACTGTAGGAGCAATGTCATTTGTAGATATTTTGGGGTAGTTGTCTGTAAAATGGCCATGATATTTTCAGTTAAAAATCTTTGAAAAAAGTTAATTAGGCAAGGTAAGAACATTAGTTCCAGGTATATTATTAGAAGAGGTCCCAGGAATGGGATGACTCATCCTATGATTTTGAATCCAAACCAAGAATCTATTCGGTTGTTTTGATATTCCCTTAGCTTTTTAGCCTTTTCTTTAAGTTTTTAGCAGTGTTTTTTACTAAGCCCTATTCGTTGCTATAGAAACATTTGTTACCTGATGAGAGGCAGAAGCATGTGTTTGGAAGAACTCATGTGTTACTTTCTTTTAGTAACTATTATTCCTGCTATCTGGATAATAATTAGGGAAAATGCTATAATAATTGAGATTTTTTTGTCTGATATTCCACCCTGAGGATGCTATAGCATATTGTTCTACTGCAAATAGCAGTGAGTAAGGCAGTTCCCACAAGGGTGGCAAAGTAAATAATTTCCATTAAAATGTTTTAATATTTGGCTTAAAAAAAGAGGTAGACACACCAAAAGTATTTGGTGAGGTGTGTGAGGCTGAATAAAATGAGTAGTTTTCACTTAGTCACCTATCTTTTATGATTTTCAGCTTAATATTTTCTATTTTTTTACATTGATATTTAGGGTGTTTCTTTGGGCTGTTTGGGTTGCTTTCTTAGATTTCTAGGCTTTGACTTGAGTGATGTATTTAGGAATTGACTCCTGTATCAGATATCATCTTAATCACCCTGCATTTCATGGACTCACTAGACTTTGGGGGAAAGTTTTCTCAGCACCCTCAGTTATTAGTTGTCAGCACCAGCAGTGAAGACATTTATTCCTGTGGTGGCCCTGTGTTAGAGGCAGTACTTGATGAAACACTTACTTTTCAGTTTGTAGGGCTTTAAGAAATCACAGCTTAATATGGAAACTTATATCCAGAAAAATTAGAGTTTAATTTAAGCAGTGGAAAATAATAAAAATAGAAAAACATTAGGAAACACTAGAATTCAACAATCCATGTGCTATCATTTTTGAAACATAATTTTGTCTCTCCAGTTTCCCATTTTTATTAAAAGACAAATTATAATAGGACTGGTTTGCTTTACTATACTTGACAGTTATTTGCATACAGTGCAGCAAGAATAATTATTTGTTACATCTGCCTATTAAATTGGTTTATATGGCACTTTGTTTCAAAGAAGGAATCTGAGATAAGACCTTTTTAAAGCGAAGCCCAGCCATGGATTTTTACTGTCCAATACCTATTAGTTGGAGAATTTCTCTTCTCTTGAGGGACCAAGATAACTTGGGCTTCCCAGCCTGCTAGAAAGTAATTTTTTTACTTACCACAGATCAGAAACCATGTACAGGGACTGTGTACACAAAATATGCAGTGAGTTTTCCAAGGGCCTTTTTGCTTTGTAAGTCAAGTTTGATTCCTTAAAGGAAAGCATATAATTCCAGTTAAAGTGTTGGTAAAAATAACCAGCTTTTCTAAATGTGCCCTGTTACAAAAGAAAACAGATTCTTATTGCACTTATGGAAATAACCATACTGCCATAACTTAAGAATACTCAACAGATAGTTTCCAAATTCTGTAGAAAATCAGGTATAGAGAAACAAGTATGCTCCAAATTTTGTTTACGGGAGTATACTAAATTGTTACAAGCTGTTAATAGCTCAAAAGAAAAATTTATTTGACTTTGAAAAGCAAAACAAAGAATTAACAATGTTCTAAGCAAAACTTTAAAGAGATTACTCAATCCTCCTTTTAGTTTAGTTAATACAGTTAATTCTTATCCTGCTTGATATTAGTGAACATTTTAGCTTTTCAAGTGTTCTGAATGTTTTCTTCTATTCTGATGTTACACTCTCTAAAATTATCAGAAACCTGCATTTCAGAGCACCTGTTAGAGGTTTATAGCTGATTACAAAACCATCTTCTAAAGAGGAACAAAACAAGACAACAATTGTTTATGGATGACAAAGTGTTTTAAGGTAGACATAGTTAAAGATGCAATCAACAAAGATACCTTTTATCTCTGTGACACACAATAATTTTAATGTAACAATTATAATTTTTACTGATAATGTCCATGAAGATGTATCAGAATTATAGGAGTTTCCCATAACTTTGAAACATATATGAATATATTTATACAAATATAGCTCAAAGGAAGCCAAACACCATTTTATATTTGAGAGTGCTTCCTGTATGATTTTATACCAGATAAGCTAAAATTCCACCTTATATTAATGTGCTATTAATGTTAAACTCAATTTTAATAAAACCTTGTAGACACATTTACCTAATTTTAATGTTTGACCATAAGGTAAGATTTTTTTATAGACCCTTTTTAACCCTTTATAATTTTTGTTAAAGAACAGGTTAGTGCTTTAACAGAAACACATGTGTCTTTATTTCAAAGCTCAATTACAGAAAAACTGGATGATACCCCTTCAACTTTAGTCAATATATTTATACACAGCATTTGAAGGTTTCTTAAACCTTCAAAACAATTTAACATTTTCGTGCAAGTAAAAATTCACATCTTATGCCTCCTTATAATCTTTTTACCAAAAATGTATTTTATTTTCCTTACACACCTTACACATAAACAGTTTCTTCAATAGTTTTAAATACATATTTTACTGTTAACATTTAGCAACATTTACCTTTGTTGAAAACCTTGGTAAGTTTTGAATTTTAATTATGTGATAGGTCTAGAGCCTAGGATCTAGACAGAATTGCAGATAAGGCCTGGCTTATTTCAATATTTAACTCCATGTGTCCTAGGTTTTGCCTAGCTGCAAAGCATGTAAGTTGTACAGCTAAGAGGTATAGGGACATTTTATGAAGCATTCAGGGGATCTAATTACTTTTAAATTGTGCAACATTTCTTGCATAAATTCTCTATTATAAAATTTTTCCTGACTTTTACAGACAGTCTCTGACATGCCCCAACTTTCTGGCTTTTCATAAATATCTATTTCTTTAAACAACCAGTTAAATTATTTTAGGACAAGAATTTACCACAGAAGATTCTTTTTTATATAAATTGTCTTTTATTTAATATCAGTGATGATAACTGTCCTTTCCTAAAACAAACTTCCTTCATGTCTGTGGACTAGACTGCCTGAGGCCAGAAGATTGTAAGCTAGAATATTTCACTAAATAGGTTAATATGTAGCTATCATCATCAAACAAATATTGCTGTTTTATTTATTTAAAAATTACACAAGCAAAGATTATTTTGTTTGGAGTGGGTAATAGTTTTGTAGCCTCTCTGCCAAGTTTTCACACCTTATAGTATTTACCAGAAATAGGGATGAAATTGCCTAGTTAATTAATGCAAAAAAAATGTATGTGGCAGACAGGCATGGTGGCTTACACTTGTAATCCCAGAACTTTGTGAGGCTGAGGTGGACAGATCAAGAGGTCAGGATTTCAAGACCAGCCTCACCAACATGGTAAAACCTTGTCTCTACTAAAAATACAAAAATTAGCTGTTTGTGGTGGTGCATGCCTATAATCCCTGCTACTCAAGAGGCTAAAGCAGGAGAACCACTTGAACCCAGGAGTCAGAGGTTGTAGTGAGCCGAGATTGTGCTACTGCCCTCCAGCCTGGGTGACAGAACAAGACAGTCTCAACAAAACAAAAAAAAAAAGAAAGAAAAAAGAAAAGGAAAGAAAAGAAAGTTATTCTGGCAACTCTTCAGAGATTTCTTATTTTAATACACCAGGAAGTTTCAAAGTAAAATATGTATTTAAAACTATTGAAGAAACTGTTTATGTGCAAGGTGTGTAAGGAAAGTTTCACATGAACTGAAAGTTCTCACAGCATTTACCTTTCCCTTAAAAATATTTGATTTCAGTGCTAATTTTTATATATCAATTAATTAGAGCTCTTTTAATAGACATTACTCACATAACACATATACAGCCAAGCAGACAAGAAGAAGAAATTCAGTAATTATAAGATTTTTTTTTCTGCTAATTTCCCAATTGTATTACTGGCCTTCAGGTGAGACCCTTTAAGAACAGTAATATGAAAAAAGTTTCTATGGACTAATAAACAAATATAGCTGGAAGAAAAAGACAGATTTTGAGAGATACTTATTCACCTCTAATTCCAGGGATTTCATAAGGAAAACAGAAATTTTTTCCCAAAATGGGATTTGTAGTGCTTTTCCTGCTTTCCCAAGGAGTCCCAGGCTACCATAAATTATTTTAGGGTTTTTTATACATGCAGCAAAAGTAGAAAGACACAGTGGAGAACATTAATTCAGTTAATTGGGAAAATACCTTTTCAATGAAACAACATTGATGAAGAGAAAAATATAAAGGCATTTTGAATATACTTACAGCTTTGATCTGCAACAAATCCTACATGGAGAAAGGGAAATTAATGTGAGCAATGCCTTTAACCACAGCCACTTCCCAGAAAGGGAAAGGCAGATGTGATTTTTGAATTGGTAACAGATGGAGAACGAGTAGTTGGGTTGGGGGCTAAGGGTTTGGAGGCAGGAGGGGCCACTGGGGTAGAGGATTTGGATGGGCAAGGAGTCGATGCAGGGAATAAGAATACAGAGGGGCTTTATCTACTGGGTTAAAAGGAGTTTCATAGTAAGGAAAGACCTGGGGAGGATTTTTATTAAAAAGAAAGATTTTATGAGCAGTGCAAGCTTGACACAGTGGAAGGTTACATTTAAGGTAGACATCAAAGAAAGCCTGAATATAGAGAACCAGTTGCCATTTGCCATCCCTCGCTGTAAAGTTGTTAAGCTTCCTGAGAATTTGCAAGTCAAAGGTATGATTTTTGGGCCATCGACTGTCATTATCTAATGTGTATTGGGACCAGGCCATGTTACAGTAAAAGACTAAATGCTTCTGTCAAGTTTTGCAAGATTGTGAATGAGACAGTACAGTGGAGAGGGCTTAGGAATGTGGGATTGTTTGGTGAGAAAAACTAGAAAGATTTTTAGACAGGGCCTATTTCAGCAACTTTCTTCTGATATCAGGGGCTGCCTGAGTATTGAACCTGTTTTTTACTGAACTGGAAGACAGGGAAGTGTGTCTTACTAAAGCTTCTCTCAGTCTCTCCAAGAAGGCAGGTGGATTTCCATATATTTTCTGGTGCAACTCATACAGTTGAGAGTAATTAAGAGGTCTTGTTCTGCTTATTTCCAAGTCTTTTTAAATGTATATCAGAAATTCTTTTAATTTCCACTCATTTATGAGATCACTCAGGCTCCAATTAGGGCTTTTAAGGGAGCCTCATTTTTCTTACTATTGGGAATGGGGACCCTGTCTCTCCTTATCCTCTTTTATCCCTTAGATTTTTTCCTTTCAAGATTTTTAGACTGGCTATAGGAGTTACGCTGTTTATCTCCAAATGTTTCTGCTGCCTGCAAGACTGCCTGCTTTTCTGTAACAGTTAGGGTTTTGGCTTAAATGTAGCATAGCATCTCTCCATGTAACATGAAACATTTGGGTCAAATTTTGGAAAACCTCTCTATGTTTATTAGGGTCATCAGAGAACCTACCTAGTTCCCCCTTTATTTGTGTAAGTTCCTGCAATGAAAAGAAAACTTGAGGTGGTGATTAATAAGGGGCATTCTGAGATGGTTTCTTTAGAAATTGCTTTTCTAACTCTGCGGAATTATTCTCCATGGGACTACCTGCCATGACTGTTAAAAAAGCTGGGTTGATCTCATAATGCTTGTGAAGGTTTAGTAAAAAATGTCATGCTCTCGTGCAAAAGAAAATGGTCACCTTTTTCTTCAAAGTCATCGGGTCAAAGTAGTTCTAAAAGTTTCAGAGTGCACTCAGAGGGGTGCAGATTAAAGTTGGACTGTCACCTCTCTAGAAAAATAGACAAGAAAAGAGGCATCCCTCTGTCTCCTGCTTTTTTTCAGTGTGACCCAGGGAGGAGAAGAAGACAGTAGGAGTGTCCCACAGACTGTTATTTCTCCTTGGCTCCTGGGTCCCAGCATTGTGTTGAATATGCCACCAGTGGTTTCAAGTGTGACCTTCAAATGATGGTAGCAGAGGAGCTAAGCAATGGGGCAAGCCATGCTCACCCAAGTGGCTTTAGTCCTCTGATGGTGATTATTCTTTGACCTCGTAGACTTGGGTCTGGGTCACTCCTTGATGGATGGGTCTCAGGAAAGACTATGTGACAGTTGCATCTGGGCATCTGCTGGACTTCCCTCCTTAATGGAGGAAGTGTTTTAGTATTATCTTTGGTTTCCCTTGCTATGGCCCTAGTGAAACATTGAAACCCCAAAGAATGAGACTGATTCACTTTCAAACATAAAACCCATTTCTGGTGTAAATGCCAATGTAGCTGAATGTAGAACAGGTGCCTTAAAAGAACATATAAATGGAATGGCCGTCCTCTTACTGTTAAAGCTGGAGCTTTGCTGTTTTCAAATGGGGCATGAAGCCTAGTCTCTAATAGAGGGATATAAAAGGGAGATAACCAGAGTTTTTAGACAAAGGGCCAACAAGGCTCCCAGTGGGGAAAAATAAATCCCATTCCCCTACGTAGTGCTGTAGGGTCTGAAATATTAGGTAAAAACTGTGACTCCATCCTTTCAGGCAGAAGTTAGAAAAAGAGGTTTCAGTTTAATTGGCTGTTCCTATAATATTCCTCCCAGCACAAGAAAATTAACTTGTTTCATAAAGAATTGTTTAAATTTATTGGGCAATGCTGGGATTTTACATGGAGGGAAAAACCAACCCAAATGGGGAGGGAAAAACCAACCCAAATGTAGAGGGAAGAAACAATCCAAATGGAGAGAAAAGAGGATATTCACTTGGGGTGAAATATTTGACCATATAGTGTCATGAATGTCTATTATTGAGGGGTAGAAGAGACCTTACTAAGTGAATACTTAGACAGAAATCTTGAACTCCTCTGTCTCGAGGAAATCACAAAAACACAGTTTCTTGAAGTTACATTCCTGGTTACAAAAAAAGACACCAACTTACTCTACCAAGCAAGATTATATCTCTAGGCTGAAAAAACACCTGCAACATTGTATACAATGAAGAGATAGGTGACATAATAGCCATGGGAGAAAAGAAGGAAAATGTAAGAGGGAAGGTCCTTGTGCTGACACACTGGTGGGCTGTCAAGGATTGGAGTAGTCTTCAGATAACACTGAGGACCTTCAGATAACACTGAGGGTTAGTCCCAGCCAGAAATCTTGAATTTTCCTAGGACCTTCTTCCAATCCCACATGTTGGCTTAGGTCCTCTGTGAAAGGAAACTAGATTGGAATAGATGAGAAGACTCATAGATGAATGTAAATAGTTAAAGGTAAAAGTCGGCTCTTACTCACCCTTCTGATGAATTCCCTCCTTCCAAGCCAATGGATCAAAATATGTTGCATTCTTGCCAATGCACCTTAATTTGGAAGTTTCTTGTTGTCTGAAGAAGTACTCCAGGTTTTTTGTTCTTTATCCAAGACAAAAAAATTAAGAATTGTAAACACAAAGATAAAGTTGGAGTGAAAGTTTAATATGAAAAAAAAAAAAAAAAGCTCTCCACAGCAGAGAGGAGTCTGAGTGCATTGCTGGGTTACATCTGAATTCGAAAGCTTTTATAAGAAACTCCTCTCATGTCTGTAGCAGTTTGAGTAACTTCTCTTATCAGTAAACCTGTGTGTGCAACTCCCCTTATCTTATGTAGCTGTGGGTATGCCTCCAGGCAAGCACACAGTGCCACTTATTTTCCTTGTATAAAGTGGGTTGTTTTTGATAAGCCATCCTCAGCCCTGTGCATATTTCCACCACATATATGCCTGAAAGGGAGATACCTTTTTTTTTTCCCTAGGATTTCACTAATTATACAAATTGCTTATCTGTGTGCAGGTGCAGCCTGAGTTTTTCCAAAATGGTTCTTTTTTTCTTATCCCTCAATACCTATTGAAGCTCCCCAAATGAAGCAGTTAACATGCTAAATATGCAAGTCATGTTAGACTGGCTTTATGATGGCTGAGATATCCTCCCACCAAATATGCTTATTAACAAGTTCATGGTAAATTTCTGGGCTAAATGAGCCTCTTTTTACATGGGTGTCTCTCCCACAGAATCAAAGGACTTTTTAAAAAGCCTTATCAAATTTGCTATCCCTAACAGGTCATACAGATGCAACTTCCTGATGGGAACCCAAATCTTTTTCACCTGAAGAGTTAAAAAGATCTCGGGAGTAAAGAAAAAAAAAGTTGGGGGGAAGTTCCTAAGACCAGAATATAGTAACATATAGGTTAATATAATTACAAAACTTAACATATGTAAACAAGCTTTATGTAAGGTATTTGTAACCCTTTTACCTAACAGTCTTATGAAAATGGGTACTATATCGCCAGCTGTGGTGGCTCACACTTGTAATCCCAGCACTTTGGGAGTCTGAAGGGGGTGGATCATGAGGTCAAGAGGTCAAGACCAACTTTGCCAACAAGGTAAAACTCCGTCTCTACTAAAAATACAAAAATTAGTGGTCCCAGCTACTCGGGAGGCTGAGGCAGGAGAATTGCTTGAACCCGGGAGGCAGAGGTGGCACCACTGCACTCCAGCCTGGTGACAGAGTGAGACTTCATGTTAAAAACAAAACAAAACAAGGAAGTGGGTACTATAGCTAACTGGGGCATAATTCATCTGTCTAGTACTATAAACTGAAGACATATAAATATGTTCTCTTAGGAAATGTTAATTGGACATACTAAATGGAAACTAGTAAATTGCCTATGCCCACAAAATATAAAGTAAACACTTAAGTGTTAGTTGGGACAAATCCTCCAGTGTGTGTCCCTTTATGTGGAGCTTTTATCGTGGCTGAAGTAAGAAACTATGAGTACCTTTCAATGACAATGACTGAACTAGAGAATTTCTATTTGCTGGGGCATTTACTGCCTTTCTATGAAATATTAACTGAAGCTACCCATATGCTAATGGAAATAATGTTTCCCAAAAGAGTTCCATCATAAAATAAAAATGGTTAACATAAAATATTGCTACCTAACAGGCAGAGATCCTCTGTCCTAGGATGAATTGTGAGAAACTGCTACATTCTAGAGTGTCTAATAACTCTCAAACTCAGTTTCAGTGGGGCTGAAATCTTAAATCTCCTGATGAGCTTTGGGGCCAAAAAGCTGTGCACTTCTGCTCTGATTGTACTTTTTTGGCATCACTTAAATATTAAAACAGAGTTTGATTTACTGGAGCAGCATCTCATGCAGTCAAAAAGACAGAAAAATCATAGAAACAAAGAAAAATGTGTTCTTTAAGAAAAGCCAGACCGATGAAGAAAAAAAAAAGAGAGTCAAATTACTAAAATCAGAAATAAAGGGTGAAGAACATTCATGTCAGTCTTACACCAGGTCCTGTTGGGGGTGGGGCTGAGGGGAGGGAACTTTGAGGATGGGTCAATAAGTGCAGGAAAAACCACCGTGGCACACATATACCTACGTAAAAAACCTGTAATTTCTGCACAGGTTATTTTTAGAAGAAATAAAGAAAAACAAAAATTTTATAAACAGAAGAAAGAAGAAAGAAAGAAACGGAAAGAGAGAGAGAAAGAAAGAAACAAAGTTAGTTTATTTAAGGGGCATGTACTACGACCTTGCTCTGGGACAGTGACTAAAGCTACCTCTATGATGGAGGACATGAAGTAATTTTGACACTTGATCTTGACATCTGAGCTGGTTCCTAGGAAACGCTCTAATAAGGGAAGCAATACCCAAAAGATATGAAATACATGAAAAAGTGCAAATCTGTTATAAAGGATGATTCTACTGGTGGACTGCAAGGAGGAGATACTCATGAGCAGAGAGCCTGTTTTACCCTACACCTGACTCTAGAACAGTGAGGAGCTGCTGGATTCTACAGAGCCTGACAAAGAGCTATCAATTGACCAACAAAGAGCTGCTGGGTTTGTGGATGACAGTTACAAGGTGAATGAGCAACATGTATGGAGTCTTCTACTTTGATTAGAAAAAAAAAAGAAGAAAACAAGGTGGCTCAGGGAGCTGAACTGCATGCTGTTTTCCCACAATAATGAAAGAATTAACTCTGTTTTGAGTTTTCACTAACTAACTCATGGGTAATGGCTAGCCAATGCCCTGCTTGGTCACATGGTCAGGCAGAAGGACAATGACCAATTTAATTGGCCAATTAAAACAATGCCAGTATGGGGCATGGCCATGTAGAAATTACTATAGAAACTTCAGGGGTGCATAAAAGTAAGACAAGTGGATGCCCACACAAAGTGCCCCCTTCCATACTCAAAAAGTAAGACAGATGGATACACCCAGAAAAAGCCCCCTTCCAGAATGTGACTAGAATTGATAAGTAGATATCCCCATGTGTTCCCTTGAGGTGGTCACTTGCAGCCATGAAATGGATGTATATGGGGTTTCTGCAGCAGTGCAGATATGGGCCAAATCTAGATAAGTCCTCTTACATTGTCTCAGGCCATTAAGGCCAGTAAGAACCGCTATGCTTGTCAGCCAGCAAGACATATACTGCAGATGGCTCTGGAGCAGAGTTTCTGGTGAGAAAGCCCTGTACATGTCTGGCAAGCAATACCAAGACTGGTATTCTCAAAGGGGACAGAGAATAGAGGAGTAGACACTGAGTCTGGAGTGGGCTTCCATTACATGGGGGAAGATGCTAATTCTCAGAGTGCCACACAATAAATAGAACAGAAGATATTGCATGGATTTGGATGGCTGACTGTCATTTCTTTAGATCAAAAAACATTCTGTACAGCCCATAATATCCAACAATAGGCAGAGAGGTATCCTCCCCAGAGTAATGGTGTGATTAAAACTATTGTAAAATAGGCAATTAAAACACTGATTGTCTAAAATGGGTGGAGATGAAAGCATAAAGGACTGGCTTCCATGTCTTCCTAAGTGTGCTCTGACTTAACATGCATGGAATAAACAATGTGTCTTCACTAGAGTTTTCTATTTTCCAGATCGATCTGGGGATAAGTGGGTGACAGGGTTGTTAGCAGCACTGAATCCAGTGCGGCATTGAAACCATATGGGTCTACAGCAACTTCAGTTCTTGCCTCATCAGAAAAAAAGTATTTGTCTGAGGCACATAAGGCAGGGAAATAGACTGAGGCAAGTTCTAGTGCAGAAGTGAAAGTGTATTAAAAAGGTTTTCGATCAGGAAAGAAAGAGAGTAAAGTAGCTTGGAAAGGGCCAACCAGATGACTTGCTCTTAAGTCATCTTGAATCAAGTACCAGGTTTAACCTCTGACTTGCAGTCATATATGTTGGTATAATTCTGAGGTCTTGCATACTTTCTCTCCTTATTCTTCCTTTGTAGCAAGCTGTCTGCATGTGAAGTGCCCTGCTAGCACTTGGGAGGGGACACATTCTCAGTTTGTTTACTGAAGTTGTGTGAATGTGGTACATTCTTTCCTTACCAGTCAAGGGTTCCTAGAAGGTCATACACCAGTTACGTTCTGCTATTTTGCCTCTTACTGCACATGCTTGGGCACAGTGACCCAACTCCTGATATCTTACTTAGAAGCTATTAATCACAAGTTTTAGATGTTTTTATATTTTGGGAACCGACCTTGCTCTGACACTGGTAATGAGCAACTTTTATTATAGAGAGACAGTTTAGCAACTGCCTGACCATCACCTGATGGTCACCTGACAGAGATGGGGGTCTCTTCTGCCCTGTTCATGCCTGACTACCTACTTACTGTAACTGGAGGACCCTGATATGACCATGAAATTCTTGGCAAGGAAGAAGCACACTGGTGTAACTATTATTTTTTCTTTATTCCCCAAATCACTTCAAATTTTCTTTCTCCCCTGCCTGATGCAGTAGTCTTAGGATCAAGGCTGCAATGGCAAGTGCAGAAAGCATAAATAATATCCAAACAAGAAACCATAACTATATATTCAAATGTTACTTCAGAATTCCTAAGGGCCTATTGGGGGTGGGTTGTGTCTTCACTCTATTCAGGAAAAGTGGGTCTAATAGTAAATGCAGTTGTATTTTCTGGTGGAAAAAAAAACCCTATTCATTTCTATTTTTATGTAGATAACTTTATCTGAATGGGAGTGTATCTGAATGAGAGTGGACTGAGGAGAAGCTACTTGCTGGATTGGTATAGCTGCCTACAATCTAAACTAGAACAGGATTCTAAACTGAGGAAAATTTACCATCACCTCAAAAGAATTTCAGAGCAAGAGATAATGAGTCTTAGCTCATTTACACCAGATGCCTGCAAGAGTAAAGTTGTGTGTTTCCCAACATCACTCTTGCTTTAGAACCTGACAAGATTGAAAGGAAGCCTGAAACCTGAATGAACTCATCCTAGGAGACATTACTACAATATGATGGATCGAACTAATTATCAATGGTGAAATGTGACTGTAGTCATGTGGCCATATCTTTTGAGTTGTATGTTCATTTCATGTAAGGGATCCAAGTTTTAACATGGTGGGTGTATTAGTTCATTTTTATGCTGCCAATAAAGAGATACCCGAGACTGGGTAATTTACGAAATAAAGAGGTTAAATGCATTTACAGTTACACATGGCTGGGGAGGCCTCAAAATCACAGCAGAAGGCAAGGAGGAGCAAGTCACATCTTATGTGAATGGTGGCAGGCAAAAAAGAGAGCTTGTGTAGGGAAACTCCCCCTTATCCAACCATTAGATCTCATGAGACTTATTCACTATCATGAGAACGGCATGAGAAACACCTTCCCACATGGTTCAGTAACCTCCCACCAGGTACCTTTCACACATGGGAATTTGAGATGAGATTTGGTTGGGGACATCACCAAACCATATCAGAAGTGTTGAAGTGGGTGGTGGGATGGTGGAAAGGTGTGAAATATATATTGTGAAATATATATCATGAAATATATATTTGATCTTCCCCTCTATTTCCTGGCATATGATACCTTAATCCTTGGGATTTCCAATGTGCTGCAAAGTGCTTTCTTTTTTTATGTCAGCTAATGAACACTGATAGCTTTAGAATTGGGCTCATCACAAGAAAGACCAAAGCATGCTTAGAGGGTGGAAACATTCAGCCCCACACCCTAACCTGCAGCAAGGAGACAAGGGCTGAAGGTCAGTTTGACCACCAATGGCCAATGGCTTAATCAATCATCCCTAGTAATATAGTTTGAATACGTTTCCCCTACAAACCTCATGTTGAAATGGGATCTCTAATATTGGAGGTGGGGTCTTGTGGGAGGGGTTTGGGTCATGGGGGTGAATCTCTGGTAAATAGTTTGGCACCCTTCCCACACTAATATGTTCACATGAGATGCATTGTTACAAAGACTGGCGGACTATCTCCTCTCTCTTGTTTCCTCTCCTACCACATGACATACCTATTCCCCTTTCACCTTCCATCATGACTGAATGTTTCCTGAAGCCTCACCAGGAGAAGATGTTGGTGTCATGCTTCTTGTACAGCCTGCAGAGCTGTGAGTCATGTGATGCTGCTTCTTTTAATATACACAGCTTAGGTATTTAATTATAGCAGCACAAAATGGACTAATACCCTGATGTAATGGAACCTCCATAGAAATCTAAGGAGACAGAGTTCAGAGAGCTTCCAGGTATTGGAACACATGAAGCTTCTTTTTTTGTTGTTTAGACAGAGTTTTGTTCTTCTTGCCCAGGCTGGATGCAGTGGTGCAATCTGAGCTCACTGCAACATCCGCCTCCCAGATTCAAGCAATTCTTCTGCCTCAGCCTCCCAACTAGCTGAGATTACAGGCATCCCACCATGCCCAGCTAATTTGTTTCCATATTTTTAGCAGAAATGGGTTTTCATCATGTTTGCCAGGCTGGTCTTCAACTCCTGACTTCAGGTTATCCACCTGCCTCAGGCTTCCCAAAGTGCTGACATTGCAGGCATCAGCCACTATGCCCAGCTGAAGCTTCTTGGAAGGCGGCATGCTCAGGGAGGCATGGAAGACTCATGCCCCTTTCCTCATTCCTTGCCCTGTGCATCTGTTCATCTGTATCCTTTGCTACATCCTTTATAATAAGTTGGTAAGTGTTACATTAACATACCCCCAAACAACTATTAAAGCTAGTAAATGAACTCAGTAATTTTTCAGAATACAAGATTAGATTGCAAAAATTGTTTACACTAATAAAAAAAGTATGAAGTAAATTTTAGTTGGACTTATTTTAAATATTTAAATACAAAAAGTGAACAAATGCTTCTGTTTTTGTTTATTTGTTTATTTACATACACACAGGTCTAACAGCCAAAATGTGCAGAGAAAATGAGCTCTTGCTTTGTCCTCTATGGTTTCCATGCTATGGCTGAAGGTGTAGCTGGCCTCCCTCCTCCTCCAGCCACACAGAGATTCATAGTGGCTGCTTTGCACTATGGGTTTAATGCATTTTGTCTATTTCATATTGTTGCATTGTCCCTCCTGGAAATCTAGAGTCATATATATATATATATATATATATATATATATATATATATACACACACACACACACACACACACACACACACACACACACACTTATATATATATGTGTATATGTGTGTGTATATATATGTATATGTGTGTATACACACACACACACACACACACACACACATACATATATATAAGCAGTCATTAATGGGAAAAAGAATCTCTCACTGGCACCAGTTCTTACTCCATAATGGGAAAGTGAAATCTTACAGTTAGGGATAAATTAGTGAAAGAAGTGGGGTGGCTGGAGCTGGAATAACATCTGCATGGCTGCACTCTGGTATCAGAGTGAACAAAAGTATGTCAGGATAGTGTGGAGGACACCATTGCAAGTAGAATCTCTTTGTGAGACTATGTGAGGAGAATTCTTTTCCCCAGGTTTAGCTAATGTGCCAAAGTTAAAAAAGAATCAAATAATCAACTTTTAAAACTTCTCTCACTGTGACAGCCCATATAGAGCAATCACAATCTAGGTCATCCCAAGAAGTAAAGATAGAGTGCCTGACAGAATGCCTTCTTCCTTACAGCCCTAAAAGCCTAGAGAAGTGTCTTTTGCTTCTATCATTGCTGCTTTTGCTCCACTTGCAACTTCTCAGTCTCAAAGATGAAAGCAAGAACGAGTAACATAAAGGAGGTGGTCTCAATAGACACAGCTGCCCTGGAAAACCTGTACATTTTCTGAGTCACAAAGAGGAGGAGATTGTAAGTGGCATGGACTGTGCAACTGAACCATCTCTGGAAACATCTTCATCAGGACCTACAGTGTCTGCCACAGGGTCTCATCTAGGTCTTCCTTTTCATTGTTGTACTCTCATAGCTCCTCTCCAGTCTTCTCCATGTTACCTTTACAGGAGAAATTAATCAGAAACAGGGGTCCCTGGCCCCAACTGTCACCCTTGTCTGAGCACCAGTGGCAGCAATGACAGCAACCATGGCTGTTGGACAACTAAAATAATTTTTTACCAAAAAGTGGTATTTAAAATAGCATGTAACTATTTTTAAAAATAAAAGTAATCAAAAAATAATACAAAACGGGGTCAACAAACAAAATTAAAAGATCCAGTCTACAAAATTCTTAAGCAAATATATGGAAGCATCTTTCCTAACCTTGAATTTGTCTTTCAATTTGTAAATATGACACCAACAAAAAAAGGAACAAAACTTTAAGCCATAGATAAATTGAAGTTGTTTAAGATGGAAAAGTATGTCACAAGACTATCTACAGAGAGTCAAAAGACAACCTACAAAATGAGAGAAAACATTTTCAAATTGTAGATTTCATAAGCATCTGGTATCTAGACTCTATAAACAACTGCCACAACCCAATAACAAACTGCCAAACAATCTATTTACCAGATGGGCAAAAATCAAGCAAGTAAACAACAATAGAAAACAAATATGGAAACCCCATATGAAATAAATACTCTCCAAAGAAAATAGACCAATGACAAACAAGCACAAAAAAAAAAAAATTCTGGATGACATTGGTCATTAGAGAAATCCCACTGAAATTGTGCAGCTTAAAATATTTAATTGTTAATTTTATGTTTTGTGAATTTTATTTTAAGATGGAGGGAGAAATGAGGCTTATCCACATAATGCAACATAATTTAACCATAAAAAGAAATGATGTACCAAAATCTACCACATTGTGGATGAATCTTGTGAGCAATATGTTAAGTGAAAAAAACCAGACATGAGCAACCAATAATGTAGGATTACAATTGTATAAAACTTCCAAAATCTTTTAATCCACAGAGATTGAAAACTGACTAGTGGCTGTCACAGACCAACAAGAAGTGGGTAATAGGCAGTGACTGTTTCTACAACATTGTGAATGTGTTACATGACACTGAGTTGTGTTCTTTAACATTATTAATCTTATCTTATAAAATAACATATTATTTTATGTTACAAAATAATACAAAATGATCCCAATCCCCAAGGCTTCCTTGAAAAACCTGTGCATTTTCTGAGCCACAAAGAGGAAGAGATCAAAAGTTGCTCTGGCCATGGAGCCATTTTAAGTTATTTGAAAACATAAAATTAATATGAAATAAAAATGTAGGTGGTTCCAAGATGGCCAAATAGGAACAGCTCCAGTCTACAACTCCTGGTGTGGGCAACGCAGAAGACAGGTGATTTTTGTATTTCCAACTGAGGTACTGGGTTCATCTCACTGTGGCTCCTCAGACAGTGGGTGCAGCCCACTGAGTATGAGCCAAAGCACGGTGAGGTATTGCCTCACCCAGGAAGTGCAAGGGGTCAGGGGATTCCCTTTCCTAGCCAAAGGAAGAGGTGACAGACGGCACCTGGAAAATTGGGTCACTCCCACCATAATACTGCACTTTTCCAATGCTCTTAGCAAACGGCTCACCAGGAGATTACATCCCATGCCTGGCTTGGAGGGTCCTACACTGGTGGAGCCTCACACATTGCCAGCACAGCAGTCTGAGATTGAACTGCAAGGCAGCAGCAAGGCTAGGGGAGGGGTGCCCACCATTACTGAGGCTTGAGTAGGTAAAGTGGCTGGCAAGCTCGAACTTGGTGGAGCCCACTGTGGCTAAAGAAGGCCTGCCTGCCTCTGTAGACTCCACCTCTGGGGCAGGGCATAGCCAAACAAAACACAGCAGAAACCTCTTCAGACTTAAATGTCCTTGTCTGCAGACTTAAATGTCCCTGTCTGACAGATTTGAAAAGAGTAGTGGTCTTCCCAGCGCGGAGTTTCAGATCTGAGAATGAACAGACTGCCTCCTTAAGTGGGTCCCTGAACCCTGAGTCACCTAACTGGGAGGCATCCCCAAGTAGGGGCAGACTGACACCTCACATGGCTGGGTACACCTCTGAGACAAAGCTTCCAGAGGAACAATCAGGCAGAAACATTTGCTGTTCAGCAATATTCACTGTTCTGCAGCCCCTGCTGCTGATACCCAGGCAAACAGTGTCTGGAGGGGACCTCCAGCAAACTCCAACAGACCTGCAGTGGAGGGTCCTGACTGTTAAAAGGAAAACTAACAAACAGAAAGGACATCCACACCAAAACCCCACCTGTACGTCACCATCATCAAAGACCAAAGGTAGACAAAACCACAAAGATGGGGAAAAAACAGAGCAGAAAAGCTGAAAATTATAAAAATCAGAGCACCTCTTTCCATCCAAAGGAATGAAGCTCCTTGCAAGCAATGGAACAAAGCTGCATGGAGAATGACTGTGACGAGTTGACAGAAGAAGGCTTCAGATGATCAAACTTATCTGAGCTAAAGGAGGAGGTTCAAACCCAACACAAAGGAGATAAAAACCTTGAAAAAAATTAGGTGAATGGCTAACTAGAATAATCAGTGTAGAGAAGTCCTTAAATGACCTGATGGAGCTGAAAACCATGGCACAAGAACTACAGGATGAATGCACAAGCTTCAGTAGCTGATTTGATCAACTGGAAGAAAGGGTATCAGTGATGGACGATCAAATGAATGAAATGAAGGGAGAAGAGAAGCTTGGAGAAAAAAGGTTAAAAAAAAATTAACAAAGACTCCAAGAAATATGGTACCATGTGAAAAGACCAAATCTACATCTGATAGGTGTACCTGAAAGTGACGGGGAGAATGGAACAGTGTTGGATATTATCCAGGAGAACGTCCCCAACCTAGGAAGACAGGCCAACATTCAAATTCAGGAAATAGAGAGACTGCCAAAAGACAATCATCGAGAAGAACAACTCCAAGACACATAATTGTCAGATCCACCAAAGTTGAAATAAAGGAAAAAATGTTAAGGGAAGCCAGAGAGAAAGGTCGGGTTACCCACAAAGGGAAGCCCATCGGACTAACAGCTGATCTCTTGAAAGAAACTCTAGAAGCAAGAAGAGAGTGGGGGCCAATAGTCAACCTTCTTAAAGAAAAGAATTTTCAACCCAGAATTTCATATGCAGCCAAACTAATCTCCATAAGTGAAGGAGAAATAAAATACTTTACAGACAAGCAAATAACTGAGAGATTTTGTCACCACTAGGCCTGCCCTAAAAGAGCTCCTGAAGGAAGCACTAAACCTGGAAAGGAAAAACTGGTAGCAGCCACTGCAAGAATATGACAAATTGTAAAGAACATCAATGCTAGGAAGAAACTGCATTAACTAGTGAGCAAAATAACCAGCATATATCATGACAGGATCAAATTCACACACAGTACTATTAACCTTAAATGTAAATGGGCTAAATGCCCCAGTTGAAAGACACAGACTGGCAAATTGGATAAAGAGTCAAGACCCATCAGTGTGCTGTATTCAGGAGATCCATCTCATGTGCAGAGACACACATAGGCTCAAAATAAAGGGATGGAGGAAGATCTACCAAGCAAATGGAAACAAAAATGGCAAGCATTGCAATCCTAGTCTCTGATAAAACAGACTTTAACCAACAAACATCAAAAGAGACAAAGAAGGCCATTACATAATGGTAAATGGATCAATTGAACAAGAAGAACTAACTAACTTAAATATATATGCACCCAATATAGGGGCACCCAGATTTGTAAAGCAAGTCCTTAGAGATTTACAAAGAGACTTAGAATACCACACAATAATAATGGGCAACTTTAACAACCCACTGTCAACATTAGAGAGATCAATGAGAGAAAAACTTAACAAGGATATCCAGGAATTGAACACAACTCTGCACCAAGAGGGCCTAATAGACATCTACAGAACTCTCCACCCCAAATCAACAGAATATATATTCTTCTCAGCAACACATCGCACTCATTCCAAAATTGACCACATAGTTGGAAGTAAAGCACTCCTCAGTAAATGGAAAAGAACAGAAATTATAACAAACTGTCTCTCAGACCACAGTGCAATCAAACTAGAACTCAGGATTAAGAAACTCACTGAAAACCGCTCAACTACATGGAAAGTGAACAACCTGCTCCTGAATGACTACTGGGTACATAACAAAATGAAGGCAGAAATAAAGATGTTCTTTGAAACCACTAAGAACAAAGATAAAACATACCAGACTCTCTGGGACACTTTTAAAGCAGTGTATAGAGGGAAATTTATAGCACTAAATGCCCACAAGAGAAAGCAGGAAAGATCTAAACTTGACACCTTAACATCACAATTAAAAGAACTAGAGAAGCAAGAGCAAAGACATTCGAAAGCTATTAGAAGGCAAGAAATAACTAAGATCAGAGAATAACTGAAGGAAATAGAGACACAAAAGCCCTTCAAAAAATCAATGAATCCAGTAGCTGGTTTTTTGAAAAGATCAACAAAATTGATGGACTGCTAGCAAGATTAATAAACAAGAAAAGAGAGAAGAATCAAATAGAAGCAATAAAAATGATAAAGGGGATATCACAACCAATCCCACAGAAATACAAACTACCATCAGAGAATACAATAAACACCACTACACAAATAAACTAGAAAATCTAGAAGAAATGGATAAATTCCTGAACACATGTACTCTCTCAAGACTAAACCAGGAAGGAGTTGAATCCCTTTATAGACCAATAACAAGCTCTGAAGTTGAGACAATACTTAATAGCCTACCAACCAAATAAAGTCAGGACCAGAAGGATTCAAAGCCGAATTCTACCAGAGGTACAAGGAGAAGTTGGTACCATTCCTTCTGAAACTATTACAATCAATAGAAAAAAAGAGAATATTCCCTGACTCATTTTATGAGGGCAGCATCATCCTGACACCAAAGCCTGGCAGAGGCACAACAAAAAAAGAAAATTTTAGACCAATACCCTGATGAATGTCGATGCAAAAATCCTCAATAAAATATGGGCAAAACGAATCCAGCAGCACATCAAAAAGCTTACCCACCATGATCAAGTGGGCTTCATCCCTGGGATGCAAGGCTGGTTCAACATATGCAAATCAATAAACGTAATCCAGCATATAGACAGAACCAAAGGCAAAAATCATATGATTATCTCAATAGATGCAGAAAAGGCCTTGGACAAAATTCAACAGCACTGCAGGCTAAAAACTCTCAATCAATTAGGTATTGATGGGACATATCTCAAAATAATAAATGCTGTCTATAACAAACCCACAGCCAATATCAAACTGAATGGGCAGAAACTGGAAGCATTCCCTTCAAAACTGGCAGAAGACAGGGATGCCCTCTCTCACCACTCTTATTCAACATACTGCTGGAAGTTCTGGCCAGGGCAATTAGGCAGGAGAAAGACATAAACAGTATTCAACTAGGAAAAGAGGAAGTCAGATTGTCCCTGTTTGCAGATGACATGATTGTATACCTAGAAAACCCCATCGTCTTATCCCCAAATCTCCTTAAGCTGATAAGCAACTTCAGCAAAATCTCAGGATACAAAATCAATGTGCAAAAATCACAAGCATTCTTGTACACTGATAACAGACAAACAGAGAGACAAATCATGAGTGAATTACCATTCACAATTGCTTCAAAGAGAATAAAATACCTAGGAATCCAACTTACAACAGATGTGAAGGACCTCTTCAAGGAGAACTACAAACAACTGCTCAACAAAATAAAAGAGGATACAAACAAATGGAAGAACATTCCATGCTCATGGATAGGAAGAATCAATATGGTGAAAATGACCATACTGCCCAAGGTAATTGATAGATTCAATGCCATCCCCAACAAACTACCAATGACTTTCTTCACAGAATTGGAAAAAACTACTTTAAAGTTCATATGGAACCAAAAAAGAGCCTGCATTGCCAAGACAATCCTAAGCCAAAAGAACAAAGTTGGAGGCATCATACTACCTGACTTCAAACTATACTACAAGGCTACAATAATGAAAAGAGTATGGTACTGGTACCAAAGCAGAGATATAGACCAATGGAACAGAATAGAGCCCTCAGAAATAATACCACATATCTACAAAAATCTGATCTTTGACAAACCTGACAAAATAAGAAATGGGGAAAGGATTCCCTATTTAATAAATGGTGTTGGGGAAACCTGGCTAGCCATAAGTAGAAAGCTGAAACTGGATCCCTTCCTTACACCTCATACAAAATTTAATTTAAGATGGATTAAAGAGCTAAATGTTAGACCTAAAACCATAAAAACCACAGAAGAAAACCTAGGCAATACCATTCAGGACATAGGCATGTGCGAGGACTTCATGTCCAAAACACCAAAAGCAATGGCAACAAATGCCAAAGTTAACAAATGGGATCTAATTAAACTAAAAAGCTTCTGCACAGTAAAAGAAACCATCATCAGAGTGAAGAGGCAACCGACAGAATGGGAGAAAATTTTTGCAATCTAGTCACCTGACAGAGGGCTAATACCCAGAATCTACAAAGAACTCAAATTTACAAGAAAAAAAAAACCATCAAAAAGTGGGTGAGGGATATGAACAGACACTTCTCAAAAGAAGACATTTTTGCAGCCAAAAGACACATGAAAAAATGCTCATCATCACTGGCCATCAGAGAAATGCAAATCAAAACCACCATGAGATATCATCTTACAACAGATAGAATGGTGATCATTAAAAAGTCAGGAAAGAACAGGTGCTGGAGAGGATGTGAGAAATAGGAACACTTTTACACTGTTGGTGGACTGTAAACTAGTTCAACTATTGTGTAAGACAGTGTGGTGATTCCTCAAGGATCTAGAACTAGAAATACCATTTGACCCAGCCATCCAATTACTGGGTATATACCTAAATGATTATAAATCATGCTGCTATAAAGGCACATGCACACATATGTTCATTGTGGCACTATTCGCAATATCAAAGACTTGGAACCAGCCCAAATGTCCAAAAATGATAGACTGGATTAAGCAAGTGTGGCACATATACACCATGGAATACTATGCAGCCATAAAAAATGATTAGTTCATGTCCTTTGTAGGGACATGGATGAAGCTGGAAACCATCATTCTCAGCAAACTATTGCAAGGACAGAAAACCAAACACTGCATGTTCTCACTGATCAGTGGGAATTGAACAATGAGAACACTTGGACACAGGAAGGGGAACATCACACACCAGGGCCTGTTGTGGGGTGGTGGGAGTGGAGAGGGAAAGCATTAGGAGAGATACCCAATGTAAATGATGAGTTACTGGGTGCAGCACACCAACATGTCACATGTATACATATGTAAAAAACCTATATGTTGTGCACATGTACCCTAGAACTTAAAGTATAGTAAAATAAAAAAAAAATGTAGAGATTGCTGGGCATGGTGGCTAATGTGTAATCCCAGTGCTTTGGAAGGCTAAAGCAAGAGGATTGCCTGAACCCAGGAGTTTGAAGTTGTAGTGAGCTATGGACCTGCCATTGCTCTCCAGACAGATTCACAGAGGGACACCCTCTTTCTAAAATAAAATAAAATAAATAAAATATAAAGAGATGAATATTCAAGAAAAGGGTCTATTTGGGAACATATAAGTATTTCAAGGCTGAGTGTGGTGGCTCATACGTTTAATCCTAGCATTTTGGGAGGCCAAGAAGGGCAGATCACATGAGGCTAAGAGTTTGAGACCAGCCTGGCCAACATGGTGATAGCCCTATCTCTACTAGAATTACAAAAACTACCTAGGCATGGTGGCGTGTGCCTGTAATTCCAGCTTCTCAGGTGGCTGAGACAGGAGATTTGCTTGAACCTGGTAGCCCCTAGGTGTGTCTGAGAAACAAAAAAACAAAGTGAGGGTTTTCATGAGGGAAAGAAGGGAGATTATGTGAATTGTTTTGAAAGAAAATTTGTTGGTGCTGGCAGTGTCTCCAAGGGGCTGGCAAGTTCTGATTGAGGAGTAGCAGCAGTTACTGGGTAAGACTTAAAGTCACCATTAGGTTTTTCTGGTTTTCCTGTTGAAATGCAAAACCAGTTTTTAGAACAAATGTATGTGAACTGGGTGCCCTCATGGCTCCCCGACTCTATTACAGTTGGGTATAACATAGAAGGCTGTATTTGTATAATGAATTTTCACATACCTTAAAGAGAAAAGATTCACATTCTAAAGTGCAAGCTCTCTTTCTTTTTCTTTCTCTGACACTCTTGCATTTTTCTCTATCTCTTTTTCTTTAGCTCTTTCTCTATTTCTGAAAAAAATGTGGGAGAGGAAATGTTATGTACTGATAATCAGTGCTTTTAAAATTTGAGTACTAGTTAAACAATTATTCTCATTGGTTCCCCTGGGCAACCATTTACACATCAAGAAGTGTGAAGACATTGGCATTTTCCCCCTTTCACCTCACTGACTATTGAACATTACACCACAATTTTGTTCATCAGGACCTTAAACAGCCCTTCTTTTTCATTCCATTATTCTTCCATTCATCCCTACCTCTATGTAACTTTTTTTTTCAAGATGAAGTCTCACTCTGTTGCCGAGGCTGGAGTGCAATGGCATGATCTCGGCTCACTGCAACCTCAACCTCTCAGGTTCAAGCACTTTCCCTGCCTCAGCTTCCTTAGTAGCTGGGATTACAGGCATGCACCACCATGCCTGGCTAATTTTTTGTATTTTTAGTGAAGATGGGGTGTCACCATGCTGGCCAGGCTAGTGACAAACTCCTTACCTCAAGTGATTCACATGCTTCGGTCTCCCAAAGTGCTGGGAATACAGACATGAGCCACTGCACCCAACCTGTAGCTTTCTACTTTAGAATCTACTTCAAATATTCCCAGAACACTCTAGGCCAAACTAATCTCACAGTCAGCAATATAGTCTTACTTTAAAGGGCTTTAACTGCTGATATACTGTAGCCTGATATACATTTTCTCCCACCAATTTTTTTCTTTTTTTTATTCCAAATTCAGACATAGATTCTTCATCCTTCCAAATTTAGGCTGTCTCCTTTTCATTGGTAATCTGTCTTCTACATCAATATTCCTCTTCTCTCTGACATTCTCCTATGGAGTTTAATCTTTTTGACCAATGGCAGTAGTAAAGCCAGCTTTTGTGGAGTCTGAATCTTACACTTCTTGCACACTACTGTCTAAGACAGAGATAAAATTACAAATATTGACCAGACCTGGTGGCTAATGCCTGTAATCCCAGCACTTTAGGAGGCTGAGGCAGGTGGATCACTTGAGGTCAGGAGTTCAAGACCAGACTGGCAAACATGGTGAAACGCTGTCCCTACTAAAAATACAAAAACTAGCCATGTGTGGTGGTATGTGTCTGTAATTCCAGCTGCTTGGAAGACTGAAGGGGAAGAAACACTTGAACCTGGGTGGTGGAGGTTGCAGTGAGCCGAGATTGTGCCACTGCACTCCAACCTGGGCAACAGAGCAAGACTCCGATTCAAATAAAAAAGTACAAATACAAAATTACACAGGAAAGTAAAGAACTAAAAAATGGAATAACAGTAAAATACATTTTAAAAAACAGATATGTATCAGTGTCAGTGGTTACATGGTTATGACTATATAAACTGTATTCACTGCTAGAGAGTGTTACAGTTTTTTTTGTGTGTGTACTTCCTTTTTCTAAGTTTTCTGTAGTTTTAGTTCTCTGTACACATACATTTAGTTCTCTGAACCAATCTCTGAGGTTCATACACATATTTTCTTTAAGTGTATTGAAGCATATCTGAATATGGTTGATATGTTTTTAAAAGCTATATTTATTCATGCTATCCTGAAAGTGGACCCCAGATTCCTGGAGAAGAGGGTGTATTATCACTAACAGTGCAATAACTGCTCCAGATCCCATTTACCCCAATTCTCTCCTTTTCTGAGAAGTGATAAGAACTAAGTCCATGTCACTCTACACAAACTATGGTCTGTGCCATAGATGAGGAACCCAGAGATTTTGAATCTGACTTCTTGCATACATACACACTGTCCATTTCATCTCCTCAGAGAAGAACAGAAAGCTTTATACTCTCAGATCTAAGTAATTTCTTTTTGGTAATTGTCTCCAGGAAGAAAAGGAGCATCCCAGGCTTAAAACTCCTGTAAAGTTTCCACAGTCCCAGGATCCATCTGCCTTCTGGGAGGTAAAAACACACCTTCAAAGAGCTAAAATAGTCAGAACCACATTTTACACATCTTTTAAATGTCAAGGCTTGTTCTTTCACCCAGTTCTCTGTGAAATTTTTTCAGGTAGCCCTAACTATGCAGACACATAACTACATTTTCTGTACAGTCTCACATGGGGATTTCAATGTTATCTTTTGGAAGAAAATCCTGTTAATAGCCTCTGCACATCTACCATATGCATGTTAAACATGCTTCAACTCTTTTCCAAATTGAATCCAGAATCCTGCATTATAATATATCTGTTATGGCTTACATTTTTATTTATTTATTTATTTTTAATTTTTATTGTTATTGTTTACTTTCTTTAGAAATAGAGTCTCGCTCTGTCCCCCAAGCTGGAATGCAGTGGCATGATCTCAGCTCACTGCAACCTCCACTTCCTGGGTTCAAGGGATTCTTCTGCATCAGTCTCCCCTGCATCTGGAATTACAGGCATATGCCACCACTCTCAGCTAATTTTTGTATTTTTAGTATTGATGGCATTTCACCATGTTGTCCAGGCTGGCCTTGAAGTTCTGATCTCAAGTAATCTACCCATGTAGGCCTCCCAAAGTGTGGGGACTACAGTTGTGAGCCACTGCACCCAGCCATGATCTAATTTTGATGCAGCACTTCTACCCACATTGTTTACGAATGAAACCATTCTCATTTTGTATGTACAGACACGTATTCAATTTTCAGTATCTTTTATAATTTTTTTTGATGATTCCTTTCTTCCAACCTTACTGTCTATCTTCTATTATTCTATTTTTAATCCTAGGAAAGTTAGCATGCTGGTCTGAACTTCTATTTGCTTATGCATTTTCTCATTTTAAAGTGAAATAGATGTTGAATGACATCCCTGACTTGACAAGACATCAACCTGCAAATGTACTTACAGATTACATGTAATGTAGTGTATATGTCTTCTCATTAATTTCTGCATAAAATTTATGTGAATTATATAGATATAATATAGTTAACATTATCTCTACTTATAGATGTTTAGGTTTACTTTCCCTGTTTGTATTGCCTTCCTCCTCTGCTCAGATATTAGTGATGTGATTATCTTTCAGTGGGCTTTTCCCAAACTCCCTGAGGTTGAATTAAAAGGAAAATTTCAGCTGGGTGTGATGGCTCACACCTGTAATCCCGGCATTTGAGAGGCCAAGGTGGGTGGATCACAATATCAGGAGATTGAGGCCATCCTGAATAGCATGATGAAAGCCTGTCTCTACTGAAAAAAAAAAAAAATTAGCCGGGCTTGGTGGCAGGTGCATGTAGTCCCAGCCACTCAGGAGGCTGAGGCAGGAGAATGGCATGAAACTGGGAGGCAGAGATTGCAATGAACCAAGATCATGCCACTGCACTCCAGCCTAGGCGACAGAGCAAGACTCCATCTCAGAAAAACTTTCCTCTCATTCCTTAGTATTTCAATCACTGTGGCACTCTACTGAGTTTCTAAACATATGGAATAGGTGTTGGGCTCTTCTATAAAGGAGCAGAGAAACATGCTGGACCTATTTACCTATGTATTGATTATCAGGGCCTGGTGCATTTGTGAAAAAAGACAAGAAGTTACATACAGGAAAATACTTAGTAGGATATAGAGAGTCATGTCTTTGCAGTAAAACATTACCACAAACTTGGTGGCAGACAACAACATAAAATGTATTTTCTTACAGTTCTGTATGAAAAAAAATTCACACATCATTATCCCAGGGTGGAAATCAAGGTGCTGGCATGACTGTGCTCCTTTCAGAGGCTCTAGGAAAGAATTCATTCCATTTCTCTTTACCATCTTGTGCCTGTTGCCATTCCTTGGCTTGTGGCTGCATACTTCAGCTTTGGGTATTATTTTTACATCACTTTTTCTCTGTGTTTGTGTTATGTGAGCCCCTATGTCTCTCTTTTATAAGTGACATGAAATAGGGGAAGAGAAGTTCTGGGTAAAGAAGGGTGGGTATCTGGTGAGGGCTCTAGCTCTGAGGCTATGCCCATTGACCTAGGTGAAAACAAGAAATCTTGCCTTTGCTCCCAAATGTTACATTTCTCAAGACCTCTCTGGCCCACCATGCCCCCATCCTGTGCCTGTAAAAACCCTGAAACCCTAGCAGGCAGAGATGTACAAGTGGCTGGACATCAACAGAAACACACCAGTGGAGGAACACACAAGTGAATAGATATTGAGAGGACATTGACAGCACACTGACAGGCATTGGCATGCCAGAATGCCATCAAACATTAGAACAATGTGAAGTTTGGCCCAGGTAGTAGGAGATTCTGGGTCTCTGAACGGCGAGACTCCTGGGAAAACCTTTCCACTCCATCGTCTTCTGGCATTCCCCATCTGCTGAGAGCTACCTCCACTCAATAAAACCTTGCACTCATTCTCCAAGTCCAGGTGTGATTCAATTCTTCTGGTACACCAAGATGAGAACCTGAGATACAGAAAGCCCTCTGTCCTTGTGACAAGGTAGAGGGTCTAAGTGAGCTGGTCAACACAAACTACCAACACAAGTTACCAATAGATGGCAAAACTGAAAATTTACATAGTAGCACATGCTCACTGGGGCTTCAGGAGCTGTAAAAATTCAACCCTAGATGCTGCTGTGGGGTCAGAATTCCACAACTGGTTCATCTGTATGCTCCCTTAGAGATATGAGCAGTGGGGGCACTGAAGAAGTGAGCACTCCCCCTGTCACATGCCCTGTGTGTGGGACAAGGGAATCTTTTCTCTTTCACAAGAAAAGTCATTGTGGCATCCAGGGTACACATGGATAATCCAGGATAATCTTGCATTTCAAGATTCTTCATTGTAACTGTAAAGACCTTTTAGCAATAAGGAACCATTACAGGGAGAAAGAGTAAAAAGTTAATATCTTTGGAGGGCCCATTTTTCAAACTATCTCACAGGATTTGAAATAAAAATTTCTGGATAAGAAGAGAGATCTAGTCAAAGTCTTTAACATTATTTCAGAAATTCAGGGTTGGGTGCAGTGGCACAGGCCTGTAATTTCAGCACTGTGGGAGGCCAAGGTGGGTGGATTACTTGAGGTCCGGAGTTTAGGACAAGCCTGGCAAACATTATGAAACCTTGTCTCCATGAAAAAAATAGAAAAATTAGGCATGGTCATTCATGCCTGTAGTCTCAGCTACCCAGGAGGCTGAGGTGGAAACTTGCTTGGAACCAGAAGGCAGAAGTTGCGGTGAGCTGAGATCATGCTACTGCACTCCAGAATGGGTGACAAAGCAAGAGCCTGTCTCAAAAACAAAACAAAACAAAAAACAAATAAAAAGGCTAACACATGTAAAAATATGTTTAACATCAGTAATCCTAATCATCAAGGAAACACAAATTAAAACTATAGTGAGATATCACCTCATGTCTGTTAGAAAGACTATGATTAAAAACACACACAAATAATAACATGTTGGTGACAATGTGGAGGAAAGAAAACCCTTGTACTCTTGGTGGGAATATAAATTAGTGCAGCCACAGTGGAAAGCTGTATAGACATATCTCAATAAATTAAAAATAGAACTATAATATAATCCAGCAATGTCCTTATTAGATATCTCCAAAGGCTAATGATATCAATATGTGGAAAATATATCTGCTGTCTCATGTTCATTGTAGCATTATTCACAATAGCCAAAATACAGAATCAACCTATGTAATACTCTTCAACCCTAAAATATAAGAAATACTCTTCAACCTTAAAATATGAGAAAATCTTGCCATTTTTTACAATGTGATGAACAAAAAAGGAGGTTATATTAAGTAAAGTAAGCAAGGTACAGAAAGATAAATATTACATGATATCACTTATATGTAGACTGAAAAGTTTGAGCTTGTAGAAGTAGAGAGTAAAGCAGTGGTTACCAGAGGCTGGGAGAGATGGGTGGGGAGAAGAATGGGAAGGAGTTCATCAAAGTTTCAGTTAGTCAGTGCAGATGAGTTTTAGAGATCTATTGCATAGTATAGTGACTATAGTGAGGAACATATATTTCAAAATAGCTAAAATAATAGATTTTAAATGTTTTTACCCAATTAGCCTGATTTATTCATTTAACAACATATATAGAGAGATGTGTGTATATACACAGAGAGAGAGAAAGAGAGAGGGCAAAACATGGTATTATACCTTAACCTTGTATACAATTTTTCGTGCATTAACATTTTTAGTTTTAAAATGCAAAAATTTTAAAGTAAAATTCTGGTTACCAGAGGCCTAGGATGGGGGAGAAGTGGGGAAATGCTGATCAAACAACATATAATTGTTAAGTTAGGCAGAATGAATAAGCTCAAGAGATCTATCATAGAACATGATGACTATAGTAAAAAATAACAAATTATATGCTTAAAAATTGCTAAGAAAAAACATAATTCAACAATACATTTAAAAGATTGTTCATCATGACAAAGTGAGATTTATCCAATGGATGCAAGGATTCTTCAACATATGCAAATCAGTCAATGTGATAAATCTTACCAACAAGATGAAAAACAACCCCCCAAAATTATACAATCTTTTCAATTGATTCTGAAAATTATTTGATGAAGTGCATTATCTGTTTATGACTAAGATCCTCAAAAAACTGAGCATAGAAGAAACATACCTCAATACAATAAAAACCATATGTGACAGACTCACCACTAATATCACACTGCATAGGGAAAAACTGAAAGTGTTTTTTCCAAGATCTTAAACAAGATGAGATCAAAGACAAGACCAACATGCCACTTTTATCACTGTTATTCAACATCATACTGGAGGCCCTAGCAAGTAAAATTAGATGAGAAATAATGGAGCCTATCCAAATTGAAAAGAAAGAAGTCAAATTGTTTTTCTTTGCAGATGATATACTCTTATAGTTGGAAAAAACTGAAGTCTACACCAAAAGACTGTTACAAGTGACAAGCAAATTCAGTAAAGTTGGAAGATACAAAATCAATAATCAATAACATTTCTACATGCCAACAGCAAAAATTCTGAAAAAGGAATCAATGTGATTCCATTTATGACAGGCACAAATAAAATAAAATATCTAGGAATAAACTCAATCAAAAAAGTACATAATTCTCACTATAATGAGAATTATGCAATATTGATGCAGGATATTATAGAACACACACAGACACACACACACACACACACACACACACACAAATGGAAAGGCATTTCACATTCATGGATTAGAAGAATCCATATTGTTAAAATATCCATATTACCCAAAGCAATCTACAAATTCAGTGCAATTACTATCAATATACTAATGATACTCTTCACAACAGTAGGACAAAGATATTTCTTAAATGTCTATGAAATCACAAAAGACCCATAATAGCCAAAGCCACCCTGAGCAAAAAGAACAAAACTGGAGGAGTCACATTATGTGACTTGCAATTGTTCTGCAGAGCTATAGTAATCAAAATAGCATGGTACTGACATAAAAACAGACACACAGGCCTGTTGGGAACAGGCCCCCCAGAACCTGGCCATCAACTGGCCCCAAAACTGTCCATAAAAAAAAATCTCTGCAGCACTGTGATATGTTCGTGATGGCCATAATGCCCATGCTAGAAGGTTGTGGGCTTACTGGAATGAGGGCAAGGAACATCTGGCCCACCCTGGGTGGAAAACTGCTTAAAGGCATTCTTAAACTACAAACAACAGCATGAGTAATCTGTGCCTGAAGGGCATGTTCCTGCTGTAGATAACTAGCCAGACCCACCCCTTTATTTAGGCCCATAACTTTGTTTCTCATAAGGGATACTTTTAGTTAATCAAATATGTATAGAAACAATGCTAATCACTGGCTTGCTGTTAATAAATAAATGAGTAAATCTCTGTTTGGGCTCTCAGCTCTGAAGGCTGTGAGACCCCTGATTTCCCACTCCATACCTCTATATTTCTGTGTGTGTGTCTTTAATTCCTCTAGTGCTGCTGGGTTAGGGTCTCCCTGACCGAACTTGTCTCAGCATAGACCAATGGAACAAAATAGAGAACCCATAAATAAACCCTTAAATATACAAGGAACTCATTTTTGACGAAGATGTCAAGAACAAATATTGGGGAAAAGACAGTTGCTTCAATAAATGCAGGGAAAATAGGATATTCATATGCATAGTAATGAAACTAGGCCCCTCTCTCTCACCATACACAAAAATCAAATCAAAATGGATTGAAGACTTAAATCTAAGATCTCAAGCCATGAAACCACTAGAGGAAAACATTGGGAAAACTCTCCTGGGTATTGGTATGGGCAAATATTTCTTGAGTAATACCCAGAAATACAGGCAACTGGAGCAAAAATAGAAAAGTAGCATCACATCAAGTTAAAAAGCTTTTCCACAGCAAAGGAGACAATGAAGAGAAGAAACAACCAGCAGAATAGGAGACAATATTTGCAAACTGTGCATCAGACAAGTGATTAATAATTAAAATGTATGAAAAGCTCAAACAAGACAACAGAAAAAAACACCTGGCAAGAGATCTGAGTAAAAATTTCTCAAAAGAAGGCATACTAATGGCAAACATATTTACAAATAGGTGTTCAATATCATTGATCATCAGAGAAATGAAAACCAAAAATTGCAATGAGACATAACTTTACCCCAGTTAAAGTGGTTTTTACTCACAAGACAGGCAATAACAAATAATAGCACAGATATGGAGAAAGGGGAGTTCTCATACACTGTTGGTTGGAATATAAATTAATACAACTATGAAGAACAGTATGGATGTTTCTCCAAAAACTAAAAATAAAGCTATGATTTAATCAAGCAATTTACTGCTATGAATATACCTAAAAGGAAGGAAATCAGCATGTCAAAGAAATATTTGTATCCCCAAGTTTATTAAAACACCGTTCACAACACCAACAATTTAGAAGCAACCTAAATGTCTATCAACAGAAAAATGGATGAAGACACTCTGGTACATATGTGCAATGGCAAACTATTCAGTCATAAAAAAATGAATATCTGCCATTTTCAAAAATATGGATAAAACTAGAGGGCATGATGTTATTGAAATAAGCCAGGAACAGAAAGAAAAACTTTATATGTTCTTAGACATTTGTGAGAGCTAAAAGTTAAGCAATTGAACTCTTGAAAATAGAGAGGAGAAAAATTGTTACCAGAGTCTGGGAAGGGTAGTGTGAGGGAGATGAGGAAGTGGGGATGACTAATAAGTACAAAAATATCATTAGGAAGAATGAATAAGATCTAGTATTTGATAGCAAAATACTGTGATCACAGTCAACAATGATTTATTGTACATTTAAAAATACCTGAGAGGATAATTGCAATATTTATAACAATAAAGAAATGAAAAATGTTTGAGATGATAGAAACCCTTTTTATCCTGATGTAATTCTTATACATTATATGCCTGTATCACAATAACTCATGTATCCCATAAATATATACAACTATTGCTTATCCATCAAATAAAAATAAATAAATACAACTAGAAGTCTGTGAAAGTCAGTCATATAAATTGGGGCATCCTTTTCACACTCAACTAAAACAGAGTCAAGAGGTCGTATGTAAAAAGCATTCAGAATACTGGCCGGGCATGGTGGCTCATGCCTGTAATCTCAGCACTTTGGGAGGCCAAGGTGGGTGGATCACGAGGTCAGGGGTTCGAGACCAGCCTGACCAACATGGTGAAACCTCGTCTCTACTAAAAATACAAAAATTAGCTGGGCGTGGTGGTGGGCCCCTATAATCCCAGCTACTCAGGAGGCTGAGGCAGGAGAATTGCTTGAACCTGGGAGGTGGAGGTTGCAGTGAGCCAAGATCATGCCACTGCACTCCAGCCTGGGCCACAGAGTGAGATTCCATCTCAAAAAAAAAAAAAAAAAAGCATTCAGAAAGCATAACATTGTTTCAAGAATATAACGCTCTTCTGGTGTGGCTGGTAAAACTGCTTGCTGTAACCAGAGTCCAGTTTTATGTAACAGCTGCTGAGACAAACTCCTGCAAATCTAAAATTAATTAAACCTACCACCATAAGTCACAAATCAGAGCTCCCCATACCTTACTAGTGCCAGTGAACTTTCTTGAACAATATGTAATATCTCTCCTCTCTCCTTTCTCTCTCTCTCTCTCTCTCTCTCTCTTCTCCTCTCTCCTCACTCTCTTTCAAATAAAATCTCTAACTTTCTGTTTGTTCCTCAACCATATTAAAGTCCACCTGTTCTGTGTGTATGTCCCAAATTGCAATTCTGTCTTCCCAAATAAAATGTTTTGATTTCAGAGATTTGTGTCTATATTCTATTTGATCTTAACATGTTTGGTGTCAGAAATGGGATTCCAGAGCTGACTCACTTTGGATAAAATTGCAGGCCTGTAGAACTATAATGTGATTAACTCACATTGAGGCCATTTGAGCTCCACTACTTCTGTAGGTTGCCTCTTTTCTCCTTACAATGTTTGCTATTCTACCTTGATTCTCCAGAATTCTGAAATTATTGTCAGTATTCATATAAAATTATGATAATTTACATAAGTAAATAATCATAAATTTCTTTAAATATTTTAAATGTAAAGTTTTATAAATAAATCATAAATTTTATAGTATTTACATAAATTTATTTTTATAGCAGAATGTAACTGAAAATATTATATTTCCAAAACTTTGACTAAAATTTCATTGTTGTTAGAGTCTCACTCTGTCACCTACACTGGATTTCAGTGGTACAATGTCAGGTCACCGCAATCTCTGACTCTTAGGTTCAAGCAATTATCCCTCCTCAGCCTCTGAAGTAGGTGAAACTGCCTTTGCAAAAATTTTTACTCAGAAAATTATGACAATGAAATATATCAGATCTAACTGACCCCATCTTGCCTCTAACCTCTAAACAACCTTTGTTTATTCCTAGGCATAGGCCAAACTACTTTGGGAAGAAATTTAGTGTATAGTCTACGTAATATCCATTCTCAAAAGGCTAAACTGTTCTTGTAAAACAAATAAAAGTCCACCAGCCACCAAGTCAAATGAGAAGGGCAGGAGTTCTAATTATTACCATCCATTATTCCAGAGGTCATAAGATTTGCAGCTTCCTCAATTACTTTTGAAGGTAACATCACTATTGTGAAACTAAGGTTGGTCTTTTGAGGTGTCTTTTCAGGTTTTTGCATTTCTAACAACCAGATGACTCCTCCTGGACCTGCCAACCAGTTCTCTGGTCCCCACCGAGAAAGTGACTCAGCAGAAGAGAACAGCTTTGACTCCTTATGACTTTACCCCCAAGCCAAACAACTAGCACTCCCAATTCACTAGCTCCATACCCATCAAATCATTCTTAAAATCTCTGATCCCTTAGTTTTCAGAGAGACTCATGTGAGTAGTAATAAAACTCCAATCTTCCATACAGTGAGCTCCATGGGAATTACTCTTTGACTTGCATTTTTTTTTTCTGGTCTTGATAAATTCGCTTTGTCTAGGCAGCAGACAAGGTAAATCCAATGGGTGGTTAGATGTCCTGAAATCCCCCTCCCTGCTTTGACTTTTTCTGCCTTTGCTTCAAGTTTTCTGACCTTTCAAGACTGAGCAATGTTTTTCTTACATATGTTGATGGATGTCCCATGTCTCCCTTAAGTGTATAAAATGATGCTGTCCTCTAATCACATTGGGCACATGTCATCAGGATCTCCTGAGGCTGTGTGACAGGAATGTGTCCTCAACCTTGACAAAATTAACTTTCTAAATCAACTGAGACCTGCCTCAGATATTCAGAGTTCACATGTTTTTTTTCTATATACCTGTTTACTAAATCTTTTCCTGCAAATTTTTTCTTTCTCTGCAAAAACACGATCAGTCATCAACAGTTCTGACACAAATTTTGACTGGTTTTGGGGATAGGTATTCAGTTATATTGTAAGGTTTCTAGAAGAACAACTTGCATTAGAAATTTTTATTTATGGCCAGGTGTGATAGCTCAAGCCTGTATTCCCAGCAATTTGGGAGGCAGAGGCAGGTGGATTACGAGGTCAGAAGATTGAGACGATCCTGACTAACATGGTGAAACCCCATCTCTAGTAAAAATACAAAAAAAAAAAATGACCTGACATGGTGGCGGGTGCCTGTAGTCCCAACTAGTTGGGAGGCTGAGGCAGGAAGATGGTGTGAACCAGGGAGGCGGAGCTTTCGGTGAGCCAAGATCAGGCCACTGCCCTCCAGCCTGGGTGACAGAGGAAGACTCTGTCTCAAAAAAAAAGGAAAGAAAGAAAAAAGGAAGGAAGGAAGGAAGGAAAGAAAGAAAGAAAGAAAGAAAGAAAGAAAGAAAGAAAGAAAGAAAGAAAGAAAGAAAGAAAACTGTGTATGTTTTCCTAATTCCACTTGGCAACCTATATTTTGTGGTAAAATTTTTTCTGTTTAAAAGCTACTCTCCCTTATCAAAAGTCCTTGCACCAAGCTTGTAGTCAGCTTTCAGGGCTGGTACTTTTTTATTGTGACTGTTTCCTGAGAAGGACACTAATGTGAGATAATTTCCCTTATGCTTCTCTTAAATCTCTGTGTGCAAGGTGTTTTTCAAATGTAAAAGTATGTATTTTTCTGAAACAAAACAACTTGTTCTGCAGAGTTCTGGCACAAAACTTGTTTACAGCTTTGCAGGCTGCTCCAGCCGAATAGTCATTCCTATTGATGTGTAACTTGAAGGACCACTGGCATAAGATAATTCCTCAATTTGCTCTCTTTAAATATGTGTTGACACACTTTCCCTTGTGTTATATTATGTTTCTCCAACAGAAAGTCACTCATAATCAAGAGTCCTGGTACAAAGTTTGTTGTCAGCTTTCAGGGCCAAATATTCATTTGTTTTGACAGTTCTTTAGAAGAACCACAAATGTTAGAGTTTTTTTTTTTAATTTAGGTTTTTTCAAATGCCCATCTTTGTGTTAAAATCTTTTTCTGTTTTTCCATGAAAGGAAACAGTCAATCATTAAGGGTTTTAGTGAAAAGGTTGTTGTCAGCTTTGAGGGCTGGATATTTGTTCATTTTGATGGTCCCCTATGTATGCCACCAATGTAAGATAATTTTAATTCTTGCTTCATTTAATGAATATCTGCAAACTGTCTTTCCTATGAACTGTTTTATTGCTTAAAGAAAGCTGCCTATTATCAAGTGTTTTAACAAAATGATTGCTGTCAGCTTTCAGGAATGCTTATCAATTTGACAGTTCTTTAGAAGGGCCACGATGTGAGAGAAGTTTCACTCCTTGCTTCTTCTGAAGGTCTGTCTGCAAACTTTGTGTATGTTAATGTCTTTCTGGTCATAAGAGAAAATTCCTCAGTATTGACAGTGCTGTCACAGAGTATGTCGTCAAATTTTGTGGCTAGATATTCATTGGTTTCAATTTGTTGGTGTGAAAGAAGTGTATTTCTTACTTCTAACTGCTTGCATGTATATTCTATTGTGTTAACGTGTTTTTTCTTGAAGAAAACTACTCATCAAAAATTCTGGCAGAAAGCTTGTTTTCACCTTGCAGGACTGATGTTCATTTGCATTGATGGGATTATTAGAGGACCACTGGCATAAGAAGCTTTTCTTTTTGCTTCTTCTGAATGCCTGTCTGCTAACTTCTTTTTGTGTTAAAATTTTTCTTTCTCTGCAAACGAACTGCCCATCATCAAGAATTCTTGCACAAATCTTGTTGTCAGCTTTCAGGGCTGAAAATTTAGGTATATTAGGAAGGCCACTAGTATAGAAAATTTCCACTTCTTGCTTTATTTTAATATTTGTGTACAATCTTCTTTTCATATAAAGATCTTTCTGTTATCAGCAATGTTATGAAGTTCCAGGTTCTTGGTGTCATGAGCAAAGAATTGGACATGGCACACACAACAAATAGCAAAGCAGCAAACTTCCTACCAAGCACAGCAGCACCCTTGAGGGGTAGAGTGGGCTGATGTCTGCAAAATAAGATGATTGTCAACTTAGTGTATTTTGTTCTTTTTTTTTTTTTTTTAACATGTTTGTTCTGTTCTGTTCCCAGGCTGCCTAATCTCTAGCCAGCATTTTCCTTTTGATTTATAGGAGAGATGCTTAGTTTCCTTGGCCCCTGTACACTTGAACATCACACTTATCCCATAATTTTAAGTCCAGGCATAATATTTAGTCAATATGCATGAGCATTAATGAGTTCATTCACATGCAATGTATTTTAAGAATACTTTTTCTAATGCTTATACCTATCTCTGAGAAGCTGCCCCTTAGTGATTTGGTCTGGATCTAGCCAGCCAGGGGCTCCTTATTTACTCTTTTATTTCACTTTTTTTGACTGCTCAATTTCTGCTTATTATATTTTTCTTGCTCACCCAACTTTTCCCCTTGCTCTTACTCATTTAGCCTCCAATTTCCTCTGCTATTTTCTTCCCTAATTTCTTCCCTGATAGAAATGATCCTCATACATCTTAATGGGGTTCCAAAAGTGAAGGCCCATTTTCTGTACCTGCTTTTCACTGGCTTTGTGTGGTGATGATGCCTACCTGGAGATCATAGAACTCTCTCCATGCTTTATGTAAGGGTGTCTGGGTTGGTCATAGCTTGGTGTTTTTCCAAGGCTTTTGGAATAATCATCATCTGGAACTGGAGAGCTGCCAGGTAGTCAGACACACATAAAATGAGGTAATTCAAAATGTAGGGTTCTAGAAGTAGTAAAATTAAGATGAATATTAAATGTTTTGATATAAGCAAGATGATTGGTAGTACCAATTCTTAAAATCAGGTAACTCAATGATAACAAGCTCTTGAGACAGCTTGGTCAAACTCTGGCTTCTTCCCTTATTCTGTCAATGCAATTAGAACTAGAGAAAAACAGTTACAGAATCTGAAAAGCTGAAGAGGAGAATTATTATCTGAGTTATTCTCAAGGGGAGAACAAAATTGAATGCAGTGACACACTGACAAGTTTTTAAAAGAAATAGTTTGTAAAATTAAAAGTAAAATATCTTGTAATTTCATTGAGAGAAAATTAATTCTTTAAGAAAACTGTATATTCATAAAGGGTACCATCTTAGTAAAATTATTACAACTGATTTTTAAATAATAAGCAACTTAATAAAATATAAAATTTCTTTTATAAATTCCACTTCATGAAACTTATGATGATTTTCATAGACATTCTATGACATGCTTGAACTTTCTGACATGTCACAAACTTTTCTCTTTCTTAAGTAAACAGTTATTTTACATTAGGACAGAACTTTACCATACAATATCCTTTTTGTATAAAATTATTTTTCTTTCTTTATAATCTTCTTTAAGAAAAAGTGGATCTACCTGTTCCTGTCTTTCTTTATATTACTGTTTCCTACTTACAGGTTTCTTTCTAGCTTATTTTATATGTAACCATTTTAAGTTCATAATTTAGACTTTAGGTAACCTCTGAATTAGACAAAATTCTTCATTTTAAAAAAATAAGACAAAATCCTGGTAGGCTTCTGGCCTTCAGTGCTACCTAGGGAGATGCTGAATTAAACAATCCCAATAATGAAAGTCAGTAAGAGCAGAAGAAAAATGATAGGTTTAAACTTCAGGGCATGGAAGTGTAGGGTGATGTGCATCACCACACATGTCCCACAACATCACAAGGGCTTCTCTATTTTACAAGAAGTTACAAAATACTCTCTTTTTCACATAGAAAGAATTTCCTGTTCCCACCCAGGAAATTTCCATGGTAGGTCTTTGTAGAACTACATGAGGGTTATTCATCTTTATTCCAAATTTATTAGCCAGGACGCTTGGATCACATTCTCCCGATGGGTCAAAATTTCTAGACTTCACAGCTGAATAATAATTATCTGCACCTAAAAACCAGTAGTCTTCTTCAACACTGTTATGAGAATAACTAGATAGACATAACATATTTATGAGTGTTACAGAAATAATATTCTGTTTAATCAAAGGTTGGCTAGATCTTGGCCCCGACGCTGCATGCTTGCTTTCCTGTGCTGAAGCTGTTAACTGAATCTGCAGTGGTAGTAGCAACCCTGTTTTTACCATAGTACCTCTTATGGGGAGAGGAACTAACTCAGCAACTGGGCACTATCAGAAATTCTTGTTGAAAGATTTTTTTAAATTAGCAAGCTGGAAGAGGAGTAAACAACCTAGTCTGTGCCTTTCTTTTTATTTCCATCACTTAGACCAAGAGGGGTATTTTTCAGCATAAGCAGTAAGGACAGAGTAGTGTATCCCTGTATTAAAACTACATGCAATTTGGGTGCCCATGACATCCAGAGTTATCCCAGGTTTCTCAATGATAAGGATAATATTGCTGGATGGGGCAGTGAGGGAGACTGTAAGCTCCTTCAGTCTTCATTCATTTCCTTCCTTTGCATTGTTAGAATTTTAGCTGACCAAGTCTCTTGGTGGGAGTGAGGACAATCAATCCTCCAAAGCCAGGGATAATGACTTGTACCTTTGCACTGGCAGCAAGATAGGGGTCTTGTAAAATTCTTCATCCAATGTCCTTTCTTTGGACTTGAAGCAAGGTTTCCTACTTCTGGGTCCTTGCAGGTTATCCTTTGACACATTCTGGGCCTTTAAGGCATTGCCAATAATGGTAGCTATAATTTTGGGTTACCATTTCTTCTTCTCTTCTAGGTAATGATTCCTGTATACCATAAAAGCAGTATCCAGGAGCTGAGCCTGAGGTTTCTAAGGCCCCATTTGCAGCCTTTGAAGTTTGCATCTAATATTAGGGGCAGGCTGGCTTATAAAGTGCTGAGCCATGAGTACTTTCCCTTTTTGTGAGGCTGAGTCTAGGTTAGTATATATTTTAAAGTCTTTCAACCATCTGTAAAACATAGCCACATTTAAAAAAAAATACATTTTTTCTTTTTTTTTTCTTTGTGACTAATGTCAGCTTGTAAAAGTTCACTACCTAAGTGATTTTTTTTTTTCTCATTCTTCTATGAAAGGTTACAAGCCAGATACAAGGTTTGGAAAACATTTGCAAACTCACTCGGGCTTTCAGAATAACTCACTAGTTTTTCTTTCCATTGTTGTATGTCTGTTACCTGTTAATGAAAAAGAGGCTTGAACTCTCATTGTGCTCTCCAGCTCTGCCATCTCCCTGAGAGAAAGTACAATTTGGGGAATGATATATGGGGTGACTTTTCTAGTGTGTAGGGGCCCACTGTTCTATGTGTCAATTCTTGTTTTTTTTCTGTATTGCCCAAGGGAAGAGTTATATGGAGGTGGTTCTGATTCCCCCTGAGAGACTGGTGCCCCCACGGCCAGGTGCAGTGGCTCATGCCTGTAATCCTAGCACTTTGGGAGGCCAAGGTGGGTGGATCACAAGGTCAAGAGATTGAGACCATCCTGGCCAACATGGTGAAACCCCGTCTCTACTAAAAATACAAAAATTAGCTGGGCATGGTGGTGCACACCTGTAATCACAGCTACTCAGGAGGCTGAGGCAGGAGAATCACTTGAACCCAGGAGGCAGAGGCTGTAGTGAGCCAAGATCATGCCACTGTACTCCAGCCTGGGTGACAGAGTGAGACTCTGTCTCAAAAAACAAAAGCAAAAACAAAACAAAAAAAAAAAAAGAAAAAGAAAAAGAGACTGGTGCCCCCACAGCAGAGGATGGTATGTAACGTCTAAATCTGTCTTTAGACTCTCCTTTTGAGGACCTTTATTTGGAGCCTCCCACATAGTTGGGCTCTATTAAGAGAGGTGTTATACTCCGAGTTGTTTGAAAAAATTGCTTAACCACTGAAGCAATATTACATCTAATCAAGAGTCTGTTTACTATCGCTAGTGTGGCATCCCTCCCCATGTGAAAGTAGTCATGTAAAGTTTTTATAACTTTCCACTTGGCTGCTTGAGTAAGTTATCATCTTGGCCCCATATACCACTAGAGTTATTGTTTTTGTCCTTCTTGCTGTTTTGTTTGTTGTTTTTCTTGTATTGTGTGGTTAGTTTCTGCAAGGGAATTATGATAAGAAAACAAGACTAAAACTGATTGGGATTATGTTCTGAGGGCTGCCACTTTGGCTTTCTTATTGACCTTTTTCTTTTTCTGCACTTTGCAGGTTAAATCTTTCTGATTCCCTCCACAATTAATTATGGCTATAGGCTTTGGTAGACTTATGGCTTCTCATAATTGAGGAATTTTATTTTCATTTTTTAAGGGGGAATGCTTGCTGTTTAGCAATATGCTTTTCTTTTCTAGTTATTGGGGCCCAGATTAAAGTAATAATCTCAAGCTTTGTGTGCTTTGCCTGGGGGCAGTGGCTGGGACTTAATAATGGTGTTGTAGTTTACTATTGCATACCCAGCCTGGCATTCTCCATTAGACAAACAGCTACTATCATTTGTGAAGCAGTCATCTTCAGGGTCTTGAAGACCATGATCTTTTCGATGAGCTTGGCTCACCTTTGCATGTGCAATAATATGTTAAAAAAAATCAATTATTGAGCCTGTAGGCAGTAGTAAAGCTGGATTCAGGGTCTTACAAGTTTTAACTTCTCAATTATTCAAAAGCACAGCCTGATACTTGATTAACATTTCTCCTGTCATCCAGATGTGTTATTGATTTTTACCTGCAGGATTAATTTAGCCTGGTGTTGTTAGTAATTTCAATGGCTGACTCAGAGTGATCTTAGTGGTTTCCTCTGCTAAAATAGTAGTGGCTTCTATTGCACACAAGCAGCTTGGCCATCTTGAGGCTGCCCCCATTCAATTTCCTTGAAAAGCCAGCAATTGTTCTAGGTTTTAAGCCTAATATTTAGGTTGCAACACCAATAGCAATGCCTTTACTTTCACCCGCATATTTAAAAAAGATTTAGTGAGGTCTGGGTTGCCTAGTGCAGGAGTCCGGGTGAGGGCTTGTTTTAACTTAGTAAAGACCTCTCTAATTATTGAGGGTTTATTCACTTGGCTTATTCTCTGGTCCCTATGTTGCCTTGTGAATGAGCTTTGCTATAAATCCAAAACAGGCGATTTTGAAAAATCCAGCCATCTCCAGTTAAAAAAAAAAAAAAAGATATTATTTTGTTTGAGCTGAGCCTAATCTATGTATGCCTTGCCCATGCTCTCAGAATATCTGTCAAGACAACTATTTCCAGTTGTTGAAAATGCGGCTAGAAAGGAGTTTTGTAAGATTGAGGCTGAGTTTGTTATTGTCTGTCTATGGAGGAAAACAAGGGAAACTTGAAACAGAGCACTGCTGCTCAGTGCAGCATCTTCTATGGGGGACCTATGCTAGATTTGAGGGCCAGCAGGACATGTTCTTCTTGGGCATTTTCATGATATGCTTTATGTCTCTAGCCTTAGCTAGGTGTCAGTGTCAATTGAACCACTTGAAGAAGGATCCCACAATAATTGGTAATTTATAAGTTTCCCTTTAGCACCAATGTGTATCCCTTAGCTTTTGGCTTCCCTGTAGCTGCCCAAAATAGCATCTTCTGAAATGAATTCTTCAAGCATTTTGGTAATTATAGTTTGAGGAACTAGAAAAGGCAGACTGCCTAGCTTAAATATGTTAGACACTGCCATGTTAATAAGGAAATATAGTGTCCTATAACTATAACAGATAATCCAGGCAGATCAATTTACCCATGGATCTGCTATGCAATCTGTGCGTGATTTAAGAGACTCTACAAGGAGTTTACTTTCAGTTCCGGGTCTACCAAACTAAAAGAATTGAGATCTGCTTCCTCACATAAAATGTAGGGTTTTCTTTTTATTTATCTTGGCTCTTTAAGTCAGTGTATAATAATTATTGGTTTCAACATTGTGATAGCAGAAATCAAATATTATGTCTTACCAAACACACAAATACTTTACAGATGCAGTGTTCTTTCTTGCATCTGGCAGAGCCTTGTTGCTTTATTTCCCAACCATCTTACCCTGTCGTGGGAGTCCTCCAGCATTGCGTGCCCTAATACCTCCTAACTGCCTATCTCATGCCTGTGAAGAATGGCAACAAACAGAAACAAAACATTGAAAGTAGAAGCAAAAATAAGAATCTCAAACTTGAGCTTGCCTCCTGGGTGTCTCACCACAATAATATGTGACTGGCTGATGTTGTAAAGTCCCAGGTTCTTGGTGCCACACACAACAAATAGCAAAACAAATAAACTTTATCAAGCACAGTAACTCTGTCAGAGATGGAGAAGTATGTTCACCTCTACTAAATATGATTAGCATTAGTTTGGGGCTTGGCACAGTGGCTCACACCTGTAATCCTAGGACTTTGGGAAGCAGAGGTGGGGAGATCATGAGGTCAAGAGATCAAGACCACCCTGGCCAACATGGTGAAACCCCATCTCTACTAAAAACAGAAAGTTAGCTGGGCATTTGGTATATTTTGGATCTTTTTGTATGCTTTATTTGTTCTCTTCCGAAACTTCCCAATCTCTAGTTAGCATCTACCTTTTCTTTTCTTTTCTTTTCTTTTTTTGTTACAGAGTCTTGCTCTGTTGCCAGGCTATAGTGCAGTGGCACTATCTCAGCTCACTGCAATGTCTACCTCCTGGGTTCAAATGATTCCTCTGCCTCAGCCTCCCAAGTAGCTGGGACTACAGGCACCCACCATCATACCTGTCTATTTTTTTAACTTTGGTAGGGATGGGGTTCCACCATGTTGGCCAGCACGGTCTCGAGCTCCTGAACTTGTGATCCACCTTCCTCAGCCTCCCAAAGTGCTGGGATTACAGATGTGAGCCACTGTGCCTGGCCTAATATCTGCCTTTTGACTGACAGGTGGGTTGCTTATTTAGTCTGGCCTCTGCATGCTTGTGTGTCACCTTATTTCATAATTTTAAGTACATGCATGATATGCAGTCCATATATGCAAGCTTTAATTAGCTGATTATCATATAGGATTATTTTAAGGGTTTCTTCTTTTTTTTTTTTTCTAACGTACATGTCCATCTCTGAGTAGCTGCTCTTTACTGGTTTTGTCTGGCTCTAGCCAGCCTTGGGCTCCTTACACACTACTTTATCTCATGTTTTGGCCACTCAACTTCTGTTCTTATTTTACTTTTTGCTCATCTGTCCCTTGCTTTTGCTTTTACTCATTTCACCCTTTATTCAATTTCCAATTCCCTCTGCTATTCTCCTGCCTCTATTCTTTTCCTGAAAAAAAAGAATGTCCATTATCAAGGATTCTGGCACATAACTTGTTGTCAGCTTTTAAAACCAGATATTCAGGCTATTTTTTAGAAGGACCATTGGAATGAGAAAATTTCTCTTAGTGATTTTTCTAAATTTATGTTTTTAATATTCTCTTCATGGAAACATCTTTCTTGTCTTGTAAAAAAAAAAAAAGCACATTATCAAGAATTCAGGCACAATTCTTGCTGTCAGCTTTTAGGGCCAGATATTCATTCACTTTAAAAGGTCTCAAGAAGGTCACTTTTGTGAGAGAATTTTCCCTTTTGTTTCTTTTACATACCAGGCTACAAATGTCTCAGTGTGTAAACATCTTTCTAATTTTTTAAAGTAAACTTTCAATCCTCTAACGGTCTGAGACAAAGCTTGTTGTTAGCTTCAAAACTTGTATATTTGCTCATATTGATGGAGCCCTAGATCAGCCCCTGGCATTAGAGAATTCCCCTTTGGACTTCTTTTTCTTTTTTCCTTTTGCTTCAGATAGAGTCTTGTTCTATTTCCCAGGCTGGAGTTCAATGGTGCTATCTTGGCTCACTGCAATCTCTGCCTCCCGGGCTCAAGTGATTTTCCTCCCTCACCCTCCTAAGTAGCCAGGATTACAGGCACACACCACCACGCCCACCTAATTTTTGTATCTTTAGTAGAGATTGGGTTTCACCACATTGGTCAGGGTGGTCTCGAACTCCTTACCTTGTGATCTGCCCCGCCGGGCCTCCCAAAGTGTTGGGATTGCAGGTGGCAGCCACTGCACCTGGCCTCCCATTTTTACTTCTGAAATCTGGATTGTGCTAAAAATCTTCCATTTTCCATTTTTGTTTTGTTTGTTTTGTTTTGTTTCAGACAGCGTTTTGCTCTGTTGCCCAGGCTGGACTGCAGTGGCACAATCTCAGCTCACTGCAAACTCTGCCTCCCAGGTTCAGGCCATTCTCCTGCCTCAGCCTCCTGAGTGGCTGGAATTACAGGTGTGCACCACCATGCCCAGCTAAATTTTGTATCTTTAGCATACATGGAGTTTACCATTTTGGCCACGCTGGTCTTCAACTCCTGACTTTAGGTGATCTGCCAGCCTCTGCCTCCCAAAGTGCTGGAATTACAGGCATAAGCAACTGAGCCTGGTCAAAAATCTTCTGTTTTAGTTTGTTATTTTTATTATTATTTTTAAAGAAAACCACCTGTCACTGGGAGCCTTGCAAAAGATGATTTTCAGCTTTCAGAGTTGGATATTCACCCATTTTGACAGTTTACTATAAGGGACTTCCATATAAAAGGATTCTTCTTTTTGCTCATTCTAAATGCTTGTCTTAAAACTTCTCTTCTTATAATTGTCTTCCTTTGTTTAAAAAGAAAAATTGCCATTTTCAAGAGTTCTAGAATAAAGCCTCCTGTAAAGTTTCAGGGAAGAATGTACATTGTAATCTTTCTAGAGACCAATATACAAAATATACCAAATATTGGTCTCTAGAAAGGCCTCAGATGTGAAAGAATTTCATTCCTTAGTTTTGCTAAATGCCTGTCTGAATAGTTTTTATTGTGTTTAACTCTTCTTTACTCAGAAAAAGGCCAATTATTAAGAGTTCTAACACAAATCTTGTATTCAGCTTTGAGCACTGTATATTTTTTCTTATTCATGGTTTTCTCAAAGAGCCACTCATATAAGAAGACACCCCTCCATGCTCCATCTAAGAGCTTACTTGACTAACTTCTCTTTGTCTTAATAGCTTCTGTTCCTGAAAAGAAAAGATCTCATCATGAAGAATTCTGGCTAAAATCTTCTTGTCAGCTTTCAGTGTTGAATAAAAAACCCTAGAAGAAACCTAGGCAATACCATTCAGGACATAGGCATGGGCAAGGACTTCGTGTCTAAAACACCAAAAGCAATGGCAACAAAAGCCAAAATTGACAAATGGGATCTAATTAAACTAAAGAGCTTCTTCACAGCAAAAGAAACTACCATCAGAGTGAACAGGCAACCTACAGAATGGGAGAAAATTTTTGCAATCTAGGCATCTGACAAAGGGCTAATATCCAGAATCTACAATGAATTCAAACAAATTTAGAAGAAAAAAACAAACAACCCCATCAAAAAGTGGGTGAAGGATATGAACAGATACTTCTCAAAAGAAGACATTTCTGTAGCCAAAAGACCCATGAAAAATGCTCATCATCACTGGCCATCAGAGAAATGCAATTCAAAACCACAATGAGATACCATCTCACACCAGTTAGAATGGCAATCATTAAAAAGTCAGGAAACAACAGGTGCTGGACAGGATGTGGAGAAATAGGAACACTTCTATATTGTTGGTGGGACTGTAAACTAGTTCAACCATTGTGGAAGTCAGTGTGGCGATTCCTCAGGGATCTAGAACTAGAAATACCATTTGACCCAGCCATCCCATTACTTGGTATATACCCAGAGGACTATAAAACATGCTGCTATAAAGACACATGCACACGTATGTTTATTGCGGCACTATTCACAATAGCAAAGACTTGGAACCAACCCAAATGTCCAACAATGATAGACTGGATTAAGAAAGTGTGGCACATATATACCATGGAATACTAGGCAGCCATAAAAAATGATGAGTTCATGTCCTTTGTTGGGACATGGATGAAGCTGGAAACCTTCATTCTCAGCAAACTATTGCAAGGACAGAAAACCAAACACTACATGTTCTCACTCATAGGTGGGAATTGGACAATGAGAACACATGGACACAGGAAGAGGAACATCACACACTGGGGCCTGTTGTGGGGTGTGGGAGAGGGAGGGATAGCATTAGGAGATATACCTAATGTTAAATGATGAGTTGCTGGGTGCAGCACACTAACATGGCATGCATATATATATATATATAAAACTAACCTATACATTGTGCACATGTACACTAAAATTTAAAATATAAAAAAAAAGTTCCATCAAAAAGCTTGTTGGCAACTCAATGCTAACATTCATTGATTCCAGTTGGTCCCTGGATGTCATTGGCATAAAATAATTCCATTTATTACTCTTCTAAATGTCTGTCTGCAATTTTTTTTTTTGTATTTTTAAACCCTGAAAATCTGAGATAGGTTAGTTAATTTAGACAGTTTGTTTTGTCAAGGTTGAGGACACATACTTTTGACACAGTCTCAGGAGATTCTCACGACAGGCACCTAGGGTAGTGAAAGCACAGTTTTGTTTTACATATTTTAGGAAGATATGAAACATTAATCAATGTATGTAAGCTAAACACTGGTTTGGTCTGGAAAGGCAGAACAATTTGAAAGAAAGGTGGAAAGACTCAAAGAGAGGAGGGTGCTTCCAGATCATAAGTAGGTAAGAGACAAATGGTTGTATTCTTTTCAGTTTCTGACTAGACTCTCTAAAGGAGGCAACTAGATACACATTTATCTCATTGAGTAGAGAGGTGACTTTGAATAGAATTGGAGGCAGGTTGGCCCTAAGCAGTTTCCAGCTTGACTTTTCCATTTAGCCTAATGATTTTGGGTCTCCAAGACCTATTTCCTTTTCACATGTTAAATTCTTTCTTTTCCTGAAAGAAAACCACTCATTAAAAAGAGTTCCAACACAAACTAGTTTTCAGATTTGAGAACCAGATATTCATTTGCATTAATAAATTTCTAGGAGGTCCATAGGCATAAAATAATTTTCCTTCTTATTCTTCTAAATGTTTGTGTACTAAATTTTTTATACATTGAAATCTTTTCTTCCCTATAAGAAAACTGTTTTTTAATAAGTGTTTTGGCACAATGTTTTTGTCAACTTTATAAATATGTATTCATGTATTCATTTCCATGGTACTCTGTTTTCTCACTGATGTAGGAAAATTATTTTTTGCTTTTTCTAAATACCTATATGCAAACTCCTTTTAAATGTAAAAGCTTTTTTTTCTCTGTAAACCTCTCATCATCAAGGATTCTGTCACAAATCTTATGGTCAGCTGTCAGTGTTGTTTAGTTGGTTCTTTGCTAGTGAGAGGTGAAGCCAGCTGGACTTCCTGGGTCAAGTGGGGACCTGGAGAACTTTTCTGTCTTACAAGAGAATTGTAAAATGCACCAATCAGCACTCCATAGCTAGTACTGTGAAACGCATCCATCAGTGCTCAGCTACTAGCTAGATGTTTGTAAAATGCACCAATCAGTGCTCTGCAAAAATGCACCAATCAACACTCTGTAGCTAGCTAGAGGTTTGTAAAATGGACCAATCAGCACTTTGTAAAATGGACTAATGAGCAGGACACGGGCAGGGACAAATGAGGGAATAAAAGCTGGCCACTCCAGCCAGCAGCATCAACATGCTTGGGTCCCCATCCATGGTGTAGACGTCTTGTTCTTTCACTCTTCACAATAAATCTTGCTGCTGCTCACTCATTGGGTCTGTGCCACTTTTAACAGCTGTAACACTCACTGCAAAGGTCCACCACTTAATTCTTGAAGTCAGCAAGACCACAAACCCACTGGAAGAAACCAACTCCAGACACACAAGGGCCACTGAAGTAAAAGAATTGCCCTCCTAGCTTCTTTTAAATGTCTGTTTGAAGTTTTCTCTCCTAAATATGTATTTTTATATTTAAGATAGAACTGACTATCATCATGAATTTTGCCCCAATGTTTGTAGTAAGCTTTTCGTGTTGGATATTTATTTGTTCTTAAAGGTCTCTGGAAGGGCCACTGGTGCGAAAGGTCTTCCTGCTCAATATAAATGCATATATATAACTCCTCCATATATATATTTCCTTCTCAAAAGAAAACCACAGTTTACCAAGAGATCTGGCACACAATTTGGTTCTCAGCTTTGAAACGTAGATATTCATTCATGTAGATGGTTTTCTAAGAGAAACCAGTGGCAGAAGAGAACCTTTTTCTTTTTGCTGCTTTTAAATACCTGTGTGCCAACTTGTGTTTTCGTTAAAATCTTTTCTTTCCTAAAAGATAATTACCCATCATCAAAAAAATAGAACAAAAATAGTTGTCAGCTTTCAGGGTGGAATATTCATTCATTTTGATGGTTCTTCAGTGGGGCCACTGATGTGAGAGAATTCCCCTTTTTGTTACTTTAAAATGTCGGGTTACACACTTTTTTTCTTTTTTTTTGTGAAGTTTTAGTTATCCTCCTTGTTTCTTCTAAATGCCTGCTTATAAATTTCTTCTTATGTAAATATCTTCCATTTCCTAAAACTAAAGAGACTTTCATCAAGACTTCTAACACAAAGCTTGTTTTCTCAGGGATGAATATTCAGTGGTTTTGTGGGGCCCCTAGAAGGCCCACTAGTGTGAAAATGTTTCTTCTTCTCTATTTGAAACATCTGTCTATAAATATTTTTTTGTGTTGAAATATTTTTCGTGAAAAATATCTCATCTTCAAGAGTTGTGAAACAACTGTAGTTATCAGATTTCAAGGCCAGATGTGTGCCTTCTTTTTTTTTAGACTGTTCCAGAAAAGAACCGCATGTGTGAAAGAATTCCCCTCGTTGCTCCTTCTAAATATCTATCTGCAAACTTTTCATCATGTAAACATCTTTTTATGATTTAAAAAAAAAGGAAAACTAATTATCAAGACTTTTGCCAGAAAGCTTGTTGTCAGGTTTCAGACCTGGATATTTTTGCCTATTGACAATCCCTAAAAGGGCCCTGATTTGAGAGGATTTATCTCTTTGTTCCTTCTAAATGCTTGCAAATTTATATTGTAATAAGAATCTTTTCTCTCATAAAAAAAATTGTCATGATGAAGAGTCCAGCATAATCTTTTCAGCTTTGAAAACTGATTATTTGTTTTTATTGCTGAGTTTTTATGAGCACCACTGGGCTAAGACAAATTTTCTCTTGCTCCGTCTAAACACCTGCCAAATTTTATTTTGTTAAAGTCTTTCTTTTTAAAAAGAAAACAAAACAAATAAAACACACCAGTCATCAATAGTTTTGGCACCAAGGTTGTCAGTTTTGAGAACTAAACATTTGTATGGCAGGCTTCCTAGAACCACTGGAATTAGAGAATTGCCCTTTGGCTGTTTGTAAGTCTTGTCTACAAATTTATCTTTATGAAATCATCTTTCCTTTTCTGAAAGAAAACCACTCATAATCAAGAGTTCCCACACAAATCTTTTCAGCTTTCAAAGGGTGATACTTATTCATCTTATGGGTTTATGGAACAGCATGTGTAATAAAAGAATTTTCCCTCTTGCTCTCCTTCCATGCCTTTCTGCAAACTTATATTTAGGTAAACATCTTTCCATTGTGGCAACTAAACTGCTGATTATCAATTGTTCTTTCTAGAAGCTTGTTCTCAGCTTTGAGGGAAAGATGTTCATTTGCATTGATTCATCCCTGGGAGGGCAACTAGTGTAAGAGAATTTCCCTCTTTGCTTCTTTGAAATTTCTTTCTGCAAACTCTTTTTTTAGTTAAAATCTTCCCTTCCCTGAACATAACCCAACCATTATCAAAAGATCCAGCACAAAGCTGTTGGAAGCTGTGCTCATGGACAGAAAACAAGAGAATTTGCCAATATGGAGTGACAGTAGTACCCCATTAAATGGTGATGGGAGTTTTGGGATATAATAATTGAGCTGGGAAATTGCCAATTAGCTACCTGACTTCTGGCAATGGTTGTTCCTAGAAGAAGATGAGCATCTTCACTATGGCATATGAAACTTTAGAATTGAGAAATGAATGACTAGAATAATAGAACAAATTGCATATCTAGTCCCCTTGAATATACATGCTTCTAATTATACTACATAACAAGTGTTTTACCCGAATAAGTTAGAGAAATGCCACACATTGAGATGAATTTAAGGGTCCTTTATTTGTCAGAGACCTAGATATGACAAATGCTCAGGATTTGTGTAAAAGATTTTTTTTTTTACTTCACTTCTGAAGCTTATTTGGCTGGATATAAAATTCTGAGCTGAAAATTTTTTTCTTTAGAATTTTGAATATTGGCCCCCAATCTCTTCTGACTTGTAGAGTTTGTGCTGAGTGGTCTGCTGTTAGTCTGATTGGAATCTCTTTGTAGGTGACCTACCTTTTTCTCTGATTGCACTGAACAAATTTTCCTTTATTTACACCTTGGAGAATCTGATGATTATCTGTTTTGGGGTTGATCTTTTTGTAGAGTATTTTAATGGTGCTGTCTGTATTTCCCAAATTTGCATGTTGGCCAGTCTTGTTAGGTTGGGAATGTGCTCCTGGCTAGTATCCTGAAGTGTGTTTTCCAGCTTCTTTCCATTCTCTTCATCTCCTTCTCATATGCCAATCAATAGATGGTTCAGTCTTTTTTTGAAGTCCCATATTTCTTGCAGGCTTTGTTTATTCTTTTAATTTTTTTATCTTGAATATTTTCTTCATGCGTTATTTCAGCATGGCAGTCTTCAAACTCTGATATTATTTCTTCTGCCTGGTTGATTCAGGTATTGATACTTGTGTATGCCTCACAAAGTTCTCATGCCTTGTTTTTCAACTCCATCATGTCATTTATGTTTCTCTCTAAACTGGTTATTCTAGTTAGAAATTCCTCTAATTTTTAATGAAGGTTCTGAACTTTGCATTGGGTTGAACATGCTTTTTTAGTTCAACATAGGTATTTATTACCCATCTTCTGAAGACTGCTTCTGTCAATTCCTGCATCAGATCTCCCATCCAGTGCAGTGCTCATCATGGGGAGACACTGTGATCATTTGAAAGAAAAGAGGCCCTCTGTTCTTATGGGTTTTTAACATTTTTTCACTTTGTGAGTTTGTCTAATTATTTAGCCTTTGAAGCTACTAACCCTCAGATGGGATTTTTGTGGGGTTTTTTTTTTGTTGTTGCTGTTGTTGTTTTTTTCTGTTTCTTCTTCTACCCCACCCCCCCGAAAAGGTCTGGTCCCTTCTGTATAGGGCTGCTGTGTTTTCCTGGGAGTTCACTTGAGGCCTCATTCATCTGATTTTTCCTGTGCCTTGAGATGTCACTTGAGGAGACTAGAGAACAGCAAAGACAGGTGTCTGGTCCTTCTTCGGGGACCTCTGACCTCAAGGGGCACCAACAATGCCAGTAGGATTTCTCCTGTACAGTGTGTCTGACAATCCTTGTTGGAGTGTCTCACTCAGTTGGGTGGCATGGAGATTAGGACCCATTTAATGAAGCACTTTGTCCCTTGATGGAGGGAGTGTGCTTTGCTGGGGGGAAACTCACTAATCTGGGCAGGCCAGATTCCTCATAACTACCAAGAGGTGAGGCTAAGTTGGCTGGTCCACAGAAACTGTGGCCACTTCTCTCCATAGGGGCTCAGGCCCAGGGAAATCCAAGTTCTGTCTCTGATTCCCTGGCTGGAGTTATCAGAGTTCCTTCAGGGAAGCCACACCCAATGAGGAAAGATGGGTCATGACAGGCCTTGAAGGTACACTCTGGCCACAGACTGCCACAACCAGTGTGTTGGACTGTGGGGGAAAACATTGTGTACCTAGCTCTCTAGCTTCCCTGGCTCCAGCAGGACAAAAGCATAACCTGGAGCTGCAAAGATGGGTGTCAACCTCCCCCTGTCGCAGTAGCTTAGAGTGTTAGGCATTTCTGTATCCCAGTGCTGGCTGCTGTCACTCCCCCAGAGAGTTCATATGGCTTAGAGAGCAGACAGCCACAGCTGCAGTACTGGTTGTTCCTCCTCCTGGTAATTCAGTAGGCATAAGCAGATTTTAGCTGAGAGGCTGTAAGAAATTGCACTTTCCAGGATTGAGATGCCAGGTCCTGATGGTGTGAGTTAGTGAGTGGGACTTTTCAACCTTTCCCACCTGGGTAAAATGCTCACTCACTGCTTCCCTTGGCTGGGGGAGGGGACTCCTTTGCGCTTTGTGGCTCTTAGTTGGGTCATCTCACCAAACTGTTCTTCCTTCTCTTGGTGGGGTCACATTAGGTACCTTTTCAGTTTTGATGAGAGAACTTGGATACCTTTGTTGCTGATGAATAATTCATATGCTTTTATTATTTATTTATTTATTTATTTATTTTGATGGGTGCCTCCAAACACCACTGCTTCTAGTTGGCCATCTTGGCTACACCCTCCCTCTACAAGCAGATTCTCAATATACACAGAAAAGCCTAAAGAAGGAAGGGAGGAAGAATTATCACCTATCTTACCACCTCCTTATTCCTCAGCCCCACTAACACTGGGCCAAAATAACAAGGAAGAAACAGACGTTTTTGCCTTAGCCTTCTCCTCCAATAAATTGGAAAGAAAGACAAGGGATATGTACAGCTATGGGAACGTGTCTTAGGCAAGCGGCATTAGAAGGGGAGCTCTTAGCCTGCCTAGCATTGCAAGATTAACAAGGCAACCAGGCACAGAAAGAATTAAGAAAAAGCATTAGAGAGTGGAGTTACTAGTCCATTTGTCAAAAGATTAATTAAGGCCATGGCTGACAACTTCTGTATGACTCTATAGGATTGGTCAGTGCTAGCTAAATCAACTTTAAACTCTAATCAATACCTCCTCTGGAGGGCAGAATTTGACAACTTATGTGAACAGGAAACCCTTTTGTAGTAATGGCCACTCTTATTTCTCCCCTACCCTTGATGTGACTCTCAAGATCCAATTTGGGTAAAAGAGTGGCCTTTGAAGGGAGAGAAATTACAAAGAGCCAATGAGTTAGTTGAGGAGCAATGAAAAGCCAGCCATATAGAACCATCAAGCCCTTGGAATTTGCCCATTTTTGTCATTCTCAAAAAGTCTGGCAAATGGAGAGTTTTGCATGACTTACATGCCATCAATGCAAATTTGCAACCTATGGGGCCCCTTCAGCAGGGGCTCACCTCCCCCATGGTGATTCCTCGAGATTGACCTGTAATTGTTATTGACTTAAAAGATTGCTTTTATACTATTCCTCTAGCAGAACAGGACAAGGAAAACTTTGTATCTACAATGCCAGCTATCAATAATGAAAGGCCAGCTCACTGATTTTATTGGAAAGTGCTTCTTCAAGGGATGCTAAACAGTCCTGCCATGAGTAAGCATCATGTAAATAAGGCTTTCCTCCCCAGTCAAAAACAATTTCCTGATTGCAAGATTATTCATTTTATGGATGATATTTTCCTAGCAGCCCCAATGGAGCCAATACTTTTAAGTTTATATACCTCTGTTGTAAATGATACACAGTTAAGAGGTTTAATCCTAACACCTGAAAAAGTACAAATGTCCTCTCCTTGGAAATATCTTCAATACATACTAACTTCCCAGTCAGTACGATCTCAAAATGTTAAATTAAATACTAGCAATTACACACCTTGAATGGTTATAAGAAATTACTGGGTAATATTAATTGGCTTCACCCCACCTTGGGCATAACTACTGATAAGTTACAAAACCCGTTTTCTATCCTAAAGGGCAATACAGCCATAGACTCTCCCAGATATGTAACTCCTGCAGCAAAAAAGGAAATTGAAGAAATAGAATAAGCTATTTCTCAAAGGCAGCTAGGTAACATAGATCCAAGATATTCAGTTCTGTTGTTTATTTTTCCCAATAAACACTCCCCAACAGGGTTAATAGGACAGATGGCCCTAGGGCTACACTTTCTGGAATGGTTTTTTTGCTCACATACTGGGACTAAAACACTCTCTTCCTATATGCCATTGGCCAGTAAAGTCATCTATTCAGGCCACAGGCAATGCAGTCTGTTATTATCTTATGGCCCTGATACTATCAGAATTCCTTTAAGTAAAAAGCAATTTGAAGCAGTATTGCCCTTATCTATGGATGTGCAAATAGCACTCTCTGATTATACAGGCCATATAGAGCATGTCCTTTCTGCCAGCAGACTCCTTCCATTCTTATCTCATACTTCTGTGGTTTTGCCTACAAAAACAGTTCAATCACCTATACCTAATGCTTTAATACTGTTTACTGATGGCTCTGGCAGACATGGAAAAGCGGTTGTCTGGTGGAGACCACATAGCTCCCTCACTCATTCTGGATTTACTAGCACTCAGAGAGCTGAGGTTGGAGATTTAATATTGCCCTTGGAGACTTTTTCTGCTCAGCCCATCAATGTTGTCAGTGACTCTGCATACTCTGTTTATTAATTGTGGAACCTTGAGAGAGCTATCACTAAATCCACTCTGGAGCCCACCCTGTGTGCACTTTTTCTCAGACTTCAGCATTTGCTAGGTCAATGTATACATCCTATTTTTATCACACATATTCAAGTCCATAGCTCACTCTCTGGCCCATTGGCTTATGTCAATAATCAAGCAGACCTACAGGTTATGACATTGCTGCCTTACCAAGCCACTCCATCGCATCAAAACTGGAGAAATTTATATAAACAATTTCAACTTACCAAAAGACTAGCTAAACAAATTATCCTGCAATGCCCAGATTGCCATCCCATAGGTACATCCCCTTCTTCTACAGGTGTTAACCCTAGAGGACTAGAAACTAATCAGTTAGGGAAAACATATGTTACACACATTTCTGAATTTGAAGAGCTAAGATATGTGCATGTATCTGTTGATACCAACACTTACCTAATTAGTACACATACTCTTCCTGAAGAGTCCATTTGATGTCATTAAACATCTTCTTCTAACTATTGCGTTTTTGGGGTGGCCCACAAAAATTTAAGCTGATAATGGTCCAGTGCATGCCAGCTCACAATTCCAACAATTTTGTCACAAATGTAATATCCAACATTCCGCAGGCATCTTGTATAAACCCCAAGGACAGGCCATGGTAGAATGTACCCACTCCACCCTTAAAAGTCTGATCAGAAAACGAAAAAGGGTAGTATGGCTAAGGACCCTGCAACACTACAAGAACAAGCCCTATTTATCCGTCAATGTTTTAAACTTAGATGACAAATTTCAGTCAGCTCTAGAAGCGCACTTTGCTAAAATCTCTCAAGACACAAACCTGCAGTTTTATGAAAAGATGGAAACAATAATGGATGATGTGGTCCAAATGAATTGTTAACATGGGGAAGAGGGCATGCTTGTGTTCACACCCCCTCAGGTCCTCTTTGGATTCCAGCGTCATACATCAAACCATACCATGGCATGGCTGGGACCCAACCCAGTACCAGAAAGGAAGAAAATGACCCTATAGGACCTGAAGCCCCAGACGATGCGGCTTCTGCAGATGATACAAGCCCCAGACATTACCTGAGGGATGCTGAAGGGGACAACTCAGGGGGCTGAGCAAATCCTGCTCTGGACACAGACACCATTCACTCCAGGTAATCTGTTCTTTGCTATGCTCTCTGTTGTACACTGAAACTCATGTAGGGTATTGATCCTTTTTATGCTCTCGCTTTGTCTGCAACCTGTACCTGCTACATTGTACTGGGCTCATATTTTAGATCCACCTTTCTTTGCCCTGTCTCCTGGACAGACACTCCCTTCCCAACCTCTAAGAACATAACTGCTTGGCTGTGAGGGAAAGATTTACCCCCAGTGGGGTCCCTCATTGATGGCACATATTGGACTAAGGTGCCAGGTAACACTACATATCACTCCACAATCCTCCCACTATGTATAAATTGTAAAAGTTATACACCTTACTGTGTACCTGCCCAAACACAAGTATGGCTACATCATGGCAAAGGAAAGGCCTTAACAGTCTTAGGTGCATGTAGCCATAAAGCAGGCAATTCAATCATTGCCACTTTCCCCAACATTCCTCGCTGTGCTAAAGAACAAAGCTAAGAAAACACTGGGTTCTACTTTAGCTGGAAGGTCTGTCATTGGGAAAATGCTCATAGCCTCCAGATAGGCAATTATAATATCTCAAACTTGAGCCCCCACAGACATTTGCAGGGTGATCATACTGATGTCCATGTCTATCGTGGTATAATGACAATTTTGTAGTCACATCCCATTCCCCTATAATTTGGTCCAAAAGGGGAATGGGCATGTCTCCATCCTCAAGTAAAGTCCATGTCACCCCAAGACACTTTATGGTGCCTGGACATCTTAGCACCCCTTTTAACACCTGGCATGGGACATATCATAATTCCAGTCACAATTATACTATGACCTTTTTTCATAATTACCCTGATCAGTGCCTGATTTGCACACTACCCATTCATATGTTTTTCTTATGGAGCCAATATTTCTATTACACCCCAAAACTTCACATTTTTGACCCTAGTACAGGGACAGGCTTGGTTTGCCTCTTGTATCTCTAATTATGATATATCTAATTTAAATATTACTAGTGTCATGGTATTGAGGAGACAATCTGAGGCTTTCCTACCCATCATTTTGACATGCAATTGGCAAGGTTCCTCTGCCCTTGCCACCTTAGAACATACTGTATCCCAGATCAGATACAAAAGGTTCATAGTTACACTTATAGCCTTTATAATCCCCACCATAGTAATTCTAGCAACTGCTAGCATTGCTGTAGCATCTATTACTGAATCAGGTTGAACAGCTACTTTTGTAGATAATTTGGCCAGAAATGTGTCTAATAAAATTCTCTTATGGCAAGGTGTAAATCAAAAGATTCTTGCAAGTCTGAAAACCCTTGAGGCTGCCTTGGAATATGTAGGGAAGCGACAAGATGCACTGGCATTCCAACAACAATTAAAGTGCAACTGGCAGTTGCATAGAAGTGACATATCTGTGCCACTTTTATACCATGGAATCAATCAATACATGGTTGAGATAAGGTGAAATAACACCACTGGGGAAACTTTTATGACAATTTAACAGCAGACATAAAGCAATTTCAAACTAAAATCCTAGAATGCCCTAATGCCATAGATCTACGCACCCAGCAAATGGCCATATGGAAGAGTGTATGAGATTGTCTCTCCTGGTTAGACTCCCCAGTCCTGGGGGTCACTCCTTGAATGGAAAGGAATGTTGTTATTCATACTCATATTTGTCTGATGTCAATTACTAATTCTAGGCTATAAAGCCAGAATACGAACAATGACTGCTATGCCTGACAGGCCTGTGGCTGCACACACCTGTACTCTCCAATCAACAAAACCTGATGCTAAAAACAGAAAAGAGGGAGATATAGGAGATCTATCAGTGTGGTGGGAAAAATTGTAGAAAGATACAAACCTTATTGGAAGGCTGGAAGCTTTTACAAAAGCTTTGGGAAAGGGTTATGGCTGAAGGCAGCCTGACCTGCTTACCTTGAGCTAATAATAAAAAGCAAATAACAAGGGAATATACAGAAGTTTATCTAAATAGCTTATTTACTCATTGTCCTAAGGCCTAACTTTGATCATTTGTGTGCAGGACTGCTCTCTACTTGGGGGGCCAGCAATATTATTTACCCACAAAGAGTGTTGACTCACGCCTTTGTCATTAAATCTGTACTAAATAAATGCCCACAGCACCAGCTAGTTTGGGTTGCAGACTCTTTACAGGATCCTTTCATGTTCTGTAAGTGGCCCGGTCCCCTAGCCCACTCTTTCACTGGACATCAGCATCAGAGTGCATTTGTTCATCTGTCATTCGGCCAGGGTCTGCAGGTCGGACCTGGCATCAAACTACTCTTTGTAAGGAAAATCAATGCAGAAGAAGAGATTCACATGCCTTCATGTGAGGTCCATTGACATGTTACAGTCCCATCTATTGGCTAGGCCAAGGCAAGATAATCAAAGCACTCAAGTTATGGGGGAAGTTGTATATCACAATCACACTTCCAGGAAGGTCTAGGGATTAGATTAACAAACCTGCCTATGTCCAGGTTCTGGATATGACAGTAATTTTCTCCTTTAAGTTGGGTGTAAGTACATTAGTCACAACGTCAGTGGTAGACAGGATCTGTGCATGAAAGCCTCACTCAATCCTTTCTGTTGACTGTCCCTTGGTAAAGTAGTAGCCTCACAGGTGGGCTGAATCTTGGTCTGAGCATCAGCAATGCTGATGTGGACCAGACCCACATACGAGACACAATTTTCAACTTTATTTTTTTTTTTATTTTTTATTTTTTTTAGATGGAGTCTTGCTCTGTTGCCAGACTGGAGAGCAGCGTTGGGATCTCAGCTCACTGCAACATCCACTATCTCAGTTCAAGTGATTCTCCACTATCTCAGTTCAAGTGATTTTTCTGCCTCAGCTTCCTGAGTAGCTGTGATCATAGGCACTCACCACCATGACTGGTGAATTTTTGTATTTTTACAGTAAAGATGGGGTTTCACCATGTTGGTCAGGTTCATTTTGAACACCTGATCTCAAGTGATCCACCTGCCTAGGCCTCTCAGAGTGCTGGGATTACAGGCATAAGCCATGACGCCCAGCCAATTTTTCACTTTTGACAGCCTCCACATGTGAGAATAAAAACCTTAATGGTAGGCTGTATTTTTGTGAAAGGATGACAGTCGTTACTTATTTCTACATCCAGCTCACAAGAAGGTTAGGACTCTCCTACCAGAATCAGGGTATGTTGACTCTCATACTGTTGGTTCAAGCAATATGTCAAAATACTCCCTGGGAAGAGAGCACAGATGGAAGATTCATATCACCCGTCATTTTATGACACTCTCTGTGCCACGTGAAGGCTTTATATGACATGCAGAAATGTCATAATCCTCTGTGATAAGACTCTCTTCTTTGAGCCCTGCCTAACACTAACCCTAATTCTAATTCTAAGTATAACCCTAACCCTATCCCTACCCTTAAATCTAACCTGCTTCTCTGAGACTAGTGACAAGAGTCAACTTCTCTCCCACTGGCTGAGGCCAGGTACAACAGTCATCATAGCACCTATGGAGTGAGCCATGGTATATGTCACAATCCCACCTATAAGCAGGTAAAAGAGTCATATCATCTGGGTGCTTAACAAGGAATATGGAAAATATCAGCCCTGTGGGCAGGACTCAAGTGGACAAGTGAGATTACTTTGATGCTAGGTCCAGCAATATGTCAATATGCCCCCTGTGGAAAAGATCCCAGACAGAAAAGGAGAGTCACATTATCTAGAGATTAGGCTTAGAAATAAGTCACAATCTTCCCTCAAAGCAGAGCAAAGGCAGGACAGTCAAATCACCTAGGTACTGGGTCAATTAATAGGTCATAGTATCTCCTGAGGACAGGGCCCAGGCATAAGAGTCTCATCATGTAGGTATCATGTAGCATCCAGCAATATGTCACAATGCTCACTGTTGTCAGGGTCTAGCCAAAAGAGAAGAGTCACATCACCTAGGTGCAGGGTCAACTTATGGTAGAATACACACTGTTGACAGGACGCACACAGAAGGGAAAAGTCACATCACCTAGGTGCTTGGTTTGGCAACATGTAAAATATCTCTTGAGGGGAGGGCCAAGGCAGGAGATTTACTCCACCTAGGTGATGGGTTCAGGGTCATGTCATGATGCCCTCAGTGTGTAAGGTCCTGGCAGAAGAGAACAGATACATCATCTGGCCTTTGGACCTATCAGTACTTCACAATGTTCCCCGTAAGCAAAGCCAAAGCAGAAAAGGAGAGGGATATCATAAAGGTACTTGATGCAGTGATATATTAATATCCCCAGTTGGGGAAGAGCTCAAGCAGAAGAGGATATTCATGTCGGCTATGTGATGGATTCAGAGATATGTCACAATGTTCCCTGCAGGCAGGGCCAAAAGAGAAGGGTCACATATCCTGGTTCCTGGGCCAAGCAATATGTCACATTTATCCCTGAGAAAGAGGCCCAGGCAAAAGAGAAAAGCCACATCACCAAGACAGTAAAATTACAATACCTGGGTGGTGGGTCCAACCATATGTCCCAATGCCCCCTTTGGATAAGGCCCAGCAAGAGCTACATCACCTGGATTCTGTGCTCCATAATATATCACAATATCTTCTGAGTGCAGGGGCAACGCAAAAGAGTAACATTGCTTTGGTGTTACAATTTTTTCCTGCAGGTGGAACCTAGAAAGATGTGAAGAGTCACACTTGCTAGGTGTTGGGCCCAGTGATATGTCACACATTTTTTGGAACAGAAGTTAGTCAGGAGAAGAAAGTTACATTACCATCACCTGAGTGCTGGGTGCACAGGAGTGTCACAATGCCACCTGTAAGCAGAACCAAGGAAAAGAGTTACCACTACAGTGTTGGACCAAAAAAAATGTGTCATAATTATTCCTGTGTACACAGCCAGGAAGAAGAGTCAAATCATCTGGCTGCTAGGGCCAGCAATATTTCCCAAATTCTTTTGTGTGCAGAATGCAGGCTGAAGAGAGAGTGATACCACCTAGTAATGGGCCCAGAGATATGTCATAAGACCTTATATGAACGGAGGCTAGGCAGAAGCATTTCATCTTCTAGATGTTGAGTTCAGCAATATGTCACAATATCAGAAGTATATATGCCTAAACAAAAGAAGAGTCATACTACCTAGGTTCTGGGTCCAGTAATATGTCAAAATATCTTCTTTGTATCCTCCAAGCAGAAAAACAGAGTCATGTAACCTATTTAGTGAAGAAAAATGTCTAATACTTCAGTGGGAAGAACCCATGCAGAAGAGTCACATTACCTAGGTGCTGGGCTCAGCCGTAGTTCACCATACACAATGTATAAAAGACTTAGGCAGTTGAGGAGAGCAACATAACCTAGGTACTGGGCTCTATGATACATCACATTTCTTTTGTGTGCAAAGCATAAACATTAGAAGAGAGTCACATTACCTAAGTCCTGAGTCCAGCAATATATCACAATAAAACCTGAGAGTCACTTAGGTGAGGAGCCCAGAGATATATCATAATGCACCTAGTGGATTGGGCTCAAGAAGAAGGGAAGAGTCACATAACTTAGGTGCTGGGCCTAGCTATATGTCTCTGATATGGTTAGGCTTTTTGTCTCTACCCAAATCTCATTTTGAATTTTAATGCCTAGGTGTTTAGGGAGAGATCTGGTGGGAAGTGATTGGATTATGGGGACAGTTTTCCCCATGCTGTTCTCATGATAGTGAGTAAATTCTCATGAGATCTGATGGTTTTATAAGTGGCAGTTTTTTTTCTGTACAGAAACACACTCAGTGTGTGCCATCTGCTGCCATTTAATATATATCTTTCCCTTTTCTGCCATGATTATAAGTTTTCTGAGGCCTCCCCAGACATGCAGAACTGTGAGTCAATTAAACCTCTTTCTTTTATATATTAGTGAATCTCTGGTACCATCCTTATAGCAATGTGAGAACAGCTAATACAGTCTCATTCAGCCCTTTCGGCAGGGCCCAGGCATGAGTGGAGAGTCACATTACTAAGGTGCTGGCCAGAGAAAAATATGACAATTACATCTGTAAACAGGGCTCAGGCACAAGAAAGTCACTTGAACTAGGTGTTGGGCCTATAGATATTTTACAATGTACCCTGTGTGCAAGACCCCGGCAGAAGTATCACGTCACCTGTGTCCTGGGCCAAGAGGTAAGTTACTGTTTCTTCTGTGGGCAGGATCCACACAGAAGAGGAGAGTCCCATCACCTAGGTTCTGGAACAAAGAATATAAAACAAAGTATCCAATGATCAAAACCCAGATCAGACAGTAGATTCACATCACATACTGATGGGTCCAGAGAGATATCAAAATGCCTTCTGTCAGCAAGGTCCAGGGTGGATATTCACAACACCTTAGTGCTGGGCTCAGCAATATGTCATAATGTTTTTGGAAGACATAGCCACACAGCACCACAAAAAAACAGTAAATTACCCTAGATGTCTGGCCCAAGAAAATGTCAAAATTCTCCCCTGTGAGCAGGATCTAGAAGGGAGGAATCATGTTAGCTTGGTGCTGGGCCCAGTGATATGTCACAATTCTCACTGTGACCATGGTTCAGTCAAAAGAAGAGAGTCATATAACCTGGGTGATGAGCACATATATGTTTCACAATGCCTCCTGTAGTTGGTAACAAAGAAAAATGGTACATCACCTGGGTGTTAGACCCAGCAATATTTCACAACAGCCTCTGTGGACAGGGTCAAGGCAAGAAAGTCACATAACCTGAATGTGATGCCCAGCAATATATTACAATGCTCTCTGTTGGCAGAAACAAGGCATAAGAGGATAGTTACATCACCTGGGTGCAAGGTCAAGTTATATGTCACAATACCCTCTGTAGGCAACACCAATAATAGACTCATATAACCTAGGTGCTGGGTACAGTAGTATTTCATAATCCCATATGTGGGATGGGCCCAGGCAGAAGAATCAAATCCCTTAAGTGCTAAACAGAAGTATATGTCACAATGACCTTTACAAGTGTTTAGAGATGAGATTAGTAATCTTCCAAGTGCCCTGTTTCTAGATATGAGAGTCAATACTTTATGTATATTGGTTCCAAGAACATGAATCACAATCTTAATAGTGGACTTGATTTGTGTATGAGAGCCTCAATCCATCATGCACATTGTGTTTCCCTAATGAAGTCACAGACTCAAAGGTATACTTAATTTTTGTCTGAGAGTCCCCAGCCCACTTGTGGACTTTATCTAAATATGGGAATCACTTTTGCAACTTTCATCTGCCTTCAGGCGTAAGATTCAGAACCTCAAGCATTGGCTCTATTCATGTGAGGAAATGATAATCTTTACTGTCATCTTCACTGTCTGTTGAGTGTGCCTGTAAGTCATAATTTAACCTATTTGTTACGCCCTGTTAGAAAACTCTCTGTACCACCTAAGGGTGTTATACCATATCTGAAAGAGTGGTAATCATTTGTGGCATTTTTTAAAAGGGAAGAGACCCAGAATCTTATCAGTTCCTTAAGCTTAACTATAAGATAAAGTATCTCTATTATTGGCTCGTTTGAGCTATGAGAGTCATTATTACACCTGTCAGCTGGGTCAAGATATTTGTCACAATCCCATCTATGGGTGGAAAATGAGCAAGAGCATTACATCACCTAGATGCTTGTCCAGGAATACGTCACCAGCTTCTCTGAAAACAGATACCAGGCAGAAGAGTTTTATCACCTGAATGGTGGGTCCAGTGACATGTGACAATAACTTCTGTTGTCAAGGTTCAGGCAGGAGAGTCACATCACTTGGTTGCTTGATTCAGTGATATGCCACAATCTTCCCTGTTGGAAGGGTGTAAGAAGAAAAAAGAAAGTCACATCAAATAGTTGATGGATGCAAAGATATGTACAAGGACACCTGTGTGCATGGCCCAGGGAGGACCCAGGCAGGAGAAGAGAGTCATAATACTTAGGTGATTCTACAAGTGATATGTCACAATCTGATATGGTTTTTCTGTGTCCCCACCCAAATCTCATCTTGAATTGTGGCTCCTATAATTCCCACATGCTGTCAGAAGGACCCAGTGGGAGATAATTGAATCACGAGAAGACGTATTTCCCACGCTATTCTCATGATAGTGAATAAATCTAATGGCATCTGATGATTTTATAAAGGGGAGTTTCCATGCACAAATCCTTTTCTCTTGTCTGATGCCATGGAAGATGTGCCTTTCACCTTCCATCATGATCATGAGACTTCCCCAGCCACGTGGAATTGTCAGTCCATTAAACCTCTTTCTGTCATAAATTGCCCTGTCTCAGGTATGTCTTTATCTGCAGTGTGAAAATGGGCTAATACACAATTCCCACTGTGGAAAGGGTCCAGAGAGAAGAGGAGAGTCACTTCAGCTAGGTAACATAATAGAGATATGTCACTATTATGTCCTACCTACCCTGTAGGTAGGACTGAAAAAAAAAGAATGACATTATCTGTAAGCTAGGCAAAAACATATGTCACAATTTCTCCAATGGGCAAATTCCATATCAGAGAGAAGAGTTACATCAAAAACTAGATGGGCCCAGAGGTGATATGCTCCCTGTGGATAGGGTTTAAGCAGGAGACTTACATCACCTTAATTCTTGGCCCAGCAATTTGTCCTAAGATGAAATTAACAATTTCCCCTATTTCCCAGTTCTAGGTATGAGAGTCCACACTTCCCGTATGTTGAGACTAAGTACACGAGTCTCAATCTCAGTGGTGGGCTGAATCCATGCCTACGAGCCTCTATCCCTACTGTCACTGTGTTTTCTCACAGGAGTGCTGAATCTCAACTTGAGCATCACCAACCAACCTGTGGATAAGACCCATTGTTGAGAGTCAGTTTTCCAATTTTCATCTGCCTTTGGGTGTAAGATTCAGAACCTCAACAGCGAACTGAGTTCATGTGAAAAAAATTAACTGTTGACTGAGTGTGCATATGAGAGTCACAGCATAACCTGTTTGCTGGGCCCTGTTAGGACATTCTCTTTAGCACCATAAGGCTTTATAATGTATGCATGACAGTCACAATTTGCTCTAAGATCTTCATGCACGTATGGCCTCATAATCTTAATTGTGACTTTAACCAGAGGTACAAAAGTCACCATCTCTGTAATTGACCAGGTCCAGATATGAGAATTCTCAGGGTGCCTATAATATGAGTTTAAAAATAAATCACCACTGGGCCAGGTGAGGTGGCACATGCCTGTAGTCCCAGCACTTTGGGAGGCCAAGGCGGGCAGATCACAAGGTCAGGAGATCAAGACCATCCTGACTAACATGATGAAACTCTTTATCAGTAAAAATACAAAAAAAAAAAAAAAAAAAAAAAAAAAGGCAGGTGTGGTCGCAGGTCCCTGTAGTCCCAGCTACTCAGGAGGCTGATGCAGAAGAATCACTTGAACCCAGGAGGAGGAGGTTACAGTGAGCCAAAATCACACCTCTGCACACCGGCCTGGGAGACAGAGTGAGATTCCATCTCAAACAACAAACAAACAAACAAGCAAGCAAAAAAGATGAGTCAGCATCTCAACTCTTGCCTAATTTTTATATATGATTGTCTCATTTCCAACTGTGGACTGGATCTGCTTGTCAGATTCAGGACCTCAGAAGTGGGTTTTGCCCATGCAAAAGTTTGACAACTTGGACAGCTAGTAGAATGTGCATAGAATAAACACAATCTCACCTGTGTACTGGGCACTGTTATGACAGTCTGTGTATGACTCAAGAGCTTTATGCAATATGCAAGACAATGATAACCCTCTATGACCTTCCTAAAAAGAGGAGAGTCAGGACCTTACCCACTTTCGGTCTAGCTGAAATGAGATGGTGTCACTTCAATCAACTAATTTGAGATATGACAGTCATTATTATACTTGTGAGCTGGGCCTATGTACAGAACAAAATTCTGCCTTTGGGTTGAGAGTAAGAAGGAGAGTCTCATCACCTGGGTGCTAGTCCAGGAATATGTCACAATTTTCCCTGAGTGCATAGACCAAGCAGGAGAGTCATCACCTGAGAGCTTGGCCAGGAATATGTTACAATCCCCTTTTGAATACAGAACACCTTTTTATACTGAGCCCAGAAATATTTCACAATTTCCCCTGTAAGTAGAATTCAGGCAACACAATCACAACACCTTGTTGCTTGGTCAGGCCATATGTCACAATCTTTCTGTGGACAGGGTGCAGACAGAAGTGGAGCATCACATAACCTAGGTGAAAAATGCAGAAGTAGGTCACAGGTGCTCTGTGAGCATGGCCCATGTGGAAACACCTTATCTGCTAGGTGTTAAGCATAACAATATGTCACAATTCCCAAAGTATATGAGGCCCAGACAGAAGAGGAGAGAAACATGAACTAAGTGCTGGATTCAACATTGTGTCACAATCCTCCCTTTTGCAGGATGCATGTAAAAGGGAAGAGTCACATCACCTAGGTAATAAATGAAATGATATATCATACAATCTTGTGATTATGGCCTATGCAGGAAATCACATCTTTTATGTGTGGGACCCTGTGAGACATTGAAATACACAATATATTAAGGGCCCAGGCCTGGGAGAAGAGTAACAATTCCTAGGTATTGTCACAAAGGATACATCACAATTCCTCTTGTAGGTGAGCTCAAGCAGTAGAGCAGATCTTGTCACCTAGGTGCTGGGTCCAGCAATATGTCACAATACCTCCTAAGAAAAGGGATCAGGTAAAACAGTCACATCACAAAAGTGAGAGGCCCAGAGACATATGACAATCTTCCATGTAAGTGGGACTCAGGAAGGAAAGGAGAGTCACATAGCCTAGAGTCTGGGGCAAGATATATATCACAATTACTTCTGCGAGTGGAGCCTAGACATGAGAAGAAGATCACATCACTTAGGTGCTGAATTAAGTGGTATGTCAGAATCTCCACTGTGGACAGTTTCAAGGCAGAAGAAGAGAGTCACATTAATTAGGTGATGTGCACAGAGGGATTTCACACTAACCCCTGTACGCAGAGCAGAAGAATCACATCATGTTTGTAGTAGGCTCAGTAATAAGTCACTCTTTTGTTTGTGGGCAGAACCCAGGCAAGCATGGAGAATCAGGTTGCCTAAATGTTGTGCCCAGAAAAATGTCACAATCTCGCTAATGGGCAAGCCCAGGTTAGAGAGAAAAATCACATCAAATATTGATGAGCCCAAATATATATCACAATGGCCCCTGTTGGCAGGATCCAGCCTGGATACACATTAGCTTAGTGCTGGGCCCAGCAATATGTCACAGTGTTTTCTAAGGACAGGGCCATGGTAAAAGTTTGAGATCACATTGGGATTTGTCTCAGTGATGTGTCACAATCTCCACTAAGAGCAGAAGCTAGGAAAAATAAAAGAATCACATAAGCTAGATGTTGGGTTCACTGATATGTAACTGACCCACTGAGGACAGTCAGGAACCATTTAGGAGAAAAGGGTCACAGCACCTAGGGATGCATGCAGAGGTGTGGAGCAATGCTGCCAGTATGCAGGACCAAGGAAGGAGAGTTACATAACCTGGATGTTGGACCCAGAAATGCATCAAAATGGTTTCTGTTGGCAAGGCTCGGGCAAGAGCATCATATACTTTGGGTGCATGTCACAATGACTTACATGGTCAGTACCAAGGCACATCACCTGCGTGCAAAGCCAAGTGATAGTTTACAATGCCCCCTTAAATAGTGCTAAGGCAGGAGACTAGAGTCATATCACCTGGATGCTGCATCCTGTGATATGACACAAACTCATCTGTGGGTGGAGCCCAGACAGAAGAGTCAAATTACTCAGGTGCTGGGGAAAAGCACATGTCACTATCATACCTGCAGGAAGGTTTAATGATAAGATTTTTAAAATCCCACACATGTCCTGGTTTGAAGTATGAGAGTCAACACCTCCTGTATGTCGGCTGTAAGTACACAAATCACAAACTGGACGATGGACTGGATTCATGCATGTGAACCACAATCTCACCTGTGCACTGTTTCCCCTTATTGGAGTCACAACCTCACAGCAGTGCTGAATATTTGTCTAAGAGTCACCAACACACCTGTGGACCAAATCTACTTATGGGAGTCAATTTTGCAACTTTCAGTTTCCCTGGATATGAGATTCAAACCTCAATAGTGAGCTGTGTTCACCTGAAAAGATGACAATCTTTACAGTCTGGTGGCTGTGCATACAAGTATCACACTCTTTACTTTTTCACTGGTTTCTATTAAGACACTCTTTGTACCACTCAAGGGGTTTATGGAATATGCATAATTATTCCAATCTACTCTGGGACGTTTGTGCTTATGTGCATCCATGGTTATACCTGTGGCTCTAATACCGATTATGACAGTCAACATCGTTTCCATTTACTGCATCTGGATTTGAGAGTCCACACATTTCCTCACATTTCCTCACATTTTTATAAACTGGTTTTAGAAATGATTCACCACAAAAGTAGACAAATGTACACACATGATAGTTGCAATTTCCCCCTTGGACTGCACCTACATGTGAGATTTATGACCTCACCTATGAGCTGTGTCCATTTGTGGGTCAGTAATTCTAACAGTAGGCAGAGTGGGCATATAAGAAATGAGCTCTTACCTGTGTGTTGCATCTGGTTACTCTCTGCACTACACAAGGGATTTACGTGATATATGAGAGAGTAGTAATCCCCTATGAGTTTTGTACACAAATTAGTGTATCCCTAAGCCTTGCCATGAGAGACAGTGTCTCTTGTTTTTGATGGTTCAAGGCTTGAGAGTCATCATTTTACCTGTGTTGAGGTATATCTTACAATCTCAGGTGAGTCACGCTCTCTAGGCGCTGGGCCAGGGATATGTTACAATTTTTGCTTAGGACAGGGACCAGCAAGGAGAGTTATATCTTCTGGGTGCTCAGACAAGAATATTTTACAAACCTTTTCTGAAAACAGGACAAAAGCAGGAGAGACAAATTACTTGGTTGCTGGACCCAACAAAATGTGACAATATTTCCTGTGGATATGGTGAATGTAGAAAAGGTGAGTCACATAACCTAAGTCATGAATGCAGAGATATGTCACAGGGCTCAGGAAAGAGCCTCCCATTCCCAAAGTGTCTAGTATAGCAATATGACACAATATGCAAAATATACATGATCCAAGTAAAACAGGAGAGTCACATCTAGGTGCTGGGTTTACTTGTATGTCACAATTCCTTTTTTTAGTCAGCACAGATAAGAGAGGAGAGCCACAGTGATATATCATAATATCTCTGTGAACCACACCCATGCAATAAGGTTGCACCACCTAGGGATAAGTCCCAGGAATATGTCAAAATACACAATGAATGTGGGGCCCAAGTTATATAGGAGAGTCACATCATCTAGGTGTCGGGTCCAGCAATATGTCACAATACCCCATGAAGGGAGAATCCAGGTGAGAAAGTCACATCATGTATGTGAGAGTCTCAGAGATATGTCACAGTGGCTTTTGTGGGTTGGGCTCGAAGAGAAAAAAAAGAATCACATAACTTAGTGGCTGGGTCCAAATGTATGCCACAATCACCATAGTGGGCATGGCCCAGGCATAAGAGGAGAGTCACATTATGTCGATATTACATCAACCAGTATGTTACAAACTCCACTATGAAGAGGCCCCAGAAAGAAGCAAGGGGTCATATCTTGTAGGTTATTGGCCCAAAGATAGGTCATGACTTCTGTGATCCAGAACCAGGCAGAGGAGTCACATCACCTGTGTGCTGAGCTCAGTGATGTTTCTTTTGTGAACACGGCTTATGCTGGAGTGGAGAGTCATGTTAACTAGATGCTGGGTCCATAAATATGTCACAATCACAACTATGGGCAAAGCCTAGATAAGAGGGGAGAGTCACATCAAATAGTTGATGTGCCTAGAGGTATGTTAAAATGTCACATGTGTGCATTGTCTAGAAAGGGGCTCATATCATTTTGCTTACGTGGCCAGCAATATGTAACAATGCCTTCTAAGGGAAGGGCCAAGACAAAACAGTAATCACCTTGGTGTTGTCAGTATGTCACAATCTTCTTTGGGGACAGAACCTATAAAGAATAGAAGAATCACATCATCTAGATTCTAGGTTCAGCAGTAAATGAAAATCTCCAGTCTAAGCAGGAACCAGGCAGAAAAAAGAACGTCACATCACTAACTTGGTGGGTGACACATCTTTCAATATCCCCTGTAGGCAGAACCAGGGAGCAGAATTACATTACCTGGAAGTTGAACCTAGCAATATGTCACACTGGCCCATGTGTACAGAGAACAGGCAGGAGAGTCACATAATCTGGGTGTGGTGCTCATCAATATATAAAAATGCCGTCTGTGAATAGCACCAATGTAGAATACAGTCATATATTCTAGGTGCTCTGTCCAGTGATCTATAAGAATACCATATGTGGGCCAGATGTTGGGGCTCACACCTGTAACCCCAGCATTTTGGGAGGCTGAGGTGGCTGAGTCACAAGGTCAGGAGATCGAGACCACCCTGGCCAACATGGTAAAACCCCGTCTGTAACAAACAAACAAAAAATTAGCTGGGCAGGTTGGCACATGTCTGTAATCCCAACTACTAGGGAGGCTGAGGCAGGAGAATTGCTTGAACCGGGAAGTCAGAGGTTGCAGTGAGCCAAGACCACACCACTGCACTCCAGCTTGGAGACAGAGTGAGACTCCATCTCAAAAAAGAAAAAAAAGGAAAATAAAGGAATGTCATATGTGGGCTAAGCCCAGACAGTAGAGTTGTATCAGTCAGGTGCTGGGTAGATGGGTACAGGGATACATCACAAGACCCTCTGTGGCATGGCCAAGGCAGAGTCTTTTATCTTCTAGGAGATTGGCTCAGAAACATGTCAAAATAATCAAAATATGGGACGCAGGATAAAAAGAGAGTTATGTCACTGTGATGGTTAATACTGAATGTCAATATGATTGAATTGAGGGGTGAAAAGTATTGATCCTGGGTGTTTCTGTGAAGGCGTTGCCAAATGAGATTAGTATTTGAGTCAGTGCACTGGAAGAGGCAGACCTATCCTCAATCTGGGTGGACACCATCTAATCAGCTGCCAGCATGACTAGAATAAAAGCAGGCAGAAGTTAGAAGGATTTGGCTTGTTGAGTCTTCCAGTCTTTGCCTTTCTCTCTTCTTGGATGCTTCCTGCCTGAACATCAGACTCCAAGTTCTTCAGACTTTCAACTCCTGGAATTAAATTACTGGTTTGCTAGAGGCTCTCAGGCCTTTAGCCACAGACTGAAGGCTGCACTGTTAGCTTCCCTACTTTTGAGGTTCTGTGACTTGGACTGGCTTTCCTGCTGCTTAGCTTGCAGACGGCCTATTGTGAGACTTCCCCTTGTGACTGTGTGAGCCAATACTCCTAACAAACTCCCCTTCATATACACATCTATCTTGTTGGTTCTGACCTTTTAGAGAACGCTAATACTGTCACTTAAGTTCTGGGTCTAGTGATATGTTACAACCTCCCTGTTTGGCAGGGTTTATGCAGTAGAGAGTCACATCACCTAGGTGAGGAACAAAATGATATGTCATAATACCGCTGTGGGCAGGGCAGATGAAGGCAATTGCACCAACTAGGCATTGGACCCAGTGATAGGCCACAATCCCTTTTATGGGAAGGTTAAGCAATAGAGAAGAGTCACATGAACTAATTGCTGGGTGCAGCAATATATTGCAACCATCCCTGAGAGAAGGGCCCAGAGAGAAGATTAACAAAATTTACATGAAGGACTCAGAAATTTATCACAATGCTTGCCATGCAAAGGACTCAGAAAGAGGAGGAGAGTCACATAACTTCATGGCTGAACCAAGTTATGTCTCAGAATCACCACAGTGGGTAGGTGTTTAGATAAGTTATATGTTACAATCCCAACTGTGGGTAAATCCCAGCAAAAGGAGGAGAGACATAATCAGGTGATGGGCCTGGATATATGTCACAATAATCCCTGTGGGCAGGGAGAACACGAGACAGAAGAGTCACATAAAAAGTTGATGGACCCAGAGATATATTACAATCTCCCATATGGGCAAAGTTGAGGTAAGAAAGAAGATTCACATGAAAGAGTTGATAGGCCTAAAGATGTGTTTTAATGCCCCCTGTGGGCAGGTTTCAGACAGGAGACTTATATCCACTTAGTACTGGGTTTAGCAATATGTTGCAATGTCTTTAGAATTTAGGACCAAGGCAAAAGAATAGTGCCATTTTGGTGTTTAGACTAGTGATATTTCACAGTCTCTCCCGTGATGGAACAATAAAAAAATTAGTCACAACAGCTAGGTGCTGGATCCAATGATATGTCACACTGCCCCGTTTGAGCAGAGACCCAGCAGAAGAGGAGAGTCACCTAACTTGTTTGATAGGTATAGAGGAATGTCACAATGGGTCCTGTAGGCAGGGTTAAGACAGAAGTGTTACGTCACCTGGGTGTTTGACCCAGTGATATGTTCTAATGCACCTTGAGGGATGCCAAAGCAGAAAGAAAGAAAGAAAGAAAGAAAGAAAGAAAGAAAGAAAGAAAGAAAGAAAGAAAGAAAGAAAGAAGAAAGAAAGAAAGAAAGAGAAGAAAGAAAGAAAGAAATGTAATCTAAGTACTAAGTCCACTGATATGTCAAAATATTATATGTAGGCTTGGCACAGAAAAAATAGTCAAAACACATGCTGGGCAGATGCGTATGTCACAATCACACCTGCCAGTAGGTTCAGAAATCAGATTAACAATCAATTTCACATGTGTCCAGGTTGTAGGTCTGAGAGTCAAGACTTCCTGTATTGGGTTCAAGCATACATGTCACTTTCTCAATAGTGGACTTGATCAATGCATAAGAGCTTAAATCCATCTTGGGGACTGTGTCCACCTAATGGATTCACAGCATTCCAGGTGCACTTAATGAAGGTCTGAGAGTCACCAATCCACCTGAGGCCCAGCTCCACCTACAACAGTCAATTTTCCAACTTCTGATTGACTACAGTTGTAAGATTCATAATTTCCACAGTGGGCTGTGTTCCTGTGGAAGGATGACAATTTTAAATGAAGGCTGGCTGTGCATATGACAATCAGAATTTTATCTGTGTGTGGGCCCCTTTTAGGACGTTCTCTGTACCATCTGAGGGCTTTATATTATATTATACATACAATATAATATGCCATATCTTATATATATATATAATATTCATATATATATGCATATATAATATGCCAGCTCTGTCTGATGTTGTAGCTAGACAAAATGTACCACACACAGTTTCTGCTGCAGGCACCCACATCTGGACGATGGAAATGTGGTGGTGGTTCCCAAGAGCTTGGAGATGCCAGAAACCAGAGTCCCAAATAGGGTGTCACAGCCCTGACTTGAGGAAGCCCTAGGTCCCAGCTCTGCAGAAGACCACAGCTCTTCTCTCCTTATTGCCTGCAACATAGCAAGCAAGGGTGCGTGTTTCAGCCCTAGTTGTGTTGCAGCTTTTTTAGTCCCCCCATTTAACAGGTCTCAATTCTTGTCCTACATCCAGGAAGAATGCAGGTTCTTGCCCCCATGGGTACATGGACAACTGGAGGATGAGAAAGGCAGACACTCCTGGTCTGCCTTCATTGAGTGACAGAACAGCTCTCAGGAGACCCAAAGTGGATGGTTTTCCACAAGCAGATCATTCTGATGACTGTCCGTGTCTCAATGGAGAGGAGGCCTGCAGTGGATAGCTGCTTCCCACAGGCAGGTTATCCCAGTGTCTGTTTGAGTCTGGGGTGTTTATGGGCTCAGAAAGGAGAAAGTGCATGTTGATTTGTGTATAGGCAGCCATCTGTAAACCAAGAAAAGGCAACATAATTTCTTAATTCAGGTTGTGGTCTGTACCTGGAGTTAACCAATCAATTCCCAGGTTTCACTTCAGATCATTCCTGGCTTGAAGGTGGGGTTTCACCAGGGACTCACTGCTTTCTTCCCAGGAGCCTGCCTGCCTCCCACCATCAACGTGTCCCAGGATGTTCATGTTCTGGGACACCTTCAGGCTTATGCCAATCTGCCCTCACTCCCCACCAGCCCCCCTCCTGCACTTATTGGGACTCTGAGACTGGAGGGGGCCAAAGTGGCAGAGTTCTGGGTGTCAGTGCTTCCCTGAGCACACACCTGGCCAGGTTACAGCAGTTCCTGACCTTGACCACAACTTTGCTCTCAAACTGGATCAGGAACCAAAAGTGTGGAGAGGCCAGAGAGTGGGAGAAGGCCCTTTTAAGCCTGTGGGAGGAGAATGGGCTGTCTGCGGCCCCAAAAGTGCAGAGATGCGTAGATCTAAAACCATGGTTGGCAGCTGCAGCTGCATCTGGGAGCATGGAGCTCCCATCCCACCAACTCGGTAGGAGGCAGGGCTTCCACTCGTTCCTGGTTTCTGCTAGCTCCACAAGGCGTGCAACCCAAGCCGTGTCTCTCCCACTTCTGCTAGAGTCTTCACAGTGGCCACTCCAGACAGGATGCTGTCGTTGATTCCCCCTGTGAAGAGATACATCTAACTGCCATTAGAATAGTGATTATATGTGCTAATAACTGCTTCATGCTGACAGGGGGCACTGTTTTGGAAAAAGTGGCAGCCAGATCTTCTCACAAGGCCTATATAAGGGTACCCAGTAAGAGGGAGCCATCATTTGTGGCTCTCTTAGCATTACCATTTGAGATTTGATGGCCTGAAGGTGAGAAAAAAAAAAAAGACCGTTAAAAGACGTAGATCAAAAGGAAACAAGGGGATAATACCAGCTCAAAAATTCTGAGGCTACCAATGTACTCAGATAACCAGTGGCTACATTAATGCCTGCTAAAATTTGAGTGAATTTGGGTTGCCCCTGGTTTGCTTCTGTGGCCTTATTTTCCCAGGAAAAAAAAAAAGAAAAAGAAAAACAAAACCTTTAGGTTATGGGCATCCAATTTACCCCCATCACCTGGCAGGATTTGTAAGATAATTGCCCAGAATTAGAATATTGATCTACATTTTTATATTACCCGTCCCTTTTGTCTGTTCTGAGCTGCAGTCAGAGATCACTGACTGGCTCTCAGAATAAAGAGAGTTAGTCTAAAATACAGAGAAAAACAAATCACAAGTTCCTGTCAAAGTCCTGTAGCTGATTATTAATTCTATTTTCTAGAGGATCAAAACAAGGCAACAATTTTCGGTAAGTGACAGAATGTTTTAGGATATTCACATTAAAAAACATAACTGACAAATAAATTTGGTCATTTCTGTGATTTATAACTTACCATAGTAACCCTAATTATGATTAATAAAATATACTTAAGCATTTGAATTCTGGAAGACTCACATGATTTAAAAATATGTGTTAACACTGTTAACTAAAATATAACCTGGAAAGGATTAAGCTTTATTTTTAGTTTGACAATCCTAAGTAACTGAACATGTCAAATAATAACCTTGCTTACCTTAATTTTGGATGCTCCAGGGGCCCTCCATAGAATTCTAATGTTAGGGATCAGAAAGAATTTTGAAGCTAAAATTTGATTTTGGGAAGCCTATCAAGTATGTTAAAGTTTTAAAACACTTTATCTTATGAAATAAAATTCCAGGTTTTCATGTGTCATTTATTTAACCAAAATAATGGCTCAGGTTTTTTTTTTTTAATACTTTAAGTTTTAGGGTACATGTGCACATTGTGCAGGTTAGTTACATATGCGTACATGTGCCATGCTGGTGAACTGAACCCACAAACTTGTCATCTAGTGTTAGGTATATCTCCCAATGCTATCCCTCCCCCCTCCCCCCACCCAACAACTGTCCCCAGAGTGTGATGTTCCCCTTCCTGTGTCCACGTGATCCCATTGTTCAATTCCCACCTACGAGTGAGAATATGTGGTGTTTGGTTTTTTGGTCTTGTGAGAGTTTACTGAGAATGATTATTTCCAATTTCATCCATGTCCCTACAAAGGACATGAACTCATCACTTTTTATGGCTGCATAGTATTCCATGCTGTATATGTGCCACATTTTCTTAATCCACTCTATCATTGGACATTTGTGTTGGTTCCAAGTCTTTGCTATTGTGAATAATGCCACAATAAACATACGTGTGCATGTGTCTTTATAGCAGCATGATTTATAGCCCTTTGGGTATATACCCAGTAATGGCATGGCTGGGTCAAAAGGTATTTCTAGTTCTAGATCCCTGAAGAATTGCCACACTGACTTCCATAATGGTTGAACTAGTTTACTGTACCACCAACAGAGCAAAAGTGTTCCTATTTCTCCACATCCTCTCCAAAACCTGTTGTTTCCTGACTTTTTAATGATTGCCATTCTAAATGGTGTGAGATGGTATCTCATTCTGGTTTTGATTTGCATTTCTCTGTTGGCCAGTGATGATGAGCATTTTCTCATCTGTTTTTTGGCTGCATAAATGTCTTCTTTTGAGAAGTGTCTGTTCATGTCCTTTGCCCACTTTTTGATGAGCTTGTTTGATTTTTTCTTGTAAATTTGTTTGAGTTCACTGTAGATTCTGGATATTAGCGCTTTGTCAGATGAGTAGGTTGTGAAAATTTTCTCCCGTTTTGTAGGTTGCCTGTTCACTCTGATGGTAGTTTCTTTTGCTGTGCAGAAGCTCTTTAGTTTAATTACATCCCATTTGTCAATTTTGGCTTTTGTTGCCATTGCTTTTGGTGTTTTAGACATGAAGTCCTTGCCCATGCCTATATCCTGAATGGTAATGCCTAGGTTTTCTTCTAGGGTTTTTATGGTTTTAGGTCTAACATTTAAGTCTTTAATCCATCTTGAATTGATTTTTGTATAAGGTGTAAGGAAGGGATCCAGTTTCAGCTTTCTACATATGGCTAGCCAGTTTTCCCAGCACCACTTATTAAATAGGGAATCCTTTCCCCATTGCTGTTTTTCTCAGGTTTGTCAAAGTCCAGATAGTTGTAGATATGTGACATTATTTCTGAGGGCTCTGTTCTGTTCCATTGATCTATATTTCTGTTTTGGTACCAATACCATGCTGTTTTGGTTACTGTAGCCTTGTAGTATAGTTTGAAGTCAGGTAGTGTGATGACTCCAGCTTTGTTCTTTTGGCTTAGGATTGACTTGGCAATGCGGGCTCTTTTTTGGTTCCATAAGAACTTTAAAGTAGTTTTTTCCAATTCTGTGAAGAAAGTCATTGGTAGCTTGATGGGGATGGCATTAAATCTTTAAATTACCTTAGGCAGTATGGCCATTTTCACGATGTTGATTCTTCCTACCCATGAGCATGGATTGTTCTTCCATTTGTTTGTATCCTCTTTTATTTTCTTGAGCAGTGGTTTGTAGTTCTCCTTGAAGAGGTCCTTCACATCCCTTGTAAGTTGGATTCCTAGGTATTTTATTCTCTTTGAAGCAATTGTGAATGGGAGTTCACTCATGATTTGGCTCTCTGTTTGTCTGTTGTTGGTGTATAAGAATGCTTGCGATTTTTGTACTTGGATTTTGTATCCTGAGACTTTGCTGAAGTTGCTTATCAGCTTAAGGAGATTTTGGGCTGAGACAATGGGGTTTTCTAGATATACAATCATGTCATCTGCAAACAGGGACAATTTGACTTCCTCTTTTCTTAACTGAATATCTTTTATTTCCTTCTCCTGCCTAATTGCCCTGGCCAGAACTTCCAACTCTATGTTGAATAGGAATGATAAGAGATGGCATCCCTGTCTTGTGCCAGTTTTCAAAGGGAATGCTTCCAGTTTTTGCCCATTCAGTATGATATTGGCTGTGGGTTTTTCATAGACAGCTCTTATTATTTTGAAATACATCCCAACAATACCTAATTTATTGAGAGTTTTTAGCATGAGGCTTGTTGAATTTTGTCAAAGGCCTTTTCTACATCTATTGAGATAATCATGTGGATTTTGTCTTTGGCTCTGTTTATATGCTGGATTACATTTATTGATTTGCGTATATGAAACCAGCCTTGCATCCCATGGATGAAGCCCACTTGATCATGGTGGATAAGCTTTTTGATGTGCTGCTGGATTCGTTTTCCCAGTATGTTATTGAGGATATTTGCATCAATGTTCATCAAGGATATTGGTCTAAAATTCTCTTTTTTGGTTGTATCTCTGCCCGGCTTTGGTATCAGAATGGTGCTGGCCTCATAACATGAGTTAGGGAGGATTCCCTCCTTTCTATTGATTGGAATAATTTCAGAAGGAATGGTACCAGTTCCTCCTTGTATCTCTGGAAGAATTCGGCTGTGAATCTGACTGGTACTGCACTCTTTTTGGTTAGTAAACTATTGATTATAGCCACAATTGCAGATCCTGTTATTAGTCTATTCAGAGATTCAACTTCTTCCTGGTTTAGTCTTGGGAGAGTGTATGTGTCGAGGAATTTACCCATTTCTTCTAGATTTTCTAGTATATTTGCATAGAGGTGTTTGTAGTATTCTCTGATGGTAGTTTGTATTTCTGTGAGATCAGTGGTGATATCCCCTTTATCATTTTTATTGCGTCTATTTGATTCTTCTCTCTCTTTTTCTTTATTAGTCTTGCTAGCGGTTTATCTATTTTGTTGATCCTTTCAAAAAACCAGCTCCTGGATCCATTAATTTTTTGAAGGGTTTTTTGTGTCTCTATTTCCTTCAGTTCTGCTCTGATTTTAGTTATTTCTTGCCTTCTGCTAGCTTTTGAATGTGTTTGCTCTTGCTTTTCTAGTTCTTTTACTTGTGATGTTAGGGTGACAATTTTGGATCTTTCCTGCTTTCTCTTGTAGGCATTTAGTGCTATAAATTTCCCTCTACACACTGCTTTGAATGCGTCCCAGAGATTCTGGTGTGTTGTGTCTTTGTTCTTGTTGGTTTCAAAGAACGTCTTTATTTCTGCCTTCATTTCGTTATGTACCCAGTAGTCATTCAGGAGCAGGTTGTTCAGTTTCCATGTAGTTGAGGAGTTTTGAGTGAGATTCTTAATCCTGAGTTCTAGCTTGATTACACTGTGGTCTGAGAGTTAGTTATAATTTCTGTTCTTTTACATTTGCTGAGGAGAGCTTTACTTCCAAGTGTGTGGTCAATTTTGGAATAGGTGTGGTGTGGTGCTGAAAAAAAGTATATTCTGTTGATTCGGGGTGGAGAGTTCTGTAGATGTCTATTAGGTCCACTTGGGGCAGAGCTGAGTTCAATTCCTGGGTATCCTTGTTGACTTTCTGTCTCATTGATCTGTCTAATATTGACAGTGGGGTGTTAAAATCTCCCATTATTAATGTGTAGGAGTCTAAGTCTCTTTGTAGGTCACTCAGGACTTGCTTTATGAATCTGGGTGCTCCTGTATTGGGTGCATATATATTTAGGATAGTTAGCTCTTCTTGTTGAATTGATCCCTTTACCATTATGTAATGGCCTTCTTTGTCTCTTTTGATTTTTGTTGGTTTAAAGTCTATTTTATCAGAGACTAGGATTGCAACTCCTGTCTTTTTTTGTTTTCCATTTGCTTGGAAGATCTTCCTCCATCCTTTTATTTTAAGCCTATGTGTGTCTCTGCACGTGAATTGGGTTTCCTGAATACAGCACACAGATGGGTCTTGACTCTTTATCCAATTTGCCAGTCTGTGTCTTTTAATTGGAGCATTTAGTCCATTTACATTTAAAGTTAATATTCTTATGTGTGAATTTGATCCTGTCATTACGATGTTAGCTGGTTATTTTGCTCGTTAGTTGATGCAGTTTCTTCCTAGTCTCGATGGTCTTTACATTTTGGCATGATTTTGCAGTGGCTGGTAGCGGTTGTTCCTTTCCATGTTTAGCACTTCCTTCAGGAGCTCTTTTAGGGCAGGCCTGGTGGTGACAAAATCTCTCAGCATTTGCTTGTCTGTAAAGTATTTTACTTCTCCTTCACTTATGAAGCTTAGTTTGGCTGGATATGAAATTCTGGGTTGAGAATTCTTTTCTTTAAGAATGTTGAATATTGACCCCCACTCTCTTCTGGCTTGTAGGGTTTCTGCCGAGAGATCCGCTGTTAGTCTGATGGGCTTCCCTTTGAGGGTAACCCGACCTTTCTCTCTGGCTGCCCTTAACATTTTTTCCTTCTTTTCAACTTTGGTGCATCTGACAATTATGTGTCTTGGAGTTGCTCTTCTCGAGGAGTATCTTTGTGGCGTTCTCTGTATTTCCTGAATCTGAACGTTGGCCTGCCTTGCTAGATTGGGGAAGTTCTCCTGGATAATATCCTGCAGAGTGTTTTCCAACTTGGTTCCATTCTCCCCATCACTTTCAGGTACACCAATCAGACATAGATTTGGTCTTTTCACATAGTCCCATATTTCTTGGAGGCTTTGCTCATTTCTTTCTATTCTTTTTTCTCTAAACTTCCCTTCTCACTTCCTTTCATTCATTTCATCTTCCATCGCTGATACCCTTTCTTCCAGTTGATCGCATTGGCTCCTGAGGCTTCTGCATTCTTCTAGTAGTTCTGGAGCCTTGGTTTTCAGCTCCATCAGCTCCTTTAAGAACTTCTCTGTATTGGTTATTCTAGTTGTACATTCTTCTGAATTTTTTTCAAAGTTTTCAACTTCTTTGCCTTTGGTTTGAATGTCCTTCCATAGCTCAGAGTAGTTTGATCATCTGAACATTTCTTCTCTCAGCTCGTCAAAGTCATTCTTTGTTGAGCTTTGTTCCATTGCTGGTGAGGAACTGCACTCCTTTAGAGGAGGAGAGTTGCTCTGCATTTTAGAGTTTCCAGTTTTTCTGTTCTGTTTTTTTCCCCATCTTCATGGTTTTATCTACATTTGGTCTTTGATGATGGTGATGTACAGATGGGTTTTTGGTGTGGATGTCCTTTCTGTTTGTTAGTTTTCCTTCTAACAGACAGGACCCTCAGTTGCAGGTCCCTTGGAGTACCCCACCACATGTGGCGTCAGTCTGCCCCTGCTGGGGGGTGCATCCCAGTTAGGCTGCTCGGGGTCCGGGGTCAGGAACTCACTTGAGGAGGCAGTCTGCGCATTCTCTGATCTCCACCTTCATGCTGGGAGAACCACTGCTCTCTTCAAAGCTGTCAGACAGCGCCATTTAAGTCTGCAGAGGTTACTGCTGTCTTTTTGTTTGTCTGTGCCCTGCCCCCAGAGGTGGAGCCTACAGAGGCAGGCAGGCCTCCTTGAGCTGTGGTTGGCTCCACCCAGTTCGGGCTTCCCTGCTGCTTTGTTTACCTAAGCAAGCCTGGGCAACGGCGGGCATCCCTCCCCCAGCCTCGCTGCTGTCTTGCAGTTTGATCTCATACTGCTGTGCTAGCAAGCAGAGAGACTCCGTGGGTATAGGATCCTCCCAGCCATGTTGGGGATATAATTTCCTGGTGGGCCGTTTTTTAAGCCCTTTGGAAAAGTGCAGTATTTGGGTGGGAGTGACCGATTTTCCAGGTGCTGTCTATCACTCCTTTCTTTGACTAGGAAAGGGAACTCTCTGACCCCTTGCGCTTCCCAAGTGAGGCAATGCCTCGCCCTGCTTCGGCTCACAAATAGTGTATGCACCCACTGACCTGTGCCCACTGTCTGGCACTCCCTAGTGAGATGAACCCGGTACCTCAGATGGAAATGCAGAAATCACCCATCTTCTGCATCACTCACGCTGGGAGCTGTAGACTGGAGTTGTTCCTATTTGGCCATCTTGGCTCCTCCACCCTGTTTTAACTTTTCTATAAGAAAAAAGTTACATCTCACTTTAAGGGTGCATTGCAAGTCTTCCCTTCAAAAAAATTGAAAGATTTTGACATTTTTAAATTCAAGATTTTGTCACTATCAATATTATGCTAGCATAACATTAACAATCTTACCTAACTGATTATGTTACTTGACAATTATATTGCTGATTATAGTGTAATACCTAACCTTGTTTTTACTAACCTTGCTTTTAGACTCTCCCTTTCTCCCTTAATCACCTAGCCTTGTTTCCACATGTATAAGCTCTCCCTTGACTGAGAAAGCCTGATGAACTCCATTTGGCTCCTTCATTTACAAGACGTCAAGGACTCCTTACCCACCCCCTTCCTCAAGGAGTTCACTTGTGTAAGCTGACTCTCAACATATCAAAGAGTCCAATTAACTGATAAGGTACTGAAGCAAGCAATGTACAAAGTTCCCAGGATTTTGCTCAAGAGATAACACCATAACGCCTTGAGTTTCTGTCTGGCAGAGCCCCCATACCTAACATCTTATGATAGATTTAGAGCCCCTGCACCTGGAACTGTTGTCTTCCCTGTAACCATTTGTCTTTTTAAGTTTTTCGCATGTTTTCACTTCTGTAGAATTGTTGCAACTGAGCTCCCCTCCCCTTCCTAAACCAAAGTATAAAGGAAAAGCAAGCCTTTTCCTCGGGGCCAAGAGAATTCCAAACGTTAGCCGTCTCTCTCTCACTGGCTAATAAAGGACTCTTAAATTTGTCTCAAAGTGTGGTGTTCCTCTAACTCGCTTGGGTACAACAACAAGATCTTTGGGTTTTTGAACCAGGAGAATATGTTGCTCAATTATTGTTTATTCCCTGCAAATTACACCCTCCTCCATGAAAGGAGAAACAAGAGAATAAACGGTTTAGCAGCACAACTACATGGGAAATCTATCCATCCCAACCGATAGCCTCTGATAGGCCCACCTGTGTAGTGCAAATTAAAGGAAATAAATTTGGGGGCTTATGGATACGGGAGTTGATGTGTCAATAATATCTAAAGACAATCGGCCCCCATCCTGGCCATTACAATTAACTTCTACATCCTTAGCGGGAGTAGGAACAGCTCAAAGTGTTTAACAGAGTGCTGAGATTTTACCTTTTCCTGGTCCAGACGGACAATGGTGTACTTTTCAGCCTTATGTTGCAAATATAGCTATCAATTTATGGGGTCAAGACTTACTTACAGCATGGGATATGAGACTTACAAATGAAAACTTTGATAACCTAGGATTTAAAATGTTGAAGGACATGGGACATCAGAGTGGAAAATATTTAGAGAAATTCCTACAAGGAAACCCTAACCCAATATCAATAACTGGAAAGAAAGGTTAAACCCTGCCAGGAGACTCTTCACTAAATTTCCCATGGCAGTTGGCCAAAGAGGCAGAATTTGGAGTTGCAGCTTGTAGAACAAATGCTTTAGCAATGGCATGCCTCCCAGCTACACCTGCAGAAACCTTTGCTTTCATTATCCCTCAGACAAAATTTTGTAGTTTTATGAATTCCATTCTTTCATTCTTCCTGTGATTACTCATCACAAGCCTATTCCAGGTGGACAGACTTATTTTACTGATGGCTCTTCTAAAGGTCGTGCCACTCTCTATGGACCTAAACATACTCAAACAATAATGCCCTCTGGGGCTTCAGCTCAATTCTCAGTGCTAACTGCAGTCATTCAGATTTTACAGCTCACAGCTGCAGATCCTACCAACATTGTCTGTAATTCAGCTTATGTTGTAAATGTAGTCGGTCACATAGAAACTGCTACAGTTAAAGGTACGCTAGACCCAGAACTGACAATAGACACTTATTCTCATATGCTGCATGCTACATGCCAAACAGGTTCTGAGATTACTGATTAATCAGTATCAGCCACTGAGGAAAGAAAATGGAAATATGGAGACCAATAACACTATGAAGAGAGGTCAACAAGTCTGGAAAATAACCAGAGAGCATGTATATATGAAGGTCATAGAAGATTACCACTCTCTAGTACGTAGTATAAAGTTCTTATTTGGTACAGAGAGTGTCATCATGAATCCTGGTGCGTAGTTGAGATTGTGTTTTTTCTTTTATTTTCTTTTCCTTTTTGAGATGGAGTTTCACACTTATCACCCAGGCTAGAGTGCAATGGTGTGACCTCAGGTCACTGCAAACTCTGACTCCCATGTTGCAAGTGATTCTCCTGCCTCAGCTTTGCAAGTAGCTGGGATTGCAGCCATACACCAAAATGCCTGGCTAATTTTTTTTTTTTTTTTTTTTTTTTTTTTTTTTTTTGGATTTTTAGTAGAGGCGGGGTTTTACCATATTGGCCAGGCTGGTCTCAAACTCCTGAACTCAGATGCTCTGCCAGCCTCAGCCTCCCAAAGTGCTGAGATTACAGATGTGAGCCACTGCACCTGGCCACAATCGGGTTTCTTATGTTTGCACATTGCCAACTGATAAAGTTGGCATTATAATAGTCATTCTCACAATCCATTGTGGGGGTTCTGAATATCACATGCAGAAAGAGTCCACAGTTAAAACTGTGACTGTCATATGTGAACATATAGCCACAGTTGAAATATAACCTATTTCTAAACCCAGCTCACAGGCAGGTAAAGACCCTCTTATTTGGACCAAGTCAATTGGAGAGAGGACCGAGTCAATTGGAGAGACGTTGACTCTCATATCTGTGCTGGACACAGCTGAGTTTATGTGTCCATACCAGTAAAAAGGCTTCAGAACACATCGAGACTCTTTTTTATTTTTTCTTTTCTTTCAGGACAGAGTTTCAATCTTGTTGCCCAGGCTCGGGTGCAATGGTATGATCTTGGCTCACTGCAACCTCTGCCTCCCGGGTTCAAGTGATTCTCCTGTCTCAGCCTTCTGAGTAGTTGGGATTGCAGGCACCCAACACTACACCTAGCTAAATTTTGGTATGTTTAGTAGAGATGGAGTTTCACCATGATGGCCAGGCTGGTCTTGAACTACTGACCTCAGGTGATCCATCCACTTCGACCTCCCAAAGTGCTGGGATTACAGGCACGAGCCACTGCACCCAGCCCAGACTCTCATTTATATTGTATAAAGCTTTCAGATAGTGTAGAAAGTTTATGGAACCCAGCACACAGGTGGAATTGTGCATTCATATGCACATCCAGCCAACAGCAAAGATTTTCATTCTCCCACGGGAACGCGGCCCATTGATGAGGTTTTATATCTAACAGCCAAAAGTTTGCAGTCAAAAGGCAGTCAAAAGTTTAAAAACTTACTCTCATACATCATTCCAGTCCATGGTTAGGTTGGTCACCCTCAAACAAAAATTCAGCACACTGTGTGTGCTGTGTGTGGCTGTGGCTCCCTGAAGGAGACAAAGTCTGCAGGAGAGGTTGAGGCTTTTATGGCCAGATTAAGTCCACTATTGAGATTGTGACTAGTATACTTAGATCCAACATACAAGAAAATTCACCCTCATGCATGAAATCAAGACATTTGTGGGATCATTAGTACCATCACTTAAAGCCTCCTGCAGGTACCATTGTGACATGCTTCTGTCTAGCACCTTAGTGATTTGAGTGTCCTGTGTGGGCTAAGCCCACAGATGGTTTTGCTTCAAATCGCTGAGCCCAGCACTTCGGGGATGTGACTCTGTTTTTATTCGTTGGTATTGCCCACAAAGGACATTGTGACATACCACTGGGCTTACTCTTTAGTTGATATGAGTCTCCTCTCCTGCCTTGGTGCTCTTCACTGGTGGAATTTTGACATATCTCTGCATTCCACACCCAGATAATGTAAGTCTCCTGCCTGGTCTTGCCACCATGGGCCACTGTGTCATATTGCTTGGTCCAGCTCTGAGACAATATAACCCTCCTGCCTGAACCCTGCATACAGAGGGCATTATGGCATAGCTCTGCACCCATCACCCAGGTGATCTGACTGTCTTCTTCTGCCTAGGGGAAATTGTGACATATTTGGCCAAACACCTAGCTGATGTGACTTCTTCCTAGGTTCTGTTCTAAGGACAGACAGTGACATATCACTGGGCTCAACTGAAAGGTACCATTACTCTTGTTTCTGGAACCTATTCTCTGATTGCAATGTGACATATATGTGGGCTCAGCACCAAGGTAATGTCAATCTGATGCCTGGCCCTGCTTAGATGGGGCATTGTGACATATCCTGGGCCCATAAACTATTTGGCATAACTCTTTTCTCTTACTTGGCTTTCCCCATAGGAGAGATTGTTACATATCTCTTGGCCCAACACCTAGATAGATAATTCAACTCTCCTCTGTTGCTTAGTCCATGTCCACGGAAAGGACAATGAGTTGTCACTGGGACCTGCACACAGATGATGTGCTATGTCACCTGGTCCCTACTCACAGCGGTCATTGTCACTTATTGGTGTGGTCATTTCCTAGATGGTATGACTCTCATTTCCTTTTTAGGACTTGTTCACAGTGGGGATCATAACGTGTTGTTTGGCCTAGCCCCTAGGATATGTGACTGTCCGTTTCTTATTAAGCCCTGCCCACAGAGTACATAGTGACATATCTCTGAGCCTTCACCTAGGTGATGTGGCTCTCATGCCTGAGCCCTTTACTCAGGGAGTATTGTGACATATTGCCAACCCTAGCACATAGGTTATATGATTCTCATCTCATGCCTGGGCCACACCCATGTGGGAAAATGTGGCATAGAGCTGGGTCCAGCCCCTAAGATATGTGACTCTCCTCCTCTTTCTGGGTCCTATCCAGGGAGGACATTGTGTCATATCTGTAAGGAGTTTACCTAGGTAATGTGACCTATCTGCATGGTCCCTCCACTCAGGGGATGTTGTGAGATATTGCTGGACCCAGTGATGGCAGTGGTGGCCCATGTGGTGTTGTTTATGTGAAGGCACCAGCTTCATGAGGATGTATGGCAGGGGTTGCATGCTTCATGGAGCCAGTGAGAGCCAAGGATATGTGGGAACCTCACCTTTTACCAAGTTAGAGGGGTGGAAGTCCCATGCTCCTGGGCACAGCTGCAGCTGTCCAGCCACAGATCCAGATCCAGGAATCCAGGTACTCTTGAGGGATGAGGGTTTCCCTCTTTTTTCCTGCAGGTTCAGTAGGGCCTGCTCCCACTGTCTGGCATTTCTCCACTCCTGGTGTCTGCTCTGATTTTGGAGGAAAATTGTGGCTGCGGCTGGGTGCCATTATAACCTGGCCAAGTTTGCACACACAGGGTGGTGCTGACATGCTAGACTCTTGTAGCCTTAACACCCTCCAAACTTTGGGCACTGACAAGCATGAGAGAGAGTCCAGGGAGGCTAAGGGCAGCTTGGTGTGGGTCTACAAGCACCTGTTGGCATGAACAGCCTGCATGGCGGGAATGGTATGTTCATGATGGGAGGCAGACGGGTTACTGGGTGGAAAGGAGTGGATCTCCCGTGAAACTCCACCTTCAAACAAGGAACAGCCTGAAGTGGGGGGTTGGGCTTACTTATAAACTTTGGGTGGAGTCAGCAACCCAGAGTGAGAACTTATGATGCTTTTTCTGGGCCCACCCATGACCATCCATGGACCAGTCAGCATGCACTTTCTCCATGCTGAGCCCATAAAAACCCCAGACTCCACCAGACTAGAACAGACATTGGGACAATATGCCCACCAAAAGGATATACATATTGTGGGTCTCCTCTCTGCTGAGAGCTGGACACCTGTCAGGATGACCTGCCTGCTGAAAGAAACTATCCATTTCAGGTCTCTGGAGAGTTGTTCCATTACTCAGTGAATCTCCTCACTGCCTTGCTCACTCTCCAGTTATTCTCATTACTTACTCTTCCTGGATGCAGGACAAGAACCTGGGACCCGCTGAGTGGTGGGATTAAAACGGCTGTAACATAAATGACTAAAACACATCCACTTCCACTCACCATGTTGCAGGTAACAAGAAGGTGAGAAAATAGGTGGCCCTCTGGGAAGCCCAGACCAAGGGTCTTCACAAGCCAGGGCTGTAAAATCTCTTTGGCCTCTGTGGTTTCTGGCATCTCCAAGCTTTTGGTGGCCATGTTCCCCTTGTCTAAACGTGGGTGCCCACAGTGAAAGTTACATGCAGTATACATGTAACTACATGTAAATACATGTAGCTACAGCCTTGCACAGAGCTGGCACATGTGCCAGCACCAGGAGCTGCCTGTCCTGCCACAGCAGGACCCCATGTGTGCTCACTTACATATCCCTTGCCACTTCATGGCTGGATTGATGTAGCAGGTGTGGAATCTGGGCCAGCAGTGCAACTTAAGCACAGCCTGCTGGGCTTAATGGGCAGAACAAGCCAAGTGGCATGAGTGATACTCAGGCAGAAGGTACCTGAGTGATACTCAGGCAGAAGGTACCACCAGTCACGGAGATTTCTAGATGATAAAGCAACACTCCAAAAATCCTTTGGCAGACTCATCTGGGATTTGTAGAATGGCAAATAAAAGCAAACTTGTTGCTTTCTGTCCTAAACATCACAATAGCCAAAAATAAAAGAAAAATACAGGTCCTCTGTTTGTCAGTTAAAAGCAACTGGCAAAGCTGCCTGACTTAAGACAGGGAGGACAGGCTTGCTGAGGAAAACACTGTTAATCCCCCATAACCCTCAGGTGTTGGGAATGTTGGCTTTTTTCTCTTTTTTTCAAATCAGTTTACCTTTACAGAGTTCTAGCCATTGTGTGGAATCAGAATAAGGTATTAGGGCAACTGAATACATCTGGCCAAGGCCATACCTTGACTGACTCCAGTAAACAGCCCCTCAATGTGTTGATACAATGTGTTGGCCCTCCCCAGAGGGTCACAGCCCTTCTCACCTTCTTGTTGCCTTCAGCCTTTTTTATTAACCTCCCTCCCACCCTCCATTTTCTTCCTTCCCTCCTTCCTTCCTTCCTTCCTTCCTTCCTTCCTTCCTTCCTTCCTTCTTCCTTCCTTCCTTCCTTCCTTCCTTCCTACCTTCTTCCTTCCTTCCTTCCTTCGTTCTTTCCTTCCTTGACTGCTGTGGCTGTGATTTTCTTCTCTACCTACAATCTTAAGAATGTTGTTGCAAACCACAGGTACATTACCCGATAGAATGAGAATTTGGTTTAGTCATCAGGAGTAGAAAATGGAAGGTTAAGAGTAGCACAGATTAAAAAAAGTGTTTCTTGGTATTTATACATAAGTTTGTGGTGAAAACTTTCTTGTCATTTCCTTGGTTGTCAAATTTTTCCAAGCACCTTCAGACACAGATAAGAAGCATGGCCTCAAGAAAAAAGCATTAATTTCAATACCATCCTGCAGCTATATTGCCAAGCACCTTCAGGCACAGAAAAGAAGTAAGACCTCAGGAAAAAAGCATTAATTTAAATACCATCCTGAAGCTGGACTTTCTCTGTAAATGTGAAGGCAAATGGTCCAAGATCCCATACGTGCAGACTTTCTTTACCTTGCAGGGTTATCTAGACCTTTGCCAACATTGTAGGATTAATTTGGCCCTCCTGGTGGCCACATCAGGAGAGGCTGCAAGGGAAAAATTCAGGGACTTAGGGAAGCAAACCCAAGAGGTACCTTCAGTGGGGTAGTCAACTCTCTCCATTCCTTCCTATTCAGGTTTTCTCTCAAATTTGTTCCATTCTAGAAATTCTCATTTTAGGCAGGTCTTTGTCTTCTGTCCCTACAACAGATGTCTGGTGAATATGGACCCACTAAAATCAAGGTCTCCTTTACTCTATATGACTTAAGGCAAATTAGGTGTGAACTCAACAAGTTTTCAGATGACCTTGACAGGTATATGGAAGCCTTCCAGAATTTAATCTAAGTATTTGAACTCTCCTGGAAAGAATGTTATATTACCTTTTAATCAAATACTGACTGCTGCTAAAAAGGGGGCTGCCTTGGAAGAGCACCCCTGCAGTTAAGTGCTTTTTTCCTCCACCATGTCAGGATTCAACGTAGTTTTTCCATGTGAGGGTACAGGTGGGTTTTTTTTGGCAGTTCCCCAATTTCAAAACTTCTTTTCTCTCCCTAGGAACTGTCATGTGTAATTCTGAGTTATGAAACTGTCACAATTTGATTAACTGTCTTTGTTCTGTTTCTGTATGCTTGCTTTCATGCCACTGTAAGCCTACTGCAAGCTAGCCCACACCCCCTTTTAAAATGTATGTAAAAGTCAAGTGCTGTCTTTGTTCTGGGCCCAGTGTTTGGATGTTAAGTCCACTGCATCTGAGTGCACTCATTAATCCTCCTGCTTTTACCTCAAAGTAAAGATCTCCCTGGTCCCTCTTGTTCCACGAAAGTGGCCCGAGGCCTACACCATCATCTGCCTCTGGGTCACTCAGATTCAGCTTTGCCTTTTAGGTTTTCAAACCAAAGTTTTGGACAAAAGGGTGCCACATGAGGGTGTTTTTCATAGAACTCCAGAACCCCAGAAATTAAAAGGAGAAGATTCCTCTCAAAATCAGCTTTTGTTTCTTGGAGAGATCCACCCTGTAACCAGTAGTCCATTCAGGAGATTGGCAATAAAAAAAAGGTCTTGCAATGACTGTATTATCTCTTGTCTGTTTGTGTAGTTATATGTGTGTTCTATGTATAATGTTTATATTAAAATGAGTTTTAATTGATTGGCTTAAGGAGAAAATAATAACCTAAATAAAATATTTTTAAAGAAAATAAAGCTATAATGCTTTTAGCTCATATGACTTTGATCTTTGAATTTAAGATTATCGGTAAAATAAGAATGTCTCATAATGTGCACATGTGGTATAAATTATGCAGGTCAGAAACTAGGTTTGCTAAGTGCTTTGAGGTCAAAGGGGCTTCTTTGTCTTTTGAAAATTTTTAACTTGTTTTCTTTACAGTTTGGGTAAGGCCTGGGGACATATGAAGTTAACAACACCCTAACTATGCTGGAAATAGTCTGGCCTTATCTGCATCTACTACATACTTAAAGTAACTTATCAGGTTTTACATCAAAATTAAAAATTGCTAAGAGTTACCATTATAACATATAACTGAGACTACTGAAAGTAAATTTACATGCAATGTGTACAAGGAAAGTAAATATGTTTTTAGTAAAACATTATAAGATGGCATGGGAATATAAATTTTTGCCTAGTTTGAAGCTAAAGGATTATGTTAAATTAGATAAGATAAAGCAAAAGTGAAAACAAGTAGTGGATGGCTTGTAAAACTTAATCTTGTAAAATAAATTATGTGTATAAACATACTGACTAAATTCAAAAAGATATTATTTGGTTTTCCCATACATTGAACATTGGAAGCCAAGCATTTCTTATTGCACTGATCTGCTTTTTAACGAATATTTCTACAGGTTTATAAAAGGCTTGTAAGAATTTCACCTCACTGTCAAACGGATAAAAATTGAATACATTTGCATATAACGTTTCATTTAAAAAAATGGGATGACATGAATAATAGACTAATGGATGGATAAAATTTTGTTCTCTCTCAGCAATATTTTCATGTAATGTTAACACCTGTAATCCCAACACTTTGGGAGGCCGAGGTGGGCAGATCACCTGAGGTTGGGAGTCTGAGACCAGTCTGGCCAATATGGTGAAACCTCATCTCTAATGAAAGTACAAAAATTAGCCAGGCATGGCGGTGGTCACCTGTAGTCTCAGCTACTCAGGAGGCTGAGGCAGGAGAATTGCTTGAACCCAGGAAGTGAAGATTACAGTGAGCCAAGATCATGCCACTGCACTCCAGCCTGGGTGACAGAGAGAGATCCTGTCTCAAAAATAAATAAGTAAATAAATATATAAATAATAAAAAATTTTTGTTTGCTTTGTGAACAGACTATCAAGAAGTGAAGAAAAAAACAAGAGACAGATCATTTGGAAAGCTCACTCTTCCCTTTAATAAGTAAAGGGTTTTGTCTTTTAAAAAAAACTGAGCCAGGGAGGAGCCAAGATGGCCGAATACGAAGAGCTCCGGTCTACAGCTCCCAGCATGAGCGACCCAGAAGAAGGGTGATTTCTGCATTTGCCTCTGAGGTACCGGGTTCATCTCACTAGGGAGTGCCAGAGAGTGGGCACAAGTCAGTGGGTGCACACACCTTGCATGAGCCGAAGCAGGGTGAGGCATTGCCTCACTCGGGAAGCACAAGGGGTCAGGGAGTTCCCTTTCCTAGTCAAAGAAAGGGGTGATAGACGGCACCTGGAAAATCGGGTCACTCCCACCCTAATACTGCGCTTTTCCGACAGGCTTAAAAAACGGCGCACCACGAGATTAAATCCCGCACCTGGCTCCGAGGGTCCTATGCCGACGGAGTCTCGCTGATTGCTAGCACAGCAGTCTGAGATCAAACTGCAAGGCAGCAGCGAGGCTAGGGGAGGGGCGCCCACCATTGCCCAGGCTTGCTTAGGTAAACAAAGCAGCCCGGAAGCTCCAACGGGGTGGAGCCCACCACAGCTCAAGGAGGCCTGCCTGCCTCTGTAGGCTCCACCTCTGGGGGCAGGGCACAGACAAACAAAAAGACAGCATTAACCTCTGCAGACTTAAATGGCCCTGTCTGACAGCTTTGAAGAGAGCAGCGGTTCTCCCAGTACAGAGCTGGAGATCTGAGAATGGGCAGACTGCCTCCTCAAGTGGGTCCCTGACCCCTGACTCCCGAGCAGCCTAACTGGGAGGCACCCCCCAGCAGGGGCACACTGACACTTCTCACGGCAGGGTACTCCAACAGACCTGCAGCTGAGGGTCCTGTCTGTTGGAAGGAAAACTAACAAACAGAAAGGACATCCACACCAAAAACCCATCTGTACATCACCATCATCAAAGACCAAAAGTAGATAAAACCACAAAGATGGGGAAAAAAACAGAACAGAAAAACTAGAAACTCTAAAAAGCAGAGCGCCTCTCCTCCTCTAAAGGAACGCAGTTCCTCACCAGCAACGGAACAAAGCTGGATGGAGAATGACTTTGACGAACTGAGTGAAGAAGTCTTCAGACGATCAAATTACTCTGAGCTACGGAAGGACATTCAAACCAAAGGCAAAGAAGTTGAAAACTTTGAAAAAAATTCAGAAGAATGTACAACTAGAATAACCAATACAGAGAAGTGCTTAAAGGAGCTGATGGAGCTGAAAACCAAGGCTCCAGAACTACTAGAAGAATGCAGAAGCCTCAGGAGCCAATGCGATCAACTGGAAGAAAGGGTATCAGCGATGGAAGATGAAATGAATGAAAAGAAGTGAGAAGGGAAGTTTAGAGAAAAAAGAATAGAAAGAAATGAGCAAAGCCTCCAAGAAATATGGGACTATGTGAAAAGACCAAATCTATGTCTGATTGGTGTACCTGAAAGTGATGGGGAGAATGGAACCAAGTTGGAAAACACTCTGCAGGATATTATCCAGGAGAACTTCCCCAATCTAGCAAGGCAGGCCAACGTTCAGATTCAGGAAATACAGAGAACGCCACAAAGATACTCCTCGAGAAGAGCAACTCCAAGACACATAATTGTCAGATGCACCAAAGTTGAAAAGAAGGAAAAAATGTTAAGGGCAGCCAGAGAGAAAGGTCGGGTTACCCTCAAAGGGAAGCCCATCAGACTAACAGCGGATCTCTCGGCAGAAACCCTACAAGCCAGAAGAGAGTGGGGGTCAATATTCAACATTCTTAAAGAAAAGAATTCTCAACCCAGAATTTCATATCCAGCCAAACTAAGCTTCATAAGTGAAGGAGAAGTAAAATACTTTACAGACAAGCAAATGCTGAGAGATTTTGTCACCACCAGGCCTGCCCTAAAAGAGCTCCTGAAGGAAGTGCTAAACATGGAAAGGAACAACCGCTACCAGCCACTGCAAAATCATGCCAAAATGTAAAGACCATCGAGACTAGGAAGAAACTGCATCAACTAACGAGCAAAATAACCAGCTAACATCGTAATGACAGGATCAAATTCACACATAAGAATATTAACTTTAAATGTAAATGGACTAAATGCTCCAATTAAAAGACACAGACTGGCAAATTGGATAAAGAGTCAAGACCCATCTGTGTGCTGTATTCAGGAAACCCAATTCACGTGCAGAGACACACATAGGCTTAAAATAAAAGGATGGAGGAAGATCTTCCAAGCAAATGGAAAACAAAAAAAGACAGGAGTTGCAATCCTAGTCTCTGATAAAATAGACTTTAAACCAACAAAAATCAAAAGAGACAAAGAAGGCCATTACATACTGGTAAAGGGATGAATTCATCAAGAAGAGCTAACTATCCTAAATACATATGCACCCAATACAGTAGCACCCAGATTTATAAAGCAAGTCCTGAGTGACCTATAAAGAGACGTAGACTCCCACACAATAATAATGGGAAACTTTAACACCACACTGTCAACATTAGACAGATCAACGAGACAGAAAGTCAACAAGGACACCCAGGAATTGAACTCAGCTCTGCACCAAGTGGACGTAATAGACATCTGCAGAACTCTCCACCCCAAATCAACAGAATATACATTTTGTTCAGCACCACACCTATTCCAAAATTGACCACATACTTGGAAGTAAAGCTCTCCTCAGCAAATGTAAAAGAACAGAAATTATAACAAACTATCTCTCAGACCACAGTGCAATCAAACTAGAACTCAGCGTTAAGAATCTCACTAAAAACTGTTCAACTACATGGAAAGTGAACAATCTGCTCCAGAATGACTACTGGGTACATAATGAAATGAAGACAGAAATAAAGATGTTATTTGAAACCAACGAGAACAAAGACACAACATACAATGCATGTCTGGGATGCATTCAAAGCAGTGTGTAGAGGGAAATTTATAGCACTAAATGCCCACAAGAGAAAGCAGAAAAGATCCAAAATTGACACCCTAACATCACAATTGAAAGAACTAGAAAAGCAAGAGCAAACACATTCAAATGCTAGCAGAAGGCAAGAAATAACTAAAATCAGAGCAGAACTGAAGGAAATAGAGACACAAAAAACCCTTCAAAAAATTAATGAATCCAGGAGCTGGTTTTTTGAACGGATCAACAAAATTGATAGACCACTAGCAAGACTAAGAAAGAAAAAAGGAGAGAAGAATCAAATAGGCACAATAAAAAATGATAAAGGGGATATCACCACAGATCCCACAGAAATACAAACTACCATCAGAGAATACTACAAACACCTCTATGCAAATAAACTAGAAAATCTAGAAGAAATGGATAAATTCTTTGACACATACACCATCCCAAGACTAAACCAGGAAGAAGTTGAATCTCTGAATAGACCAATAACAGGAGCTGAAATTGTGGCAATAAGCAACAGCTTACCAACCAAAAAGAGTCCAGGACCAGAGAGATTCACAGCCAAATTCTACCAGAGGTACAAGGAGGAATTGGTACCATTCCTTCTGAAACTATTCCAATCAATAGAAAAAGAGTGAATCCTTCCTAACTCATTTTATGAGGCCAGCATCATCCTGATACCAAAGCCAGGCAGAGACACAACCAAAAAAGAGAATTTTAGATCAATATCCTTGATAAACCTTGATATAAAAATCCTCAATAAAATACTGGCAAAAGGAATACAGCAGTACATCAAAAAGCTTATCTACCATGATCAAGTGGGCTTCATCCCTGGGATCCAAGGCTGGTTCCATATACACAAATCAATAAATGTAATCCAGCATATAAACAGAGCCAAAGAAAAAAAACCACATGATTATCTCAATAGAAGCAGAAAAGGTCTTTGACAAAATTCAACAACCTTCATACTAAAAACTCTCAATAAATTAGGTATTGATGGGATGTATTTCAAAATAATAAGAGCTATCTATGACAAACCCACAGCCAATATCATACTGAATGGGCAAAAACTGGAAGCATTCCCTTTGAAAACTGGCACAAGACAGGGATGCCATCTCTTATCACTCCTATTCAACATAGAGTTGGAAGTTCTGGTCAGGGCAATCAGGGAGGAAAAGGAAATAAAAGTTATTCAATTAGGAAAAGAGGAAGTCAAATTGTCCCTGTTTGCAGGCGACATGATTGTATATCTAGAAAACCCCATTGTCTCAGCCCAAAATCTCCTTAAGCTGATAAGCAACTTCAGCAAAGTCTCAGGACACAAAATCAATGTACAAAAATCACTAGCATTCTTATACACCAACAACAGACAAACAGAGAGCCAAATCATGAGTGAACTCCCATTCACAATTGCTTCAAAGAGAATAAAATACCTAGGAATCCAACTTACAAGGGACGTGAAGGACCTCTTCAAGGAGAACTACAAACCATTGCTCAAGGAAATAAAAGAGGATACAAAGAAATGGAAGAACATTCCATGCTCATGGGTAGGAAGAATCAATATCGTGAAAATGGCCCTACCACTGAAGGTAATTTATGGATTCAATGTCATCCCCATCACGCTACCAATGACTTTCTTCACACAATTGGAAAAAGCTACTCTAAAGGTCATATGGAACCAAAAAAGAGCCCGCATCACCAAGTCAATCCTAAGCCAAAAGAACAAAGCTGGAGGTATCACACTACCTGACTTCAAACTATACTACAAGGTTACAGTAACCAAAACAGCAGAGTACTGGTACCAAAACAGAGATATAGATCGATGGAACAGAACAGAGCCCTCAGAAATAACGACGTGTATCTACAACTATCTGATCTTTGACAAACCTGAGAAAAACAAGCAATGAGGAAAGGATTCCCTATTTAATAAATGGTGCTGGGAAAACTGGCCAGCCATATGTAGAAAGCTGAAACTGGATCCCTTTCTTACACCTTATACAAAAATCAATTCAAGATGGATTAAAGACCTAAACGTTATACCTAATGCCATAAAAACCACAGAAGAAAACCTAGGCATTACCATTCAGGACATAGGCATGGGCAAGGACTTCATGTCTAAAACACCAAAAGTGATTGCAACAAAAGACAAAATTGAAAAATGGGATCTAATTAAACTAAAGAGCTTAATTATTTTTGCTTCTGCACAGCAAAAGAAACTACCATCAGAGTGAACAGGCAACCTACAAAATGGGAGAAAACTTTCACAACCTACTCATCTGAAAAAGGGCTAATAACCAGAATCTACAATGAACTCAAACAAATTTACAAGAAAAAAACAAACAACCCCATCAAAATTGGGTGAAGGACATGAACAGACATTCTCAAAGGAAGATATTTATGCAGCCAAAAAACACATAAGAAAATGCTCACCATCACTGGCCATCGGAGAAATGCAAATCAAAACCACAATGAGATACCACCTCACACCAGTTAGAATGGTGATCATTAAAAAGTCAGGAAACAACAGGTGCTGGAGAGGATGTGGAGAAATAGGAACAGTTTTACACTGTTGGTGGGACTGTAAACTAGTTCAACCATTGTGGAAGTCAGTGTGGCAATTCCTCAGGGATCTAGAACTAGAAATAAGATTGCACCCAGCTATCCCATTACTGGGTATATACGCAAAGGTTTATAAATCATGTTGCTATAAAGACACATGCACACGTATGTTTATTGTGGCACTATTCACAATAGCAAAGATTTGGCACCAACCCAGATGTCTGACAATGATAGACTGGATTAAGAAAATGTGGCACATATACACCATGGAATACTAAGCAGCCATATAAAATGATGAGTTCATGTCCTTTGCAGGGACATGGATGAAATTGGAAATCATCATTCTCAGTAAACTATCGCAAGAACAAAAAACCAAACACCGCGTATTCTCACTCATAGGTGGGAATTGAACAATGAGAACACATGGACACAGGAAGGGGAACATCACACTCTGGGGACTGTTGTGTGGTGGGGGGAGGGGGGAGGGATGGCATTGGGAGATATACCTAATGCTAGATGATGAGTTAATGGGTGCAGCGCACCAGCAAGGCACATGTATACATATGTAACTAACCTGCACATTGTGCACATGTACCCTAAAACTTAAAGTATAATTATAACAAATTAAAAAAGGAAAAGTTAAAACAATGAGTGTATTTGGTTCAATAAATATATCTTTCTGTATTTTATAATTTTATTTAAAAATATTTTTACCTAAGGGCCAGATATTTATTCCTATTAGCCATTCCCTAGGAGAGCCACTAGTTTAAGAGAATTATTTTTCTTGCTCTTTCTAAATGTTTTTCTGTGCTAAAATGTTACTTTGTGTTAAAATCCTCCTTTCCTTTAAAGACAACCCATCATTAAGGGTCCTGACAAAAAGCTTATTGTCCACTTTTAGAACTAGACATATGTTCATTTTGATGATTCTCTACAAGGGCCACTGAGAGTGTTCTTCTCCTTGCTCTTTCTAGACACCTATCTAAAAGTTTTTCTTGTTGAAAACATTTTTTTTTCCAAAACCATAACTGACTGTCATCATAAGTTCTGGCACAACACTTTTCATTAGCTTTCAGTGATGGATATTTATTTGTTTTTAAGGTTCTCTAAGAGGGCCACTGATGTGAGAGAATTGATCTGGTTGTTTTTTCTAAATGCCTGTCTACAAGTGCGTTTTGAACTAAGTGTCATTTTTTTTTTAAGCAAATCACCTGCTATTAAAAATTCTAACACAAAGTTTGTTGTCAGCTGTCAGGGCTGAATATTTATTTATATTTAAGTTTATGATATTGAAAGTTTCCTAACAGGGAAATAAGTGCAACAAATTTTGTTTCTTCCTCAAAATGATTGTCTGCAAACTTTTTTTGTGTTTTGAAATTTTGTTTGTCCTAAAAGAAAATTACCCAACTTCAACAGTTCTGACACAAAACCTGTCAAATTTCAGAGTCACATATTTGCACATTTTGATGGTTGAAAAAAAACACAACCATGTAAGAGAATGACCCTCCTAGCTGTTTCAAAATAACTGTGTGCCAACTTTTCATTATGGAGGCATCTTTCATTTTTAGAATAAATATTACCTGTCATCCAGACTTCTGGCAAATAACTTGTTGTCAGTGTTCAGAAGCAAATATTTGTTTTTATTTATAAATTTCCAGAAGGGCCACTGATAGGAGAGAATCTATCTCCTTGCTTCTTCTAAATGCCTGTCTTCAAACTTTCATTGTTTTGAAATCTTCCTTTTCATCAAAAATGCCTTCATCAATAATACTGGCATAAACCTTTGGTCAGTTTGAAAACTGAATATTTTTCCTATTGATAAGCCTCTATATAAAGGCCACTGGCATTAGACAGTTTTCCTCCTGCTGTTTCTAAATGCCTCTTGCAAACTTTGCTTTGTGGTAAAAATCTTTCTTTCTTATTGAAAGAAAAAAAAACCAACACCTGTCAAGAGTTCTGGTACAGGCCAGGTGTGGTGGCTCATGCCTGTAATCCCAGTATTCTGGGAGGCTGAGGCAGGCGGACCACTTGAGGTGAGGAGTTTGAGACCAGCCTGGCCAACTTGAGGTGAGGAGTTTGAGACCAGCCTGGCCAACATGGTGAAACCCATCTCTGCTAAAAATACAAAAATTAACCTGGTATTGTGATGTGTGCCTGCAGCTACTCGGGAGGCTGAGGCAGAAGCCTCACTTGAATTCAGGAGATGGAGGGTGCAGTGAGCCAAGATCATGCTACTGCACTCTGGCTTGGGTGACAGAGTGAGACTCTGTCTAGAAAAAAAGAAAGAAAGAAAAAAAAAAGAAAGCTCTTGAACAAATCTTTTTTCAGCTTTGAGAACTATAATTTGTTAATATTCAGTGTCCTCAGGAAGCCAACTAGCATAAGAAAATTCCTCTCCTTGCTCATTCCAACAGCCTGTCTGACAACTTTTCTTTCTGTTTAATTTTTTTTTCCTAGAAGAAAACTACATATCAACAAGAGTTCTGGCATGAGGGTTGTTACCTTATTTGAGGGAAGGGTATTCATTTATTTTCATATTTTTTCAGGAAGGCCACTGATAGAATTCCTTTCCCTTGCTTCTTCTAAATGTCTGCAAACTTTGCATATAGAAGTTTTCCTTTCTCTGAAAAAATTACCTGTTTTAAAGAGTTCTGATCCATAGTTTCTTGCATATTTCAGGGCCAGGTATTTGTTTATTTTTGTGATTTCTATGAGAGCCGCTGAAGTGAGATAACTTTCTTGCTCCTTCTAAATGGCTATTGGATAAGTTATCTGTTTTAGAACATCTTCCTTTTTCTAAAAGAGAAGGGCCATTCTCATGAGTTCTGGCATGTACTTTGTGGTAAGCTTTCAGGCTTAGATATTTTTATGGTTCACTAACAGGTTTACTGTTGCTAGAAAAAAATGCCCTTTCGGCTTTTTATAAATGCTTGTCAACAAACTTTTCTCCAAGGAAATGTTTTCCATTTCCTGAAGAGAAACTACTTATCATCAAGAGTCTTTTCATAAAGCTTGTGTCACCTTTCAGTGCCTGAAGTATGTTTATATTGATGGGTTTCCTGAAAAAAAAAAAAAACACTGGGAGGAAAAAATCAACCTTATTACTCCTTTTAAATGTATGTTTGTGAATTTCTTATCAGGCCTCTGAACCCAAGCCAAGCCATCGCATCCCCTGTGATTTGAAGGTATATGCCCAGGTGGCCTGAAGTAACCGAAGAATCGCAAAAGAAGTGAAAATGCGCTGCCCCGCCTTAACTGATGACATCCCACCACAAAATAAGTGCAAATGCCAGTCCTTGCCTTAACTGATGACATTCTACCATAAAAGAAGTGAAAATGTCCAGTCCTTGTCTTAAGTGATGACATTATCTTGTGAAAGTTCTTTTCCTGGCTCGTCCTGGCTCAAAACCCTCCTTCACTGAGCACCTTTTGACCCCCATTCCTGCCCACCAGAGAGCAAATCCACTTTGACTGTAATTTTCCTTTATCTACCCAAATCCTATAAAATGGCCCCACCCTTATCTCCCTTCACTGACTTTCTTTTCCTACTCAGCCTGCCTGCACCCAGGTGGTTAAAAGCTTTATTGCTCACACAAAGCCTGTTTGGTGGTCTCTTCACACAGACATGCATGAAATTTGGTGCTGTGATTCAGATTGGGGGACCTCCCTTGGGAGATCAATCCCCTGTCCTCCTGCTCTTTGCTCTGTGAGAACGATCCACCTATGACCTCAGGTCCTCAGACTGACCAGCCCAAGAAACATCTCACGAATTTCAAATCTGGTAAGCAGCCTCTTTTTACTCTCTTCTCCAACCTCCCCCACTATCCCTCAACCTCTTTCTCCTTTCAGTCTTGGTGTCACACTTCAATCTCTCCCTTTTCTTAATTTCAATTCCTTTCATTTTCTGGTAGGGACAAAGGAGACACGTTTTATCCATGGACCCAAAACTCTGGCACTTGTCAAGGACTGGGAAGGCAGCCTTCCCTTGGTGTTTAATCATTGCAGGGATGCCTCTCTGATTATTCACCCATGTTTCAGAGGTGTCAGACCACATGGGGACCCCCGCCTTGGTCCTTCACCCTTGGCAGCAAGGCCTGCTTTTCTGGGGGAGGGGCAAGTACCTTAGCCCCTTCTCTTTTGTGTCTCTACCCCTTCTCTGCTTTTCTGGGGGAGTGGCAAGAACCCCTCAACCCCTTCTCTTTCACCTTTAGCAGCAAGTCCTGCTTTTCTAGGGGGCAAGAACCCCAATCCCTTATTTCCATGCCCTGACCTCTTATCTTTGTGCCCCAATACCTTATTTCCACACCCCAACCTCTTATCTCTATGCTCCAACTCCTTATTTCTGTGCCCTGACCCCTCTCACACTTTTCTTTAGGGTAAGAACCCCTGAATCCCTTCCCTCCAAGTCTCTACTCTCTCTTTTCTCTGGGATTGCTTCCTTCACTATGGGCAACCTTCCACCCTCCATTCCTCCTTCTTCTCCCTTAGTCTGTGTTCTCAATAACTTAAAACCTCTTCAACTCACACCTGACCTAAAACCTAAATGCCTTATTTTCTTCTGCAACACTGCTTGGCCCCAATACAAACGTGAAAATGGCTATAAGTGGCCAGAAAATGGCATGTTTGATTTCTCCATCCTACAAGACCTAAATAATTTTTGTCAAACAATGGGCAAATGATCTGAGGTGCCTTACATCCAGGCATTTTTCACACTTTGTTCCCTCCCTAGTCTCTGTTCCCAATGCAATTTCTCCCAAATCCTCCTTCTTTCCCACCCACCTGTCCCCCAGTCCAAACCCCTAGCATCACCAAGTCTTTCCAGTCTTCCTTTTCTACAGACCCATCTGACCTTTCCCCTCCACTGCAGGCTGCTCATCACCAGGCCGAGCTAAGTCCCAGTCCTTCCTCAGCCTCCACTCCTCCATCCTATAATCCTTCTACCACCTCCCCTTCTCACACCCAGTCCAGCTTACAGTTTATTTCTGCGACTAGCTCTTCCCCACCTGCCCAACAATTTCCTCTTAGAGAGGTGGCTGGAGCTGAGGGCATAGTCTGGGTACATGTACTTTTTTCTCTATCAGACCTCTCTCAGATCAGTCAGTGTTTAGGCTCTTTCTCATAAGACCCCACTAAATATATACAGGAATTCCAATATCTAACTCTGTCCTACAATTTAACCTGGAGTGACTTAAATATCATCCTGACTTCTGCCCTCTCCCCAGATGAATGGGAAAGAGTTTTTTCTCTAGCCCAATCTCATGCTGATAACCACTGGCTTCATGAGCCAGAACTCCAGGAAGGCATTAGAGCAGTTCCCCGAGAGGATCCCCAATAGAACTACCAGGCAAATTCCCCAGGTATAGCTAGGCGAGATTACATGATTTCCCACCTTGAAGGCAGCTTACATAACTGTTAATTATGACAAGCTTAAAGAAACTACCCAAGGTTAAGACAAAAACCCAGCCCAGTTCATGGCCCACTTAGCAGCAATGCTTAGACACTATACCACCCTAGACCCAGAAAGGCCAGAAGGCCGTCTTATTCTTAATATACATTTTATCACCCAATCAACTCCTGACATTAGGAAAAAACTTCAAAAGTTAGAATCTGGCCCTCAAACCCCACAACAGGAATTAATCAACCTCTCCTTCAAGGTGTACAATAACAGAGAGGAAGCAGCCAGACAGTAACACATTTCTGTTACAATTACTTGCCTCTGCTGTGAGACAAAACCAGACACACTTTCATCATATAAGAACTTCAAAATGCCTAAGCCGCACACACGTAAGCTGCAGCAGTCAAGCATTCCTACAAGACTCACTCCGTCAGGATCTTGCTTGAAGTGCCAGAAATCTGGTCACTGGGCCAAGGAATGCCCATAGCCCAGGATTCCTACTAAGCCATGCCCATCTGTGCAGGGACCCACTGGAAGGCAGACTGCCCAGCTCACCCAGCAGCCACTCCTAGAGCCCCTAAAGCTCTAGCCCAAGGTTTTCTAACTCCTTCCCAGATCTGCTCAGCTTAGCGACTGAAGATTAATGCTGCCTGATCACCTCAGAAGCCCCCTGGACCATCACAGATGCCCAACTTCAGGTGACTCTCAAGTGGAGGGTAAGTCCACCCTCTGTTTCATCGATACAGGGGCTACCAATTTCATGTTGCCTTCTTTTCAAAGACCTGTTTCCCTCACCCCAATAACTGATGTGGGTATTGACCTCCAAGCTTCAAAACCCCTGAAAACTCCCCTACTCTGGTGCCAACTTGGACAACACTCTTTTATGCACTCTTTTTTAGTTATGCTCACCTGCCCAGTTCCTTTATTAGGCTGAGATATTTTAACCAAATTATCTGCTTCCCTGAGTATTCCTGGACTCAGCCGCATCTCATTGCCACCCTTCTCCCCAATCCAAAGCCTCCTTTGCTTCTTCCTCTCACATCCCTCCACCTTAACCCACAAGTATGGGACATCTCTAGTCCTTCCCTGGCAACCAATCACATGCCCATTATTGTCCCATTAAAACCTAATCACCCTTACCCTACTCAATGCCAATATCCCATCCCGCAGCACGATTTAAAAGGATTAAAGCCGGTTATCACTCTCTGCTACAGCATGGCTTCTAAAACCTATAAACTCTCCTTACAATTCCCCCGTTTTACCTGTCCAAAAACTGGACAAGTCTTACAGATTAGTTCAGGGTCTGTGCCTTATTGACAAAGTTGTTTTGCCTATCCAGCATGTGGTGCCCCACCCATACATTTTTTTGTCCTCAATACCTTCCTCCACAATTCACTATTCCATTCTTGATCTTAAAGATGCTTTTTTCACTATTCCTCTGCACCCTGCATCCCAGCCTTTCTTTGCTTTCACCTGGACTGACCCTAACACCTATCAGTCCCAGCAGCTTACCTGGGCTGTGCTGCCACAAAGTTTCAGAGACAGCCCTCACTACTTCAGCCAAGCTGTTTCTCATGATTTACTTTCTTTCCACCCCTCCGCTTCTCATCATATTCAATATATTGATGACCTTCTTCTTTGTAGCCCCTCCTTTGAATCTTCTCAACAAGACAACTTCTGCTCCTTCAGCATTTATTCTCCAAAGGATATCGGGTATCCCCCTCCAAAGCTCAAATTTCTTCTCCATCCCTTACCTCCCTTGGCATAATTCTTCATAAAAACACACCTGCTCTCCCTGCCAATCATGTCTGACTAATCTCTCAAACAACAACCCCTTCTACAAAACAACTACTCCTTTCCTTCCTGGTCATAGTTGGATACTTTTGCCTTTGGATACCTGGTTTTACCATCTTAAAAAACCATTATATAAACTCACAAAAGGAAACCTAGCTGACCCCATAGATCATAAATCCTTTCCCCACTCCTCTTTCTGTTCCTTGAAGACAGCTTTAGAGACTGCCCCACCCTAGCTCTCCCTGACTCATCCTTACCCTTTTCATTACACACAGCTGAAGTGCAGGGCTGTTCAGTCAGAATTCTTACACAAGGACCGGGACCACACCCTGTAGACTTTTTGTCCAAACAACTTGACCTTACTGTTTTAGGCTGGCCATCATGTCTCTGTGCAGTGGCTGCTGCCACCCTAATACTTTTAGAGGCCTTCAAAATCAACTATGCTCAACTCACTCTCTACAACTCTCATAATTTCCAAAATCTATTTTCTTCCTCACACCTGATGCATATACTTTCTGCTCCCTGCCTCTTTCAGCTATACTCACTCTTTGTTGAGTCTCCCACAATTACCATTGTTCCTGGCCCAGACTTCAATCTTGCCTCCCACATTATTCCGGATACCACACCTGACCCTCATGACTGCATCTCTCTGACCCACCTGACATTCACCCCATCTCCCCACATTTCCTTCTTCCCTGTTTCTCACTCTGATCACACTTGGTTTATTGATGGCAGTTCCACAAGGCCTAATCGCCACTCACCAGCAAAGGCAGGCTATGCAATAGTATCTTCCACATCTGTTATTGAGGCTACCATTCTGCCCTGCTCCACTACCTCTCAGCAAGCCAAGCTAGTTGCCTTATCTCAGGCCCTCACTCTTGCAAAAGGACTACATGTCAATATTTATACTGACTCTAAATATGCCTTCCATATTCTGCACTACCATGCAGTCATATTGGCTGAAAGAATTTTCCTTACTACACAAGGGTCCTCCATCATTAATGCTTCTTTAATAAAAACTCTGCTCGAGGCCGCTTTACTTCCAAAGGAAGCTGGGGTCATTCACTGCAAGAGGCATCAAAAGGCGTCAGATCCCATTGCTCTAGGCAACGCTTGTGCTGATAAGGTGGCTAGGCAAGCAGCTAGCTTTCCAACTTCTGTCTCTCACAGCAATTCTGATGCAGATAAGGTGGCTAGACAAGCAGCTAGCTCTCCAACTTCTGTCCCTGACGGCCAGTTTTTCTCCTTCACATCGGCCACTCCCACCTACTCCCCCGCTGAAACCTCCACCTATCAATCTCTTCTCACACAAGGCAAATGGTTCTTAGATCTAGGAAAATACCTCCTTCCAGCCTCACAGGCCCCTTCTATTCTGTCGTCATTTCATAACCTCTTCCATGTAGGTTACAAGCCACTAGCCTGTCTCTTAGAACCTCTCATTTCCTTTCCATCATGGAAATCTATCCTCAAGGAGATCACTTCTCAGTTTCCCATCTGCTATTCTACTACCCCTCATGGATTGTTCAGGCCTCCTCCCTTTCCTACACATCAAGCTCAGTGATTTGCCCCTGTGCAGGACTGGCAAATTGACTTTACTCACATGCCTGGAGTCAGAAAACTAAAATATCTCTTAGTCTGAGTAGACACTTTCACTGGATAGTTAGAGGCCTTTCCAACAGGGTCTGAGATGGCCACCATGGTCATTTCTTCCCTTCTGTCAGACGTAATTCCTCAGTTTGACCTTCCCACCTCTATACTGTCTGATAATGGACCAGTCTTTACTAGTCAAATCATCCAAGCAGTTTCTCATGCACTTAATATTCAGTGGAATCTTCATATTCCTTATCATCCTCAATCTTCAGGAAAGGTAAAACAGACTAATGGTATTTTAAAGTCACACCTCACCAAGCTCAGCCTCCAACTTAAAAAGTATTGGACAGTACTTTTACCTCTTGCCCTTCTCAGAATTAAACCTGTCCTCGAGTTGCTACAGGGTACAGTGCATTTGAACTTCTATATGGACGCACTTTCCTGCTTTGCCCCAAACACTTCCCAGACACCAGCCCTCTAGGCGACTATCTTCCAGTCCTCCAACAGGCTAGACAGGAAATTCACCAAGCTGTTAATCTTCTCTTGCCTTCTCCAGATCCCCAGCCACATGAAGACACCCTAGCTGGACGATCAGTTCTTGTTAAGAATCTGAACCCTCAAACTCTACAACCTCGATGGACCAGACCCTACTTAGTCATCTGTAGTACCCTGACTGCTGTCTGCCTGCAGGATCTTCCACACTGGGTTCACCATTCCAGAATAAAGCTGTGTCCATCAGGCAGCCAGCCTAATCCCTCTCTTCCTCCTGGAAGTCACAAGTACTCTCCCCTACTTCCCTTAAACTCACTCATATTTCTGAAGAACAGTAATAACCCTTATGAGCCTAATACATCCCTTTATTCTATTAGGTCTCTCCATCCTTACCCTACTTTTTGCAGCACAGCTTTATGAAATCACCCCCACCAATTGGGCTGAGCCCCAAAAAGAAACTATTCATCCCTACTGTCTTCTATCTAGTCATACTCCATTCTCAACTACCTATAAATGCCCTACTCTTATTTACACTGATGGTTTACACTGTTTCTTCAAGCCATCACAGCTGATATCTCTTCGTGCTATCCCCACACCACCACTCTTAAGTCTCTCTTAGAGTGGATAGATGATCTTTACTGGCAGGGCATCCTCCTATACTTCCATCCTGATGAAGTTCTATTCTTTACTTTTATACTCACTCTTATTCTCGTTCCCAATCTTATGCCACCCTCTACCTCTCCCCAGCTATCTCCACCACACTATCAACCTTACACATTCTCTCCTAGCCACTTCTAATCCCTCCTTAGTGAACAACTGCTGGCTTTGCATTTCCCTGTCTTCCAGTGCCTACACAGCTGTCCTCACCTTACAGACAGACTGGGCAAGATTTCCCCTAGGTAATCTTTCACCTTCTCAATGTTACTTTACTCTTCATCTCCGAAGCCCAACTACACACATCACTGAAACAACTGGAGCCTTCCAGCTCTGTATTACAGAAAAGCCCTCTATCAATACTGACAAACATTAAAAACATTAGCGGTAATTATTTTCATGCGCGTCCATGTGAAGAGACCACCAAACACGCTTTGTGTGAGTAACATGGCTGTTTATTACACCTGGGTGCAGGAGGGCTGAGTCCGAAAAGAGAGTCAGTGAAGGGAGATGGGGTGGGGCCATTTTATAGGATTTGGGTAGGTAAAGGATAAAAGGGGGTTGTTCTCTGGCAGACAGGAGTGGGGGGGGGGGTCACAAGGTACTCAGTGGGGGAGATTTTGAGCCAGGATGAGCCAGGAGAAGGAATTTCACAGACAATGTCATCAGTTAAAGCAGGAACAGGCCATTTTCACTTCTTTTGTGGTGGAATGTCATCGGTTAAGGCAGGAACCAGCCATCTGGATGTGTACGTGCAGGTCACAGGGGATATGATGGCTTAGCTTGGGCTCAGAGGCCTGACAATTATTGCTTAGGAAGACACTCACCCTTTATTTCACTCCATCTTTGGCTACCTTCCCTTTGCTCGTCAGACTCTCCTCCCAGGCTCTATTCTTGTTTTTACTTATACCCAGCCCTGAAAATAACAGTGAAAGGTTAGTCATAGATACTCAACGTTTTCTCATAAAACCATGAAAATCAAACCTCCCCCTCTATGCAGTTACCCCATCAGTCCCCATTACAACCTCTGATGGCTGCCGCCCTAGCTGAATCCCTAGGAGTCTAGGTAAAAGACACCTCTTTCAGCACTCCTCAACTTTTCACTTTCTATCTCCAGTTTTGCCTTGCACAAGGTCTCTTCCTCTATGGATCCTCTAACTACATGTGTCTACCTGCTAATTGGACAGGCACATGTACACTAGTTTTCCTTACCCCCAAAATTCAATTTGCAAATGGGACCAAAGGGCTCCCTGATCCCCTCATGACACCAAAATGACAAAAATGCTCCACTAATGCCCTTGCTGGTCAGTTTAGGACTTTCTGCCTCCACTATTGCTCTCGGTACTAGAATAGCAGGCATTTCAACCTCTGTCACTACCTTCTGTAGCCTGTCTAATGACTTCTCTGCTAGCATCACAGACATATCACAAAGTTTATCAGTCCTCCAAGGCCAAGTTGACTCTTTAGCTGCAGTTGTCCTCCAAAACTGCTAAGACCTTGATTTACTCACTGCTGAAAAAGGAGGACTGTGTATATTCTTAAATAAAGAGTGTTGTTTTTACCTAAATCAATCTGGTCTGGTGTATGATAACATAAAAAAACTCAAGGATAGAGCACAAAAATTTGCCAACCAAGCAAGTAATTATGCTGAACCCCCTTGGGTACTCTTTAATTGGATGTCCTGGGTCCTCCCAATTCTTAGTCCTTTAATACCCACTTTTCTCCTTCTTTTATTTGGACCTTGTATCTTCCGTTTAGTTTCTCAATTTATCCAAAACCGTATCCAGGCCATCACCAATCATTCTATATGACAAATGTTTCTTCTAATATCCCCAAAATGTCAGCCCTTACCACAAGATCTCCCTTCAGCTTAATATCTCCCACTCTAGGTTCCCACGCCACCCCTAATCCCACTTGAAGCAGCCCTGAGAAACATCACCCATTCTCTCTCCATACCACCCCCCAAAAATTTTCACCGCCCCAACACTTCAACGCTATTTTGTTTTATTTTTCTTATTAATATAAGAAGGCAGGAATGTCAGGCCTCTAAGCCCAAGCCAAGCCATTGCATCCCCTGTGACTTGCACGTATATGACCAGGTGGCCTGAAGTAACTGAAGAATCACAAAAGAAGTGAAAATGCCCTGCCCCACTTTTACTGATGACATTCCACCACAAAAGAAGTGAAAATGGCCAGTCTTTGCCTTAACTGATGACATTCCACCACAAAAGAAGTGAAAATGGCTGGTCCTTGTCTTAAGTGATGACATTATCTTGTGAAAGTCCTTTTCCTGGCTCAACCTGGCTCAAAAACTTCCCCACTGAGCACCTTGCGACCCCTATTCCTGCCCGGCAGAGAACAAATCCACTTTGACAGTAATTTTTCTTTATCTTCCCAAATCCTATAAAATGGCCCCACGCTTATCTCCCTTTGCTGACTCTCTTTTCAGACTTGGCCCACTTGCACCAAGGTGATTAAAAGCTTTATTTCTTTCACAAAGCCTGTTTGGTGGTCTCTTCACATGGACGTGCCTGAAATTTCTTTGTGTTGAAATGTTAATCTTTTTGAAAAATAAATGTGCCCATTTTTAAGAGTTCTGGTACAAAGCTTGTTGTCAGCTTTCAGTGTAAGATATTTGCTTGTTTTGATGGTTTTCTATGAAGGCCACTAAAATTTAATATTTCCTTCTTGTTTTTTCTAAATATCTAGCTAAAAACTCTTTTTTTGAAAACGTTTTACTTTCCCGAAAGAGAACCAGCTGTCACCATGAGTTCTGGCACAATAGTTGTTGCAGGCTTTCAAGGCTGTATATTTGTTTTGATACTTCACTAGAATGGCCACTGATGTTAGAAAATTCCTTTTATTCCCTTGTTTCAAAATGCATGACTACAAACTCTTGTTTATGTAAACACCTTCCTTTTCCTGAAATAAAATGGCCCAGTGTTAATATTTCTCAACAAATCTTTTTTTTTTTTTTTTTGGATCTCTGGAAGGGCCACTGAGGTAAAACAATTCTCCTCTTTACTTTTTTTAAATACCTGTCTGCAAACTTTTTGTCAGTTAAAAATATTTATTTCCCTAAAAAAAAAGCTGCCCTTGTTCAAAAGTTCTGGAACAAAACTTACTTTCAACTTTGAGATCTTCGCATTAGTTCCTAATGACAAGTAACGACAAGGGCCATGAGTGTAATAGACTTTCTCTTCTTTCTCTTTTTAAATGCATGTCAAGAAACTGCTTCTCTGTTCAAATATTTTTTTCTCTTAAAGAAACCACCAGACAGGGCACAGTGGCTCACCCATATAATCCCATCACTTTGGGAGGGCAAGGCAGGTGCATCTTCTGAGGTCAGGAATTTGAGACCAGCCTGGTTAACATGGTAAATCCCATCTCTACTAAAAAAAAATAATAATAAAAAAATTAGCTTGGCTTGGTGGCAGGGGACTGTAATCCCAGCTACTCAGGAGGCTGAGGCAGGAGAATCACTTTAACATGGAGGTTGGAGATGGCAGTGAGCCAAGACCATGCCACTGCACTGCAGCCTGGGTAACAACAGTGAAACTCCATTTCAAAAGAAAAATAAAAGGAAGAAAAAGCAAGAAAGAAACCACCCATTTTCAAGAATTCTGACATAAATTTGTCAGCATTCAGGGCCAGATGTTCCCTTCTTTCATCAGTTCCCTAGAAAAACCACTGGTGTTTTTTTTTTTTTTTTTAAATTGTTCTATCTAAATGTCTAACTGAACCTCTTTCTTTGCCTGAAAAAAAAATAAAAGGGACCATTATTAATAGTTATTGCACAAATCTTGTCAACTTTCAGGACCAGGTATTTGTTAATTTTAAAGGAAGGTTCTCTAAAAGATCCTCTGTTATGGACAAGGGTGGTGGCTCACATTTGTAAGCCCAGCACTTCGTAAGGCCGAGGGAGTTGTAGCACCTGGAGAGTTGGAGACCATTCTGGTCAACATGGAGAAACCCCATCTCTACTAAAAATACAAAAATTGCCCGGGTGTAGTGGCACATGCCTGGAATCCCAGCTACTCAGGGGGCTGAGGAAGGAGAACTACTTGAACCTGGGAGACAGAGGTTGCAATGAGCCAAGATCACACCACTGTACCCCAGCCTGAGCAACAGAATGAGTCATCTCAAAAAAAAAAAAAAAAAAAACTCTGTTGTGAGAAAACTTTACTATTACATTTGCAAATGCCTTTCTACAAACTTCACTTTGATACAAAGAAAACCACATGTAATCCAGAGTTGTGGAACAAAGATATTAGATTTCAGGGCTTGATATATGCTCGTATTGATGGTTTTCTAAAAGAACCACTGATGTAAAAGGTTTCCCCTCTTTGTTTCTTTTAAATGTCTGCCTGCAAACCTCTCTTCAGCTAAACCCTTCCCTTGAAAGAAAACTGCTCTTCTTTAAGAGTTCTGGCACAAAAACTTCATCTTTGAGAGCTAAATATTTGTTTGTATTGATAAGTAATGAGAAAGGTCACTATTTTAAAAAAATTATCTTGTTTCTTATTCTAAATACTTATCAGGGATTCTTCTGTTTATGTTAAAGTCTGCCTTTCTCTTAAAGAAAACCATCCATCAGCAAAAGTTATGGCACAAACGTGTTGCCAGCTTTCAGGACGATATATTTTTTCATTTTGATGGTTTTTTAGGTGAGACACTGTTGCTATCATCACTCTCTTCCTTTCTTCTTTTAAGTGATCATCCACGAACTTTTATTTATATGAACTTTTTTTTTTGCTTGCAACAAAACCACGCATCAGAAAGGGTTCTAACATAATATTTGTTTTCAGCTTTCAGAGCCAGACATATGCATTAATTTTTAGGTTCCCTAGAAGAGCCACTGGTGTGAGAAATCTCCTACTTCCTCCTTCTTAGTTTCTGTCTAGAAATATCTCTTTTTTTGTTAAACACCTTCCCTTCTTTAAACACACACACACACACACACACACACACAAACACACACACACATTACTAATAGTTCTGGCACAAAGCTTCTTGTCAACTGTCAAGACCAGATATTTATTTGTTTTGACAGTTTTCTAGGAAGGATATTTGTGTTAGAGAATCTTTTTCTTGCTTACTCTAAATGTCTGTCTGAGAACTTTTCTTTGTATCTACATCTTTCTTATCCTGATAAAAAATGACCCATCATCAATAGCCCTGGAACAAATACTGTTATCAGATTTTAGAGCAGATATTTTTAAGATTTTGATATGTATCTATTGGGGCAAATGATGTACAATTTTTTTCTCTCCCTATAAATACCTCTCTGCAAACTTCCTTCATGTTAACATCTTCGTTTCTCTTAAAACTGACCATGTTCACAAGTCATGGAAAAAAGTTTGTTGTTAGCATTAACTGCCAGATATATATTGGTCTTGATGGGTTTCTAGAAGAAACACTGCAATAGGAAAATTTTTTGCTAACTTCTTCTAGAAGCCTACCTGCAAGCTTCTCCCCATATTTACATCGTTGTTTCCTAAAAAAAAAAAAAAAAAAAAAAAAGGCTGCCCATCACCAAGAGTTTTGGCACAAAACTTATTGTTAGCTTTCAAAGCTGCGTATTTATTGGCATTAATTGATCTTTAGAAGAGCCACTGGAATGTGAGAATACTCTTTCTACCTCTTTTAAAACAACTGCAATGTTCTCTTTCTGTTAACATCTGTATTTAGCTCTACAAAAAATGCTGGCCATCATCAAGAGTTCTGGCACAAAGCCTGTCATCAGCTGTCAAGACCAGATATTTATTTGTTCTGAAGTTTCCCTGGAAGGGCCATGACTATAAGATAATTTTTCTACTTTCTCCTTCTAAATGCTTGTCTGCAATATTTTTTGTGTTGAAATTTATCTTTCCTTGAAAGAAAACTCATCTTCAAGAGTTCTGGAACAAAGCTTGTTGTCATTTTTCAGAGTCAGATATTTATTCATTTTGATGGTTCCAAAAAAGAACCAGAGATGAAGGAGAATTTTTTACCTTACTATTTCTGAATAACTGTTTATAAACTTGTCATTATGTAACCATATTCCATTTTTCAAAAGTAAACTAACCCATCATAAACACTTCTGGCATAGACCTTGATGTCAGCCTTTAGCGTTGGATAATTGTTTTTATTGAATGGTTCCTAGAAGAACAACTGGTTTGAGAGAATATCCCCCCTTGCTTTTTCTAAATGTCTGCCTTCAAACTATGTTTGTTAAAATTTACCCCTTTATTAAAATAATCCTCATCAGCAGTAGTTCTTTCATAAAGCTTTCTGTCAGCTGTTAAAACTGAATTGTTAGAGTGGGTCAAGATGGTAGATGAGAAACAGTGACAATCAGAGGCTCCCATCAAAAAGATCCAAAATAACTATGTGAATCTTTCACTAGTAAACTGAGGTATCTATGTTCTCTCATAAGAACTGACTAGGCAGATGACATAATCCACAAAGAGAAAGGAAGAGCAGTGCTATGCAGCAGTCCACTTGAGAACCACAGGGAGCAGGGGTGCCCCAATGCCCCAGCCAAAATAGGTGGTGAGAGAGCATGCTACCCAGCTGGGGGAACTGTGCTTTTTTCATGAAACTCTGCAACCCATGGATCAAAAGGTCCCACTTGAGATCCTACAGCAATGACACCTAGCATCCCAATCTCAGGGCTTTGCAGATTCTCAACAACCTACTGTCTAAGCCATTTTACCTTCTTTGGAGTGGGGCAGCGGTAGGACTCACAACTGCCTGACCGGCTAAGCTCCTTGGGTCAGGGAAATGTGGCATGCATCTCTGTAGCTCCAAGCTGTGTTTTTCTTCTGCTGGAGCCAGGGAGGCTGGCTGGTTTAGTCACAAAATGTGTTCCCCACAACCCAACAAACTGGCTGTGACACACCAGCCAGAATGCCTCCTCAGGCTTATTTCTGGATAACTGTTTACAAACTTGTCATTATGTAACCCTCTTCCATTTTTCTTTTTTTTTTCTTTTCTTTTTTTTTATTATACTTTAAGTTTTAGGGTACATGTGCACATTGTGCAGGTTAGTTACATATGTATACATGTGCCATGCTGGTGCGCTGCACCCACTAACTCATCATCTAGCATTAGGTATATGTCCCGATGTTATCCCTCCCCCCTTCCCCCACCCCACAACAGTCCCCAGAGTGTGATATTCCCCTTCCTGTGTCCAAGTGATCTCATTGTTCAATTCCCACCTATGAGTGAGAATATGCGGTGTTTGGTTTTTTGTTCTTGCGATAGTTTACTGAGAATGATGATTTCCAATTTCATCCATGTCCCTACAAAGGACATGAACTCATCATTTTTTATGGCTGCATAGTATTCCATGGTGTATATGTGCCACATTTTCTTAATCCATTCTATCATTGTTGGATATTTGGGTTGGTTCCAAGTCTTTGCTATTGCAAATAATGCCACAATAAACATAGGTGTTCATGTGTCTTTACAGCAGCATGATTTATAGTCCTTTGGGTATATATCCAGTAATGGGATGGCTGGGTCAAATGGTATTTACCGTTCTAGATCCCTGAGGAATCACCACACTGACTTCCACAATGGTTGAACTAGTTTACAGTCCCACCAACAGTGTAAAAGTGTTCCTATTTCTCCACATCCTCTCCAGCACCTGTTGTTTCCTGACTTTTTAATGATTGCTATTCTAACTGGTGTGAGATGGTATCTCATTGTGGTTTTGATTTGCATTTCTCTGATGGCCAGTGATGATGAGCATTTTTTCATGTGTTTTTTGGCTGCATAAATGTCTTCTTTTGAGAAGTGTCTGTTCATGTCCTTCACCCACTTTTTGATGGAGGCATCACACTACCTAACTTCAAACTATACTACAAGGCTACAGTAACCAAAACAGCATGGCACTGGTACCAGATCAGAGATATAGATCAATGGAACAGAACAGAGCCCTCAGAAATAATGCCACATATCTACAACTATCTGATCTTTGACAAACCTGAGAAAAACAAGCAATGGGGAAAGGATTCCCTATTTAATGAATGGTGCTGGGAAAACTGGCTAGCCATATGTAGAAAGCTGAAACTGGATCCCTTCCTTACACCTTATACAAAAATCAATTCAAGATGGATTAAAGACCTAAATGTTAGACCTAAAACCATAAAAATCCTAGAAGAAAACCTAGGCATTACCATTCAGGACATAGGCATGGGCAAGGGCTTCATGTCTAAAACACCAAAAGCAATGGCAACAAAAGACAAAATTGACAAATGGGATCTAATTAAACTAAAGAGCTTCTGCACAGCAAAAGAAACTACCATCAGAGTGAACAGGCAACCTACAAAATGGGAGAAAATTTTCGCAACCTACTCATCTGAAAAAGGGCTAATATCCAGAATCTACAATGAACTATAACAAATTTACAAGAAAAAAACAAACAACCTCTTCCATTTTTCAAAAGTAAACTAACCCATCATAAACACTTCTGGCATAGACCTTGCTGTCAGCTTTTAGAGTTGGATATTTGTTTTTATTGAATGGTTCCTAGAAGAAAAACTGGTTTGAGAGAATTTTCCCCCTTGCTCTTTCTAAATGTCTGCCTGCAAACTATGTTTGTTAAAATTTCCCCTTTTATTAAAATAATCCCCATCAGCAATAGTTCTTCCATAAAGCTTTCTGTCAGCTGTTAAAACTGAATAGTTAGGAGAGAGGTCAAGAAGGGGGAATAAAAAACAAAGACAAATGAGTATATTTGGAAGAAAGGGTCAGATGGCACCTTGCCCCTAGGGGAGTGATTGTAGTAAATAATGATGTACAGAGCCCATTCACCTTAGGATTGCTGGAATCTGTGTTCAGTGCTATGTGTCTTTTACCCTTTGATGTGAAACACTTGGCACAAACTTGCTTGTCTCCTAGTGAATATATGACATGGAATTTAAATTGGCAAGAAATGTGTGCAGACAAGGCTAGATAGAATCGTGTTGCTGGACACAGAGACATTACAAAGGATATGCTATTGGGTAATGGCACTTATTCAGACCTGGAACGTCAAATTGCACTCCCAGACACTGCTTATCAACAACATGCATAGGCCGCTATATGTGCCTAGGTCCCAATTCCTGAAGAGGGAGTCCCAGTACAATCCTTTTTACATATCATGCAAGTGTCAAAGAAGCCCTATGTGCAATTTCTTGCAAGATTACAAAAGGCAGTGAGCATCACATTCCTCATGCCACTGCCACAGAAATGCTAACCTTAACTTTAGCTTTTGAGAATGGAATCACAGTTTGTAAATGTGCACTGGTGCCTGAGAGGTGTACAAAAACTTGGGAAATTTTTTCAGAGCTTGTCAAGATGTAGGAACTGAGCTTCATTGATCTGCACTGTTAACAAAAACAATGGCTAATTTGACTGCTGACTAATCTAACAGTGAGATGTGAAGGCAGCTGGGCTTCTGGTTTGGGTGGGGACTGGGATAACTTTTCTATCTATCTAAAGGATTGTAAATGCACCAATAAGCACTCTGTGTCTAGATAAAGTTTTGTAAATGCACCAATCAACACTATGTCAAAATGGACAAATCAGCACTCTGTAAAATGGATGAATCAGTGCTCTGTAAAATGGACCAATCAGCAGGATGTGGGTGGGGCCAAATAACAGAATAAAAGCTGGCCACCTGAGTCAGGTCCCCTTCTACTCTGTGGAAGCTTTTTTCATTTGCTCTTCATAATAAATCATGCTGCTGCTAACTGTTTGGGTCCGTGCCAACATTATGAGCTATAACACTCACCACAGGCATCCGTGGCTTTATTCTTGAAGTGAGCAAGACCAAGAACTCATCAATTCTGGACACATTTTGGCTATTTCGAAGAGACCATCACCTATCACCAAGCAGTGAGACCATCACCTATCACCAAGTGGTGAGTACAATTGGACCACTTTCACTTACTATTCTGTCTTATTTTTCTTTAGAATTTGGGGGCTAAATACTGGGCACCTGCCAGCCAGTTAAAAGTGACTAGCACAGCCACTGGACTAAAGAAAAAAGTGTCAGGGCTTTCTGGGAAAGGGCTCTCTAACAATCCCTGACTCTTCAGGGTTGGGAGCGTTGGTTTGCCCAGAACCTGCTTCCACTTTTCCTGTAATTCTGGGCTGAGCCAAGGGTCAACAGAGAGGAAAGTCATTCAGCTCCCGGGGTCGTGACAAGTTGGTTGACCCTGTAGCCATGAGTGGAACTTTCAAAGGCATGTAGCCCAACTAAGACTATAGCTCATCTATCCTATCTATCCTGACCCTTGCACCCAGGGTCCTAATGCCTGCCAGACAAACTTCCTTTTGCCTCTCTTCTCCAAGGCTATCCCTACTTCTAAAAACCACTCCCTCTCTCTGGTGCTTTTCTAGTTTCCTCTTTAAGAATGATTTCTAGTATAAACTCCAGGACTCTGTTACCTTCTTTAGGTAGCTGGGCTCACCAATCAAAAAGACATACTTTTTTTTTTTTTCCCAAATCCAAGTCACAGGGAGGACTATCTGGAATTTTAGCATCCCTCCTCAGACTAACAGGCCTAACAAAAGCTATTCCTAAAGTTAGGATATGGGAAGACTCAGAAATTGTATCCCTCCTATTCATATGAGTAAGGACAAAATGTGTCACTCTTCCAGCCCTGGAGATCCCTTCCATCCCTCAGGGTATGGCCTTCCACTTAATTTTTGGGGTATAACATCTTTATAGGACATGGATAAGGTCCCAATACTAAAAAGAGAATGCTTAGGACTCTAACAGGTTTTTGAGAATGTGTTGGTAAGGGCCACTAAATCCAATTTTTCTCAGTCCTCTTTGTGGTCTAGGAGGACAAGCAAGGGTGCAGGTTTTTGAGAATGCATCAGTAAGGGCCACTAAATCTGACCTTCCTTGGTCCTCCTTGTGATCTGGGAGGAAAACTAGTGTTTCTGCTGCTGTGTTGGTGAGCACAAATATTTCAATCAGCAGGGTCCAGGGACCATTGTGGGTTCTTGGGCAGGGGTTGTGTCTGCTGCTGCATCTATTACAGTTAGCAGGGTCCAGGGATCATTGCACGTTCTTGGGCAGGGAGAGAAAACACTCAGGCATCAACAGGCTCACTCTTGAAATGCATCCTAAGCCATTGGGACCAAATTGACCCACAAACCCTGAAAAAGAGGTGGCTCATTTTTTTCTGCACTACAGCTTGGCCCCAATATTCTCTCTCTGATGAGGAAAAGTGGCCACCTGTGGGAATTACAAATTACAACATTATCCTGCAACTTTACCTTTTCTGTAAGAGGGAAGGCAAATGGAGTTAAATACCTTATGTCCAAGCTTTCTTCTCATTGAAGGAGAATATACAACTATACAAAGCTTGCAATTTACATCCCACAGGAGGACCTCTCAGCTTACCCCCACATCCTAGCCTCCCTACAGCTCCACTTCCTATTAATGATAAGCCTCCTCTAACCTCCCCTGCCCAGGAGGAAATAAGCAAAGAAATCTCCAAAGGACCACAACCCCACCCCCCTCTATCTATTATGTCCCCTTCAAGCTGTAGGGGGAGGGGAATTTGGCCTAACCAGGGTACATGTCCCTTTCTCCCTCTCTGATTTAAAGTAGATCAAGGCAGACCTGGGGAAGTTTTCAGATGATCTTGATAGGTATATAGATGTCCTACAGGGTCTAGGGAATCGCTTGTAGAGATGTCATGCTATTGTTGGATCAAACCATGTCCTTTAATGAAAAGAAGGTGGCTTTAGCTGCAGTCCAAGAGTTTTGAGATATTTGATATCTTAGTCAAGTAAATGATAGAATGACAGTCAAACAAAGGTACAACTTCCCTACCAGTCAGCAAGCCATCCCCAGTATGGATCCCCACTGAAACCTCAACTCAGATCATGGGGACTGTGGTCATAAACATCTCTTGACCTGCGTTCTAGAAGGACTAATGAGAATTAGGAAAAAGAGCATGAATTATTCAATGATGTCTACCATAACTCAGAGAAAGGAAGAAAATCCTTTTGCCTTCCTCAAGTGGCTAAGGGAGGCCTTAAGAAAATATACTCCCGGTCACCTGACTCACCTGAGCCTCAATTGATCCTAAAAGACAAGTTTATTACCCAATCAGCTGTGGATATCAGGAGAAAGCTGCAAAAGCAAGCCCTGGGCCCTGAACAAAATCTGGAGGCACTATTAAACCTGACAACCTCAGTATTCTATAATAGGGACCAAGAGAATTAGGCTCAAAAGGAAAATTGAGATCAGAGAAAGGTCACAGCCTTAGTCATGGCCCTCTGACAAACAAACCTTGGTGGTTCAGAGAGGACAGAAAATGGAGCAGGCCAATCACCCTGTAGGCCTTTTACAAGTGTGATTTGCAAGGACATTTTAAAAAAGGTTGTCCAGTGAAAAACGAGCCACCCCCTGATCTATGTCCACTATACCAAGACAATCACTGGAAGCTGCACTGCCCTTGAGGACAAAGGTCATCTGGGTCATGTGTCCCTCAACCAGATGGTCCAACAACAGGAGTGAGGGTGCCTGGGGTAAGCACCAGCTCATGTCATCACCTTCACTGAGCCCTGGGTATGTTTAACCATTGAGGGCCAGGAAATTGAATTCCTCCTGGACACTGGCATGGCCTTCTCAGTGTTAATCTCCTGTCCTGGATGACTGTCCTCAAGGTCTGTTACCATCTGAGGAATTCTGGGACAGCCTGTAACCAAGTATTTCTGTAACCTCCTCAGTTGTAATTGGGAGACTTTGCTCTTTTCACTTGCCTATCCTGTCATGTCTGAAAGTCCCACACCCTTACTAGGGAGGGATATATTAGCCAAAGCTAGAGGTGTTATCTACATGAATATGGGGAACAAGTTACCCATTTGTCATCCTCTGTTGAGGAGGGAATAAACCCTGAAATCTGGGCATTGGAAGGAATAAACTCAAGCCCCAGTCTCAAGCCTTCTCACAAGATGAAACTTTTCTTTATATGTCATAGAGAGAGCAGGAATAGCTCTTGGCGTCCTTACTCAGACTCATGGGACAACCCCACAACCAGTGGCATACCTAAGTAAGGAGATTGATATAGTAGAAAAAGGCTGGCCTCACTGTTTACAGGTAGTAGTGGCAGTGGCTGTCTTAGTATCAGAGGCTATCAAAATAATACAAGGAAAGTATCTCACTGTCTGGACTACTCATAATGTAAATGGCATACTAGGTGCCAAAGGAAGTTTGTGACTATCAGACAACCACCAGGTACTACTCCTTGAGGGATGGGTGTTTCAAGTGCATATGTATGCAGCCTTCAGCCCTGCAGTGGCTCACAGTGTTCTCGCAGAGGATGGGGAGTTGGTCGAGCATGGCTGTCAACAGGTTGAAGTCCAGATTTTTGCCACCTGAGATGATCTCTTAGAATACCCCTTGGCTAATCCTGACCTTAACATATATAGCGATGGAAATTCATTTGTGGAAAATGAGATTTGAAAGACGGGTTATGTCATAGTTAGTGATGTAACTGTACTTGAAAGTAAGCCTCTTCCCCCCAGGACCAAGGCCCAGTTAACAGAACTAGCGGCACTTACCCAAGCCTTAGAAGTGGGAAAGGGAAAAAGAATAAATGTGAATACAGATAGCAAGTACGCTTATCTAATCCTACATGCCCATGCTGCAATATGGAAAGAAAAGGAGTTCCTAACCTCTGTGAGAACCCCCATTAAATAACACAATTAAATCATGGAGTTATTGCACTCAGTGCAAAAACCCAAGGAGGTGGCAGTCTTACACTGCCAAAGCCATCAATAAGGGGAAGGAGAGGAGAGAACAGCAGCATAAGAAGCTGGCAGGGGCAGGAGAAGACCAGCAGAGAGAAAGAGAAAGACAAAGTCAAAGAAGGAAAGAGAGAAAGAGACAGAAAATCAGAGAGAGGGAGAGACAAAGATAGAGAGAAAGAGAAAGATAGGAAGTCAAAGAAAAGGAGATAGAGAGAAAGAGACAGAGAGACAGAAAGTCAAGCAGAGAAGAAAAGAGAGGAAGAGACAAAGGAGAAAGGAGTCAAAGAGAGAGAAAGAAATAGAAGTAGTAAAGAAAAAACAGTCTACCCTATTCGTTTAAAAGCCAGGGTAAATTTAAAACCTATAATTGATAATTGAAGGTTTTCTCTGTAACTCTAACACTCCAATACGACCTTGTTGTCAGTGAAAACAAGGGCATAGCCCAAAAGTACTGAGGCCACTGATGACCTATAGCCTTCCTATCAAAAATTCTTAACCCAGCAGGCTTCCTGACAGGGTATCTACATCGGAAAATCCGACCAGACATAGGAGGAACTCCCTTCAGGACAGGATGATAGATGATTCCTCCTAGGCAATTAAAAAAAAAAAAAGACACAAGTAAGTGATAAGAAAACTCTTGTAGAAGCAGAGATAGGAAAATTGCCCAATAATTGGTCTGCTCAAACATGTGACCTGTTTGCACTCAGCCAAAACTTAAAGTACATACAGAATCAGGAAGGAGCCATCTATACCAATTTTAAGTTAATATGGAATGAATGAGGTCTTATTAATGGCAAAGAATAATTAAAATCCCACACTTACAAGGTTTTCAACAAAAGTACAGTTTGCTAAAAGTTAACAGTGTGACATATATTATCCTAACTTCTCATCTTATGGAAATCAGACCCTATCAGTGTCCCTGAAAGTTCAAGTCTGTCAGCACAGAGCCATATAACCAATACCCCTACTTATAGTGTTAGGAATGACCACTGCTACAGGAACCAGAATAGCCAGTTTATCTACTTCATTATCCTACTACCACACACTCTCAAAGGATTTCTCAGACAGTTTGCAAAAAATAACAAAATCTATCCTTACTCTACAATCCCAAATAGACTCTTCGGCAACAGTGACTCTCCAAAACCACTGAGGCCTAGACCTCCTCACTGCTGAGAAACGAGGACTCTGCACCTTCTTAGGGGAAGAGTGTTGTTTTTACACGAACCAGTCAGGGATAGTAGGAGATGCCACCTGACATTTACAGGAAAAGGCTTCTGAAATCAGAAAACACCTTTCAAACTCTTATATCAGCCTCTGGAGTTGGACAGCATGGCTTTATCCCCTTTCTAGGTTCCGTGGCAGATATCTTGCTGTTACCAGGCTTTGGGACCTGTATTTTTAAGCTTCTTTTCAAATTTGTTTCCTCTAGAATTGAGGCCATCACAGCTACAGATGGTCTTTCAAAATGGAAACCCAAATGAGTTCAACTAACAACTTCTACTGAGAACCCCTGGACTGTCCCACTGGCCCTTCCACTGGCCTAAAGAGTTCCCCTCTGGTGGACACTACAACTGCAGGACCCCTTCTTCATCCCTATCCAGCAAGAAGTAGCTAGAACTCTTATTGGCCAAATTCCCAACAACAGTTGTAGTGTCCTCTTTAGAGGGGGGATTGATATGTGAATCTGGCTGGGCTTCTGGGTTCAGTGGGGACTTGGATAAATTTTCTGTCTAGCTAAGGGATTGTAAATGCACCAGTCAGCACTCTGTGTCTAGCTAAAGCTTGTAAATGTACCAATTGGCATTCTGTGTCTAGCTAATTGGGTAGGGGACTGTCTAGCTAAAGGATAGTAAATGCAACAATCAGTGCTCTGTGTCTAGCTAAAGGTTTGTAAAGGCACCAATCAGCACTCTGTCAAGATAGACTAATCAGCACTCTGTAAAATGGATCAATCAGTGCTCTGTAAAATGGACCAATCAGTGGGATGTGGGGTGGGAGTGGAAAATAAGGGAATAAAAGCTGGCCACCCGAGCCAGCAGCGGCAACATGCTTGGGTCTCCTTCCACACTGTAGAGGCTTGTTCTTTCACTCTTTGCAATAAATCTTGCTGTTGCTCACTCTTTGGGTCTGTGTCACCTTTATGAACTGTAACACTAACCACAAAGGTCTGCAGCTTCACTCCTGAAGCCAGCGAGACCACAAACCCACAGAGGAAAAAACAACTCTGGCTGTGCCAACTTTAACAGCTGTAACACTCACTGCAAAGGTCTGTGGTTTCACTCCTGAAGTCAGGAAGACCAAGAACCCATCAGAAGGAAGAAACTCTGGACACATCTGAACATCTGCAGGAACACACTCCAGACACAGCATCTTTAAGAATTGTAACACTCACTGTGAGGGTCTGTGTCTTCATTCTTGAAGTCATTAAAACCAAGAACTCATGAAATCCAAACACAAAAGGAGTCAAGGAACAAACCCTAAAATGGGAAAATATTATAATTGTGGAAAAGCTGGACAGTTTAAAAAGGAATGCTGCCAGATCTGAGGACAGAAAGAGACTTAAAATGGAGTGTCCCACCCACTGGAAAAATTCCAGGACTTTGCCGTTGCTATAACAACTGGGCTAATAAGTTCCACTCAAGATTGCAACAGAATGGCATCCGCTGTTGGGGAATGAGATGGGGGCCTGGACCAAGGTCATTCAAACAATGAGAGCATTCCCAGTTCAGACCACAACACCATTTCAGGAATGGTTCCCAGGAGAAACATTGATTTCCTCACCCCAGGAAGACCAGGAAGTGTAGGATTACATGTCCTGGTCAGAGAATGGGTAACATTAGTGGGACGAGAGAAACCCAACAAGATTTCCACTGGCATTTGGGGACCTTCAACAACAGGATGTATGGGACTAATTTTAGGCAAAAGCCATCTTAATTTACAGGGCAATACTGTACCCCCAGGAGTTGTTGACTCTCATTATGAAGGAGAAATTCAAGTAGTTTTAATGTCACGATGTAATACCTAACCTTGTTTTTACTAACCTTGCTTTTAGACTCTCCCTTTCTCCCTTAATCACCTAGCCTTGTTTCCACATGTATAAGCTCTCCCTTGGCTGAGAAAGCCTGATGAACTCCATTTGGCTCCTTCATTTACAAGACGTCAAGGACTCCTTACCCACCCCCTTCCTCAAGGAGTTCACTTGTGTAAGCTGACTCTCAACATATCAAAGAGTCCAATTAACTGATAAGGTACTGAAGCAAGCAATGTACAAAGTTCCCAGGATTTTGCTCAAGAGATAACACCATAACGCCTTGAGTTTCTGTCTGGCAGAGCCCCCATACCTAACATCTTATGATAGATTTAGAGCCCCTGCACCTGGAACTGTTGTCTTCCCTGTAACCATTTGTCTTTTTAAGTTTTTCGCATGTTTTCACTTCTGTAGAATTGTTGCAACTGAGCTCCCCTCCCCTTCCTAAACCAAAGTATAAAGGAAAAGCAAGCCTTTTCCTCGGGGCCAAGAGAATTCCAAACGTTAGCCGTCTCTCTCTCACTGGCTAATAAAGGACTCTTAAATTTGTCTCAAAGTGTGGTGTTCCTCTAACTCGCTTGGGTACAACAACAAGATCTTTGGGTTTTTGAACCAGGAGAATATGTTGCTCAATTATTGTTTATTCCCTGCAAATTACACCCTCCTCCATGAAAGGAGAAACAAGAGAATAAACGGTTTAGCAGCACAACTACATGGGAAATCTATCCATCCCAACCGATAGCCTCTGATAGGCCCACCTGTGTAGTGCAAATTAAAGGAAATAAATTTGGGGGCTTATGGATACGGGAGTTGATGTGTCAATAATATCTAAAGACAATCGGCCCCCATCCTGGCCATTACAATTAACTTCTACATCCTTAGCGGGAGTAGGAACAGCTCAAAGTGTTTAACAGAGTGCTGAGATTTTACCTTTTCCTGGTCCAGACGGACAATGGTGTACTTTTCAGCCTTATGTTGCAAATATAGCTATCAATTTATGGGGTCAAGACTTACTTACAGCATGGGATATGAGACTTACAAATGAAAACTTTGATAACCTAGGATTTAAAATGTTGAAGGACATGGGACATCAGAGTGGAAAATATTTAGAGAAATTCCTACAAGGAAACCCTAACCCAATATCAATAACTGGAAAGAAAGGTTAAACCCTGCCAGGAGACTCTTCACTAAATTTCCCATGGCAGTTGGCCAAAGAGGCAGAATTTGGAGTTGCAGCTTGTAGAACAAATGCTTTAGCAATGGCATGCCTCCCAGCTACACCTGCAGAAACCTTTGCTTTCATTATCCCTCAGACAAAATTTTGTAGTTTTATGAATTCCATTCTTTCATTCTTCCTGTGATTACTCATCACAAGCCTATTCCAGGTGGACAGACTTATTTTACTGATGGCTCTTCTAAAGGTCGTGCCACTCTCTATGGACCTAAACATACTCAAACAATAATGCCCTCTGGGGCTTCAGCTCAATTCTCAGTGCTAACTGCAGTCATTCAGATTTTACAGCTCACAGCTGCAGATCCTACCAACATTGTCTGTAATTCAGCTTATGTTGTAAATGTAGTCGGTCACATAGAAACTGCTACAGTTAAAGGTACGCTAGACCCAGAACTGACAATAGACACTTATTCTCATATGCTGCATGCTACATGCCAAACAGGTTCTGAGATTACTGATTAATCAGTATCAGCCACTGAGGAAAGAAAATGGAAATATGGAGACCAATAACACTATGAAGAGAGGTCAACAAGTCTGGAAAATAACCAGAGAGCATGTATATATGAAGGTCATAGAAGATTACCACTCTCTAGTACGTAGTATAAAGTTCTTATTTGGTACAGAGAGTGTCATCATGAATCCTGGTGCGTAGTTGAGATTGTGTTTTTTCTTTTATTTTCTTTTCCTTTTTGAGATGGAGTTTCACTCTTATCACCCAGGCTAGAGTGCAATGGTGTGACCTCAGGTCACTGCAAACTCTGACTCCCATGTTGCAAGTGATTCTCCTGCCTCAGCTTTGCAAGTAGCTGGGATTGCAGCCATACACCAAAATGCCTGGCTAATTTTTTTTTTTTTTTTTTTTTTTTTTTTTTTTTTGGATTTTTAGTAGAGGCGGGGTTTTACCATATTGGCCAGGCTGGTCTCAAACTCCTGAACTCAGATGCTCTGCCAGCCTCAGCCTCCCAAAGTGCTGAGATTACAGATGTGAGCCACTGCACCTGGCCACAATCGGGTTTCTTATGTTTGCACATTGCCAACTGATAAAGTTGGCATTATAATAGTCATTCTCACAATCCATTGTGGGGGTTCTGAATATCACATGCAGAAAGAGTCCACAGTTAAAACTGTGACTGTCATATGTGAACATATAGCCACAGTTGAAATATAACCTATTTCTAAACCCAGCTCACAGGCAGGTAAAGACCCTCTTATTTGGACCAAGTCAATTGGAGAGAGGACCGAGTCAATTGGAGAGACGTTGACTCTCATATCTGTGCTGGACACAGCTGAGTTTATGTGTCCATACCAGTAAAAAGGCTTCAGAACACATCGAGACTCTTTTTTATTTTTTCTTTTCTTTCAGGACAGAGTTTCAATCTTGTTGCCCAGGCTCGGGTGCAATGGTATGATCTTGGCTCACTGCAACCTCTGCCTCCCGGGTTCAAGTGATTCTCCTGTCTCAGCCTTCTGAGTAGTTGGGATTGCAGGCACCCAACACTACACCTAGCTAAATTTTGGTATGTTTAGTAGAGATGGAGTTTCACCATGATGGCCAGGCTGGTCTTGAACTACTGACCTCAGGTGATCCATCCACTTCGACCTCCCAAAGTGCTGGGATTACAGGCACGAGCCACTGCACCCAGCCCAGACTCTCATTTATATTGTATAAAGCTTTCAGATAGTGTAGAAAGTTTATGGAACCCAGCACACAGGTGGAATTGTGCATTCATATGCACATCCAGCCAACAGCAAAGATTTTCATTCTCCCACGGGAACGCGGCCCATTGATGAGGTTTTATATCTAACAGCCAAAAGTTTGCAGTCAAAAGGCAGTCAAAAGTTTAAAAACTTACTCTCATACATCATTCCAGTCCATGGTTAGGTTGGTCACCCTCAAACAAAAATTCAGCACACTGTGTGTGCTGTGTGTGGCTGTGGCTCCCTGAAGGAGACAAAGTCTGCAGGAGAGGTTGAGGCTTTTATGGCCAGATTAAGTCCACTATTGAGATTGTGACTAGTATACTTAGATCCAACATACAAGAAAATTCACCCTCATGCATGAAATCAAGACATTTGTGGGATCATTAGTACCATCACTTAAAGCCTCCTGCAGGTACCATTGTGACATGCTTCTGTCTAGCACCTTAGTGATTTGAGTGTCCTGTGTGGGCTAAGCCCACAGATGGTTTTGCTTCAAATCGCTGAGCCCAGCACTTCGGGGATGTGACTCTGTTTTTATTCGTTGGTATTGCCCACAAAGGACATTGTGACATACCACTGGGCTTACTCTTTAGTTGATATGAGTCTCCTCTCCTGCCTTGGTGCTCTTCACTGGTGGAATTTTGACATATCTCTGCATTCCACACCCAGATAATGTAAGTCTCCTGCCTGGTCTTGCCACCATGGGCCACTGTGTCATATTGCTTGGTCCAGCTCTGAGACAATATAACCCTCCTGCCTGAACCCTGCATACAGAGGGCATTATGGCATAGCTCTGCACCCATCACCCAGGTGATCTGACTGTCTTCTTCTGCCTAGGGGAAATTGTGACATATTTGGCCAAACACCTAGCTGATGTGACTTCTTCCTAGGTTCTGTTCTAAGGACAGACAGTGACATATCACTGGGCTCAACTGAAAGGTACCATTACTCTTGTTTCTGGAACCTATTCTCTGATTGCAATGTGACATATATGTGGGCTCAGCACCAAGGTAATGTCAATCTGATGCCTGGCCCTGCTTAGATGGGGCATTGTGACATATCCTGGGCCCATAAACTATTTGGCATAACTCTTTTCTCTTACTTGGCTTTCCCCATAGGAGAGATTGTTACATATCTCTTGGCCCAACACCTAGATAGATAATTCAACTCTCCTCTGTTGCTTAGTCCATGTCCACGGAAAGGACAATGAGTTGTCACTGGGACCTGCACACAGATGATGTGCTATGTCACCTGGTCCCTACTCACAGCGGTCATTGTCACTTATTGGTGTGGTCATTTCCTAGATGGTATGACTCTCATTTCCTTTTTAGGACTTGTTCACAGTGGGGATCATAACGTGTTGTTTGGCCTAGCCCCTAGGATATGTGACTGTCCGTTTCTTATTAAGCCCTGCCCACAGAGTACATAGTGACATATCTCTGAGCCTTCACCTAGGTGATGTGGCTCTCATGCCTGAGCCCTTTACTCAGGGAGTATTGTGACATATTGCCAACCCTAGCACATAGGTTATATGATTCTCATCTCATGCCTGGGCCACACCCATGTGGGAAAATGTGGCATAGAGCTGGGTCCAGCCCCTAAGATATGTGACTCTCCTCCTCTTTCTGGGTCCTATCCAGGGAGGACATTGTGTCATATCTGTAAGGAGTTTACCTAGGTAATGTGACCTATCTGCATGGTCCCTCCACTCAGGGGATGTTGTGAGATATTGCTGGACCCAGTGATGGCAGTGGTGGCCCATGTGGTGTTGTTTATGTGAAGGCACCAGCTTCATGAGGATGTATGGCAGGGGTTGCATGCTTCATGGAGCCAGTGAGAGCCAAGGATATGTGGGAACCTCACCTTTTACCAAGTTAGAGGGGTGGAAGTCCCATGCTCCTGGGCACAGCTGCAGCTGTCCAGCCACAGATCCAGATCCAGGAATCCAGGTACTCTTGAGGGATGAGGGTTTCCCTCTTTTTTCCTGCAGGTTCAGTAGGGCCTGCTCCCACTGTCTGGCATTTCTCCACTCCTGGTGTCTGCTCTGATTTTGGAGGAAAATTGTGGCTGCGGCTGGGTGCCATTATAACCTGGCCAAGTTTGCACACACAGGGTGGTGCTGACATGCTAGACTCTTGTAGCCTTAACACCCTCCAAACTTTGGGCACTGACAAGCATGAGAGAGAGTCCAGGGAGGCTAAGGGCAGCTTGGTGTGGGTCTACAAGCACCTGTTGGCATGAACAGCCTGCATGGCGGGAATGGTATGTTCATGATGGGAGGCAGACGGGTTACTGGGTGGAAAGGAGTGGATCTCCCGTGAAACTCCACCTTCAAACAAGGAACAGCCTGAAGTGGGGGGTTGGGCTTACTTATAAACTTTGGGTGGAGTCAGCAACCCAGAGTGAGAACTTATGATGCTTTTTCTGGGCCCACCCATGACCATCCATGGACCAGTCAGCATGCACTTTCTCCATGCTGAGCCCATAAAAACCCCAGACTCCACCAGACTAGAACAGACATTGGGACAATATGCCCACCAAAAGGATATACATATTGTGGGTCTCCTCTCTGCTGAGAGCTGGACACCTGTCAGGATGACCTGCCTGCTGAAAGAAACTATCCATTTCAGGTCTCTGGAGAGTTGTTCCATTACTCAGTGAATCTCCTCACTGCCTTGCTCACTCTCCAGTTATTCTCATTACTTACTCTTCCTGGATGCAGGACAAGAACCTGGGACCCGCTGAGTGGTGGGATTAAAACGGCTGTAACATAAATGACTAAAACACATCCACTTCCACTCACCATGTTGCAGGTAACAAGAAGGTGAGAAAATAGGTGGCCCTCTGGGAAGCCCAGACCAAGGGTCTTCACAAGCCAGGGCTGTAAAATCTCTTTGGCCTCTGTGGTTTCTGGCATCTCCAAGCTTTTGGTGGCCATGTTCCCCTTGTCTAAACGTGGGTGCCCACAGTGAAAGTTACATGCAGTATACATGTAACTACATGTAAATACATGTAGCTACAGCCTTGCACAGAGCTGGCACATGTGCCAGCACCAGGAGCTGCCTGTCCTGCCACAGCAGGACCCCATGTGTGCTCACTTACATATCCCTTGCCACTTCATGGCTGGATTGATGTAGCAGGTGTGGAATCTGGGCCAGCAGTGCAACTTAAGCACAGCCTGCTGGGCTTAATGGGCAGAACAAGCCAAGTGGCATGAGTGATACTCAGGCAGAAGGTACCTGAGTGATACTCAGGCAGAAGGTACCACCAGTCACGGAGATTTCTAGATGATAAAGCAACACTCCAAAAATCCTTTGGCAGACTCATCTGGGATTTGTAGAATGGCAAATAAAAGCAAACTTGTTGCTTTCTGTCCTAAACATCACAATAGCCAAAAATAAAAGAAAAATACAGGTCCTCTGTTTGTCAGTTAAAAGCAACTGGCAAAGCTGCCTGACTTAAGACAGGGAGGACAGGCTTGCTGAGGAAAACACTGTTAATCCCCCATAACCCTCAGGTGTTGGGAATGTTGGCTTTTTTCTCTTTTTTTCAAATCAGTTTACCTTTACAGAGTTCTAGCCATTGTGTGGAATCAGAATAAGGTATTAGGGCAACTGAATACATCTGGCCAAGGCCATACCTTGACTGACTCCAGTAAACAGCCCCTCAATGTGTTGATACAATGTGTTGGCCCTCCCCAGAGGGTCACAGCCCTTCTCACCTTCTTGTTGCCTTCAGCCTTTTTTATTAACCTCCCTCCCACCCTCCATTTTCTTCCTTCCCTCCTTCCTTCCTTCCTTCCTTCCTTCCTTCCTTCCTTCCTTCCTTCTTCCTTCCTTCCTTCCTTCCTTCCTTCCTACCTTCTTCCTTCCTTCCTTCCTTCGTTCTTTCCTTCCTTGACTGCTGTGGCTGTGATTTTCTTCTCTACCTACAATCTTAAGAATGTTGTTGCAAACCACAGGTACATTACCCGATAGAATGAGAATTTGGTTTAGTCATCAGGAGTAGAAAATGGAAGGTTAAGAGTAGCACAGATTAAAAAAAGTGTTTCTTGGTATTTATACATAAGTTTGTGGTGAAAACTTTCTTGTCATTTCCTTGGTTGTCAAATTTTTCCAAGCACCTTCAGACACAGATAAGAAGCATGGCCTCAAGAAAAAAGCATTAATTTCAATACCATCCTGCAGCTATATTGCCAAGCACCTTCAGGCACAGAAAAGAAGTAAGACCTCAGGAAAAAAGCATTAATTTAAATACCATCCTGAAGCTGGACTTTCTCTGTAAATGTGAAGGCAAATGGTCCAAGATCCCATACGTGCAGACTTTCTTTACCTTGCAGGGTTATCTAGACCTTTGCCAACATTGTAGGATTAATTTGGCCCTCCTGGTGGCCACATCAGGAGAGGCTGCAAGGGAAAAATTCAGGGACTTAGGGAAGCAAACCCAAGAGGTACCTTCAGTGGGGTAGTCAACTCTCTCCATTCCTTCCTATTCAGGTTTTCTCTCAAATTTGTTCCATTCTAGAAATTCTCATTTTAGGCAGGTCTTTGTCTTCTGTCCCTACAACAGATGTCTGGTGAATATGGACCCACTAAAATCAAGGTCTCCTTTACTCTATATGACTTAAGGCAAATTAGGTGTGAACTCAACAAGTTTTCAGATGACCTTGACAGGTATATGGAAGCCTTCCAGAATTTAATCTAAGTATTTGAACTCTCCTGGAAAGAATGTTATATTACCTTTTAATCAAATACTGACTGCTGCTAAAAAGGGGGCTGCCTTGGAAGAGCACCCCTGCAGTTAAGTGCTTTTTTCCTCCACCATGTCAGGATTCAACGTAGTTTTTCCATGTGAGGGTACAGGTGGGTTTTTTTTGGCAGTTCCCCAATTTCAAAACTTCTTTTCTCTCCCTAGGAACTGTCATGTGTAATTCTGAGTTATGAAACTGTCACAATTTGATTAACTGTCTTTGTTCTGTTTCTGTATGCTTGCTTTCATGCCACTGTAAGCCTACTGCAAGCTAGCCCACACCCCCTTTTAAAATGTATGTAAAAGTCAAGTGCTGTCTTTGTTCTGGGCCCAGTGTTTGGATGTTAAGTCCACTGCATCTGAGTGCACTCATTAATCCTCCTGCTTTTACCTCAAAGTAAAGATCTCCCTGGTCCCTCTTGTTCCACGAAAGTGGCCCGAGGCCTACACCATCATCTGCCTCTGGGTCACTCAGATTCAGCTTTGCCTTTTAGGTTTTCAAACCAAAGTTTTGGACAAAAGGGTGCCACATGAGGGTGTTTTTCATAGAACTCCAGAACCCCAGAAATTAAAAGGAGAAGATTCCTCTCAAAATCAGCTTTTGTTTCTTGGAGAGATCCACCCTGTAACCAGTAGTCCATTCAGGAGATTGGCAATAAAAAAAAGGTCTTGCAATGACTGTATTATCTCTTGTCTGTTTGTGTAGTTATATGTGTGTTCTATGTATAATGTTTATATTAAAATGAGTTTTAATTGATTGGCTTAAGGAGAAAATAATAACCTAAATAAAATATTTTTAAAGAAAATAAAGCTATAATGCTTTTAGCTCATATGACTTTGATCTTTGAATTTAAGATTATCGGTAAAATAAGAATGTCTCATAATGTGCACATGTGGTATAAATTATGCAGGTCAGAAACTAGGTTTGCTAAGTGCTTTGAGGTCAAAGGGGCTTCTTTGTCTTTTGAAAATTTTTAACTTGTTTTCTTTACAGTTTGGGTAAGGCCTGGGGACATATGAAGTTAACAACACCCTAACTATGCTGGAAATAGTCTGGCCTTATCTGCATCTACTACATACTTAAAGTAACTTATCAGGTTTTACATCAAAATTAAAAATTGCTAAGAGTTACCATTATAACATATAACTGAGACTACTGAAAGTAAATTTACATGCAATGTGTACAAGGAAAGTAAATATGTTTTTAGTAAAACATTATAAGATGGCATGGGAATATAAATTTTTGCCTAGTTTGAAGCTAAAGGATTATGTTAAATTAGATAAGATAAAGCAAAAGTGAAAACAAGTAGTGGATGGCTTGTAAAACTTAATCTTGTAAAATAAATTATGTGTATAAACATACTGACTAAATTCAAAAAGATATTATTTGGTTTTCCCATACATTGAACATTGGAAGCCAAGCATTTCTTATTGCACTGATCTGCTTTTTAACGAATATTTCTACAGGTTTATAAAAGGCTTGTAAGAATTTCACCTCACTGTCAAACGGATAAAAATTGAATACATTTGCATATAACGTTTCATTTAAAAAAATGGGATGACATGAATAATAGACTAATGGATGGATAAAATTTTGTTCTCTCTCAGCAATATTTTCATGTAATGTTAACACCTGTAATCCCAACACTTTGGGAGGCCGAGGTGGGCAGATCACCTGAGGTTGGGAGTCTGAGACCAGTCTGGCCAATATGGTGAAACCTCATCTCTAATGAAAGTACAAAAATTAGCCAGGCATGGCGGTGGTCACCTGTAGTCTCAGCTACTCAGGAGGCTGAGGCAGGAGAATTGCTTGAACCCAGGAAGTGAAGATTACAGTGAGCCAAGATCATGCCACTGCACTCCAGCCTGGGTGACAGAGAGAGATCCTGTCTCAAAAATAAATAAGTAAATAAATATATAAATAATAAAAAATTTTTGTTTGCTTTGTGAACAGACTATCAAGAAGTGAAGAAAAAAACAAGAGACAGATCATTTGGAAAGCTCACTCTTCCCTTTAATAAGTAAAGGGTTTTGTCTTTTAAAAAAAACTGAGCCAGGGAGGAGCCAAGATGGCCGAATACGAAGAGCTCCGGTCTACAGCTCCCAGCATGAGCGACCCAGAAGAAGGGTGATTTCTGCATTTGCCTCTGAGGTACCGGGTTCATCTCACTAGGGAGTGCCAGAGAGTGGGCACAAGTCAGTGGGTGCACACACCTTGCATGAGCCGAAGCAGGGTGAGGCATTGCCTCACTCGGGAAGCACAAGGGGTCAGGGAGTTCCCTTTCCTAGTCAAAGAAAGGGGTGATAGACGGCACCTGGAAAATCGGGTCACTCCCACCCTAATACTGCGCTTTTCCGACAGGCTTAAAAAACGGCGCACCACGAGATTAAATCCCGCACCTGGCTCCGAGGGTCCTATGCCGACGGAGTCTCGCTGATTGCTAGCACAGCAGTCTGAGATCAAACTGCAAGGCAGCAGCGAGGCTAGGGGAGGGGCGCCCACCATTGCCCAGGCTTGCTTAGGTAAACAAAGCAGCCCGGAAGCTCCAACGGGGTGGAGCCCACCACAGCTCAAGGAGGCCTGCCTGCCTCTGTAGGCTCCACCTCTGGGGGCAGGGCACAGACAAACAAAAAGACAGCATTAACCTCTGCAGACTTAAATGGCCCTGTCTGACAGCTTTGAAGAGAGCAGCGGTTCTCCCAGTACAGAGCTGGAGATCTGAGAATGGGCAGACTGCCTCCTCAAGTGGGTCCCTGACCCCTGACTCCCGAGCAGCCTAACTGGGAGGCACCCCCCAGCAGGGGCACACTGACACTTCTCACGGCAGGGTACTCCAACAGACCTGCAGCTGAGGGTCCTGTCTGTTGGAAGGAAAACTAACAAACAGAAAGGACATCCACACCAAAAACCCATCTGTACATCACCATCATCAAAGACCAAAAGTAGATAAAACCACAAAGATGGGGAAAAAAACAGAACAGAAAAACTAGAAACTCTAAAAAGCAGAGCGCCTCTCCTCCTCTAAAGGAACGCAGTTCCTCACCAGCAACGGAACAAAGCTGGATGGAGAATGACTTTGACGAACTGAGTGAAGAAGTCTTCAGACGATCAAATTACTCTGAGCTACGGAAGGACATTCAAACCAAAGGCAAAGAAGTTGAAAACTTTGAAAAAAATTCAGAAGAATGTACAACTAGAATAACCAATACAGAGAAGTGCTTAAAGGAGCTGATGGAGCTGAAAACCAAGGCTCCAGAACTACTAGAAGAATGCAGAAGCCTCAGGAGCCAATGCGATCAACTGGAAGAAAGGGTATCAGCGATGGAAGATGAAATGAATGAAAAGAAGTGAGAAGGGAAGTTTAGAGAAAAAAGAATAGAAAGAAATGAGCAAAGCCTCCAAGAAATATGGGACTATGTGAAAAGACCAAATCTATGTCTGATTGGTGTACCTGAAAGTGATGGGGAGAATGGAACCAAGTTGGAAAACACTCTGCAGGATATTATCCAGGAGAACTTCCCCAATCTAGCAAGGCAGGCCAACGTTCAGATTCAGGAAATACAGAGAACGCCACAAAGATACTCCTCGAGAAGAGCAACTCCAAGACACATAATTGTCAGATGCACCAAAGTTGAAAAGAAGGAAAAAATGTTAAGGGCAGCCAGAGAGAAAGGTCGGGTTACCCTCAAAGGGAAGCCCATCAGACTAACAGCGGATCTCTCGGCAGAAACCCTACAAGCCAGAAGAGAGTGGGGGTCAATATTCAACATTCTTAAAGAAAAGAATTTTCAACCCAGAATTTCATATCCAGCCAAACTAAGCTTCATAAGTGAAGGAGAAGTAAAATACTTTACAGACAAGCAAATGCTGAGAGATTTTGTCACCACCAGGCCTGCCCTAAAAGAGCTCCTGAAGGAAGTGCTAAACATGGAAAGGAACAACCGGTACCAGCCGCTACAAAATCATGCCAAAATGTAAAGACCATCGAGACTAGGAAGAAACTGCATCAACTAATGCGCAAAATGGCCAGCTAACATCATAATGACAGCATCAAATTCACACACAACAATATTAACTTTAAATGTAAATGGACTAAATGCTCCAATTAAAAGACACAGACTGGCAAATTGGATAAAGAGTCAAGACCCATCTGTGTGCTGTATTCAGGAAACCCAATTCACGTGCAGAAACACACACAGACTCAAAATAAAAGGATGGAGGAAGATCTACCAACCAAATGGAAAACAAAAAAAGACAGGAGTTGCAATCCTAGTCTCTGATAAAATAGACTTTAAACCAACAAAGATCAAGAGAGACAAAGAAGGCCATTACATAATGGTAAAGTGATCAATTCAACAAGAAGAGCTAACTATCCTAAATATATATGCACCCAATACAGGAGCACCCAGATTCATAAAGCAAGTCCTGAGTGACCTACAAAGAGACTTAGACTCCTACACATTAATAATGGGAGATTTTAACACCCCACTGTCAATATTAGACAGATCAATGAGACAGAAAGTCAACAAGGATACCCAGGAATTGAACTCAGCTCTGCACCAAGTGGACCTAATAGACATCTACAGAACTCTCCACCCCGAATCAACAGAATATACTTTTTTTCAGCACCACACCACACCTATTCCAAAATTGACCACACACTTGGAAGTAAAGCTCTCCTCAGCAAATGTAAAAGAACAGAAATTATAACTAACTCTCAGACCACAGTGTAATCAAGCTAGAACTCAGGATTAAGAATCTCACTCAAAACTCCTCAACTACATGGAAACTGAACAACCTGCTCCTGAATGACTACTGGGTACATAACGAAATGAAGGCAGAAATAAAGACGTTCTTTGAAACCAACAAGAACAAAGACACAACACACCAGAATCTCTGGGACGCATTCAAAGCAGTGTGTAGAGGGAAATTTATAGCACTAAATGCCCACAAGAGAAAGCAGGAAAGATCCAAAATTGTCACCCTAACATCACAAGTAAAAGAACTAGAAAAGCAAGAGCAAACACATTCAAAAGCTAGCAGAAGGCAAGAAATAACTAAAATCAGAGCAGAACTGAAGGAAATAGAGACACAAAAAACCCTTCAAAAAATTAATGGATCCAGGAGCTGGTTTTTTGAAAGGATCAACAAAATAGATAAACCGCTAGCAAGACTAATAAAGAAAAAGAGAGAGAAGAATCAAATAGACGCAATAAAAATGATAAAGGGGATATCACCACTGATCTCACAGAAATACAAACTACCATCAGAGAATACTACAAACACCTCTATGCAAATAAACTAGATAATCTAGAAGAAATTGATAAATTCCTTGACACATACACTCTCCCAAGACTAAACCAGGAAGAAGTTGAATCTCTGAATAGACTGATAAAAGGATCTGAAATTGTGGCTATAATCAATAGCTTATCAACCAAAAAGAGTCAAGGAACAGACGGATTCACAGCCGAATTCTTCCAGAGGTACAAGGAGGAACTGGTACCATTCCCTCTGAAACTATTCCAATCAATAGAAAAAGAGGGAATCCTCACTATCTCATGTTATGATGCCAGCACCATTCTGATACCAAAGCTGGGCAGAGACACAACCAAAAAAGAGAATTTTAGACCAATATCCTTGATGAACATTGATGCAAAAATCCTCAATAAAATACTGGCAAAAGGAATCCAGCAGCACATCAAAAAGCTTATCCACCATGATCAAGTGGGCTTCATCCCTGGGATGCAAGGCTGGTTCAATATATGCAAATCAATAAATGTAATCCAGCATATAAACAGAGCCAAAGACAAAAACCACATGATTATCTCAATAGATGTAGAAAAGACCTTTGAAAAAATTCAACAAGACTTCATGTTAAAAACTCTCAATAAATTAGGTATTGATGGGATGTATTTCAAAATAATAAGAGTTATCTATGAAAAACCCACAGCCAATATCATACTGAATGGGCAAAAACTGGAAGCATTCCCTTTGAAAACTTGCACAAGACAGGGACGCCCTCTCTCACCACTCCTATTCAACATAGTGTTGGAAGTTCTGGCCAGGGCAATTAGGCAGGAGAAGGAAATGAAGGATATTTAGTTAAGAAAAGAGGAAGTCAAATTGCCCGTTTGCAGACGACATGATTGTATATCTAGAAAACCCCATTGTCTCAGCCCAAAATCTCCTTAAACTGATAAGCAACTTCAGCAAAGTCTCAGGATACAAAATCAAAGTACAGAAATCGTAAGCATTCTTATACACCAACAACAGACAAACAGAGAGCCAAATCATGAGTGAACTCCCATTCACAATTGCTTCAAAGAGAATAAAATACCTAGGAATCCAACTTACAAGGGATGTGAAGGACCTCTTCAAGGAGAACTACAAACCATTGCTCAAGGAAATAAAAGAGGATACAAAGAAATGGAAGAACATTCCATGCTCATGGGTAGGAAGAATCAATATTGTGAAAATGGCCATACTGCCCAAGGTAATTTAAAGATTCAATTCCATCCCCATCAAGCTACCAATGCCTTTCTTCACAGAATTGGAAAAAACTACTTTAAAGTTCATATGGAACCAAAAAAGAGCCTGCATCACCAAGTCAATCCCAAGCCAAAAGGACAAAGCTGGAGGCATCACACTACCTGACTTCAAACAGTACTACAAGGCTACAGTAACCAAAACAGCATGGTACTGGTACCAAAACAGAAATATAGATCAATGGAACAGAACAGAGCCCTCAGAAATAATGCCACATATCTACAACTATCTGATCTTTGACAAACCTGAGAAAAGCAAACAATGGGGAAAGGATTTCCTATTTAATAAATGGTGCTGGGAAAACTAGCTAGTCATATGTAGAAAGCTGAAACTGGATCCCTTTCTTACACCTTATACAAAAGTTAATTCAAGATGGATTAAAGAGTTAAACGTTAGATCTAAAACCATAAAAACCACAGAAGAAAACCTAGGCAGTACCATTCAGGACATAGGCATGGGCAAGGTCTTCATGTCTAAAACACCAAAAGCAATGGCAACAAAAGCCAAAATTGACAAATGGGATCTAATTAAACTAAAGAGCTTCTTCACAACAAAGGAAACTACCATCAGAGTGAACAGGCAACCTACAAAATGGGAGAAAATTTTCGCAACCTACTCATCTGAAAAAGGGCTAATATCCAGAATCTACAATGAACTCAAACAAATTTAAAAGAAAAAAACAAACAACCCCATCAAAAACTGGGTGAAGGATATGAACAGACACTTCTCAAAAGAAGATATTTATGCAGCAAAAAAACACATGAAAAAATGCTCATCATCACTGGCCATCAGAGAAATACAAATCAAATCCACAATGAGATACCATCTCACACCACTTAGAATGGCCATCATTAAAAAGTCAGGGAACAACTGGTGCTGGAGAGGATGTGGAGAAGTAGGAACACTTTTACACTGTTGGTGGGACTGTAAACTAGTTCAACCATTGTGGAAGTCAGTGTGGCAATTCCTCAGGGATCTAGAACTGGAAATACCATTTGACCCAGCCATCCCATTACTGGGTATATACCCAAAGGTTTATAAATCATGCTGCTATAAAGACACATGCACACGTATGTTTATTGTGGCACTATTCACAATAGCAAAGACTTGGAACCAACCGAAATGTCCAACAATGATAGACTGGATTAAGAAAATGTGGCACATATAAACCATGGAATACTACGCAGCCATAAAAAATGATGAGTTCATGTCCTTTGTAGGGACATGGATGAAATTGGAAATCATCATTCTCAGTAAACTATCGCAAGAACAAAAAAGCAAACACCACATATTCTCACTCATAGGTGGGAATTGAACAGTGAGATCACATGGACACAGGAAGGGGAATATCACACTCTGGGGACTGTGGTGGGGTCGGGGGAGGGGGGAGGGATAGCAATGGGAGATATACCTAATGCTAGATGACACATTAGTGGGTGCAGCGCACCAGCATGGCACATGTATACATATGTAACTAACCTGCACAATGTGCACATGTACCCTAGAACTTAAAGTATAATAAAAAAAAAAGTGGAAAAATAAAAAAGAAAATTAAAAGAAAAGAACTTGAAAAAAAATAAAGAAAGAAAGAAATAAAGAAATTTTGATATATTTCTGGGCCCAGCAAGTAAGTGATTTAACACTTCTCTTTTGCTTGGGGTTTTCCCACAGAAGGGATAGTGACTAATTGCTGAGCACAGCACACATGTGATGTGACTCTCTTGCCTGAGTTTAGCCCACAGGAGTTTTTGTGATGTATCTTTGGGCCCACCACCTAGGTGATGTGACTCTCCTGCTCCACCTTGGCCCTGTCCACAGTCAGGATTGTGACATATTGCATTGTTCCAGAACTGAGGTAATATATACTCCTTTCATTTCTGTGCACTGCTCATAGATATGATTGTGAAAAATAGCTGTGTCCAGCTCCTAGTTTATGTCACAATGAGGTCACATTAATCCTTGTTTTCATGGGTCAATGTGATATATTGCTGGACTCAGTAACAAGGTGTTGTGACTTTTCTGCTTTGATCCTGCCTACAATTACATTATGATGATCTGTGGCCCAATACCAAAGTGATTTGACTCTCCTTTCCTACCTGGGCTCTTCCCACAAGATGGACTGTGATGTATCACTGAACCCAGAACCTAGGTAATGTTACTCTCCTCTTCTGCTTGTGCCCTTCCAAGAGACGGCATTGTGACATATAACTAGGTATAGAGCTCATAATATGACCCTCCTTTTTTTCCCTAAGTTTTATCAATAGGTGAAATTGCAACATATTTTTGGGCCTGTCATCTAGGACATGTAACATTCCTAACTGGGTCCTGCTCTTAAATGGTAAAAATATGGCAAACCCAGCACTTACATGATGTGACTCTCTACTGCTGGGCCCTGACCACAAGAAAAATTGGAATCTATCACGTGTCTCAGAATGTAAGTAATGTGACTCTCTCCTCTTGCTTGTGGCCTGAATACACAAGGTACTGTGACATATTGCTGGGTATGACACCTGAGCAATGTTCCTCTGTTGCCTGGCCCTCCTAAAGGTATATTATGATGTATCTGCTGATCCATCATTTATTTGATGTGGCTTTCATCTTCTGCCTGGGCCATGGCAAAAGGAAGGATTGTGACATATTGCTAGACATTTTATCCATGTGATACAAGTTTTTCTCCTGTTTTGGTGCTGCCCATAGAGTACTTTGTGACATATCATTTGGCCCTGCATCTAGTTTATGTGACTCTCCTGCCCAAATCCTGCCTACAGGAGTGTTATAAAATACCTTTTTTGTTCATTACCAAAATGATGTGTTTGTTCTCTTTTGTCTGGATTCTGTTTAAATAAAGCCAAGGGGTGATGAGTATTGTGCTATATCACTGGACCCAGCACCTAGGTGATGTGACTATTTTCCCTTGGCTGGGTCTGAAATACATTGAGCAAATTGTGACATATCATTTGATCCAGCACCTAAAGGATGAAATGCTCTTGCCTCTGCCTTGCACACAGAAAGCTTTATGATATATCTCTTCACCCAACATCTAGATGATGTGACTCTCCTATTCTGCCTGCATTTCCACACACAAGAACAATTGCGATATATTTGCTGGCCCCAGCAACCAAGTGATGTGACTCCCCTACCTGGGTCTTGTCTACAGTGAACATTATAACATCACTAGTCCCAGGATTAGGGTAATGTGATTCTGCTGCCTGTGACTTACTTTCAGGAAAGGATTGTAAAAAATCTCTGGCCAAACACCCAGGTGATTTGACTTTTTTACCTTGTCCCTGTCCTCAGGAAAGATTTGGATATATCCCTGGCTCACCACTCAGGTGACTCTCCTGCTCACTTTTTGCCCACAGGTGGAATTTTAACATATACCATGGCATCATCACAGATGATTTTTTTGCCTTGAACCAGGCAATGCAAGAGATACTATCTCTCATATTTAGCTGAGAAAAGCATGTAAGAACCTGGACCTCCTATTTCTGTGAAGGTCACAGAAAATTACCACTTTCTCATATGTTATAAAGCCCATGGTGGTAAAATGTATCATCACAGGGCTCAGCACATAGGTGAGAATGTGTCTTTCATAGACAAAACCCATCAACCGTTAGGATTGTCCCCTCACATGTAGACAGAGATCACTGGTGAAATCCTGAATTACATAAAACATAGTCCACAGTAGAAAATTACGGTAGTCACATGTGAACATTTGGTTGAGATCGTGACTAACTCTGCTCATACGCATGTTGAGGAACTCTCAAATAAAGGCAACTGGAGAGCTGTTGAGTCTCATATCTGGGCTTAGATCAGCAGGTAAGATTATGCATTCATAACAGCACCAAAGTATCAGAGCAAATTTGGACTCTCATGAATACCATATAAAGTTCTCAAGTGGTACAAAAAGCATCCTAACAGAACACAATACAGAGGCAGGATTGTGACTCTCCTATGCACACCCAGCAGATAGCAAAGATTGTTATCTTTTTGTATGAACACATCCCACTGTTGAGGTTCTAAATGTCTTACCAAGAGGCTGTGGAAAGTTGCAAAATTGTCTCTCACATGTGAATCCAGTTCACAGGTGAGATTGTGACCTCAGACCAAGATTTAACACACTGAAGCTGTGACTCTACACAGTCACAAAGAAGCACAGTCAGGAGTTGTGATTGACGCTTTCATGCATGGAACCTGTGCACTGCATAGACTGTGACTCATGTACTTACCCAGCATACAGGAAGCATTGACTTTCCTATCTATAACTGAGATATATGTAGGATTCTTAATTTTATCTCTATTTTCCATTAGTTGCAATTGTGACATATAGTGTTTTTCAGCCTCTGAGTGCATTTGCTCTCCTGCCTCGGCCCAGTCCACAGATGGTATTCTGATATATTGCTGGAGCCAGAACATAGGTAGCTGAAGTGACTTTATTCACCTACCTTGTTGCCATCCACTAGAGGCATAGTCACATATCACTTGGGTTAGCAACTGTGTGATGTGACTATGAGTCTTCTTCCTTGGTGCCACCTTCAAAGAGCATTAGGATATATCACTGAATACTGCATACAGGTTATATGACTCTCCTAGCAAGGTTCTGCCCACAGGACTATTGTAAAATATTGCGGGGTCCACCATGTATGTAATATATTAATAACTCTCCCAATTGAGGCCTATCTACAAATGACATTATGATGTCCAGATGATGTGACTTACTTCTTTTCCTGATTTCTGCACACACACGCACACACACACACAACCTGTAACACATCATTGGATCCAGAGCCTAGCTGATGTTACTTTTCTTTTCTTCCTAGGTTGTGCTCCCAGAAGATATTGTAACATATCACTTGGTTCAACACCGAAGTGATGTTACTCTTTTGGCTTGGCCCTACCCTCAGAAGGCATTGTGACATATTGTTAAGCCCAGAACAAAGGTGATGTTGGTGTCCTGTCTGGACCCAGCTCACACAGCATAGTAATATGTCTCATGGCCCACAACCTATTTTACATTATTCTCTTTTCATACCTGGACTTTGTACATAAGAGGAATTCTGATATTTCTGTTCTCAGCGCCGATGTGATTTGACTTTCTTAAATTTGCCTGACCCTTGAAGGGAGAGTGACTTATTGCTAGAACCAGGAAATAGATGATATAATTATTCTGCTGGGAACTACCTTAAGGTATTATTGTGAAATATCTGTGAGCCCATCACTTGGGTGATCTGACTCTCTTTTTCTAAGTGGGCCCTTTCCACAGTGGAAATCATTACAAATCACTTAGCCCGGCACCTAAGTGATGCGACACTCTCCCAGTGACTGGTTTCCATTCAAAAGGGTAATTGTAATATATTTCTAGGTACAGCCCCTAGGTTATGTGATTATCCTCTTCTTTCTGAGCCCTACCTAAAGAAAGCATTTCAATATATTTCCAGCCCCTCATCTAGCATCAGCTAGATGTAACTCTTCGACATGGGACCTACCTTGAAAAGAGTGTGTAACATATCACAGGGCTCAACATTTAAGTAATGTTATTCTCCTACTTTTCCTGGACCTTTCCATACATTGGGTATTGTTACATATAGCTGAGTCCAAATCCTCGGTGATGCAACAATTTTTTCCAGCTCTGCCCTCAGAAGTATTATGACATATCTTTTCATCCATTACCTAGGTTATGTGACTCTTATATTTTGCCTAGGGCCTGCAAAAAGAAATAATTTTGAAATATTTCTGGACTTAGCACTTGGTGATCTAAATGTCTTCTGCCTTTACCTCATCCACAGAGAAGATTGTGACATATCCCTAGTCCAACACTCAAGTAATGTCACTCTCCTCACTCCCTTCACACAGGTGGAATTGGGGCATATGACTACACTCAGCTCACAGGCATGATGATGATGCTTATACCTTAAATGAGCCATTAAGAGAGATACTGTTTATCATAGCTAAATTTAGAGAAAGAGGTGAAATTTTGTAACTTGTATGCACACCCTACTAAGAGTTAGAATTGTTACTTTCACATTTGTACAGAATCCACTGGTGAGGTACTGAATCTTACAAGCAGGTGAAGTCCACAGTTAGAATTGTGACTGTCATATGTGAATGTAGCAACAGGAGGGATGGTGTGTCATTTCTAACCTAGCTCATAGGCAGGGTGAGAACTCTTATATCTGGACCCAGTCAATTAGAGAGATGTTGCCTCTCATACCTGGACTAAGGTATGTAATATCACAAGTCCATATTAGAAGGAAGATGTCAGAAAAGTTTGTGACTCTCATGCATACTCTCAAGCCCTCAGGTGGTACTCAGGATCTAACACAAGGGTAAGATTGTGACACTTCTATGCAAATCCAGGTAAAGATTGTCTTCTGTCACAAGAATAGAGCCCACTGTTGAGGTATTGAATCTCACACCCAGAGGTATCCAAAAGTTGGGCACAGGCAGAATTGTAAATAATCCCCTGGCCATGCACCCAAGTAATGAGTCTCCTCCTTTTCTTGGTGATGCCTACAGTGTCATTGTAACATATTGGACCCTTTTACCTAGGTAACCTGACTCTGTTACCTGAGCCCTGCCACAGACATTGTGACATTTTGCTAGGCTCAGCATTCAGGTAATGTATCTCTCTTGATCCCTAACAACAAAAAGGATTGTGAAGTATCTCTGCAGCAATTACACAGGTGATATAATTCTTCTCATCTTCTTCCTGGTCCCTTCTTACATGGAGAATTCTGACATATTAAATGGGACCAATAATTAGCTGATGTGAATCTTCTCTTTCTAGGTTCTGCCCAAAGGAAAATTGTGACATATTGCTGGGCCCAAGAACAAGGAAGAGTTACTGTTTTCCTTTGACCTTTCCTTAGTAAAGAATTATGGTATATTGCTAGGCTTAGTGCCAAAGTTATGTGAATCTCCTACCTGGGCCGTTCTCTCAGAGGGTATTGCTGGATTAAGAACCTGAGTGATGTGGCTCTTCTTTATTTCATGGTTCACACCCACAACAGGGATTGTAATATATTGATAGGTCCAGCTCATAGGTAAACTTACTCTCCCCTCCTGCCAGGGATCTGCATACATTGGATATTATGACATTTCACTGGGTTCAACACCTAGGTGATTTGACTTTTCCTTCTTAGCCCTGCCCAGAAAATTTAATGATATACATCTTCATGTATCACCTCTGTGATGTGACACTCCTCTTCTTCCAGGGTCCTGTTAAAAAGGGAGAGTTTTACATATCTCTATCCTAGCACTCAGGTGATGTGACTCTCCTGCATGACCCCTATCCATAGGTGGGATTCTTACATATACCATTGCATAGCTCACAGACATGATGCTGACTCTGATACCTTGAACCAGCCAATAAGAGAGATATTGTCTCTCACAGCTAAGATTAGAAAAAAGGGTAAAGTATTGCGTCTTCTAATTCTACACAGGTAACAAGATTACCTGTCTCTCACATATCCTATAAAGCCCTCTGGTGAGTGTCATAACAGAACCCAGAAGCCAGGTGAGATTGAGTGTCTCATATGCACACTTCAATGACAAGATTTTCACACATTGTGACATACCTCTACACCAATCACACAGGCGATGTGACTGTCTCTACGCAGCTGGTTTCTGCTCACAGAAAGCATTGTGACATATGACTGAACCAAGAGATGTTATTCTACTTCCATGATTTTTTGCTACCCGCAGGGGTCATTGTAATTTTTCTTTGGGCTCTTACCTAGCTGACGTGACATCTTTCTTTGGGTTCTGGATTCAGCAGGTATTGCAATATTGCTGGTCCCTGCACTAAGATAATTTGAATTTCCTCTACTGCTTGGGCTTTTGCCAATGAGGAATTGGAAAGATTCATGTATTGCTGGGCCCAGCAACTAGGTAATGTGACTCCCATCTCCTACCTGAGCCTGCATCCATTTTGTATTTTGACTGTGTATTTTGTATATTGTTACATATCACTGAATATGACACCTAGAAGGTGGTAGGCATCTGCCAGTGCCTTGCTCACAGAGAACCTTGTGAGATATTTCTGCATCTAACACCCAGGAGACACGTCTCTCCTCTTCTTCCTGCATCCTTCTCACAGGAAAAACTGTGACATATCACTGTGCCCAAAAGCCAAGTAATGAGTCTCTTCAACATGGGTTTTGCTCACAGAAGAGATGGTAATATATTGCTGAGCCCAGAACATAAGTTATGTGACTACTTCTTGTGCTTTGCTTTCAAGAGGGAATTTAACATATCCCTGGCTGAACACTTGAGTGATGTGGCTCTCCAGCCAGGTCCCTGCCATCAGGGAAGATTGTGACATATATCTGGCCTAACACCGAGGTGATGTGGCTCTTCTGCTTACTCCCTACTAACAAGTAAGATTGTAACACATACCTTGGCCCAGCTCAAAGGTGTGATGATGACTCTCATAGCTAAAGTCAGGCAATAGGAGAGATACTCTCTCTTATAGCTAGGTTTGGGGAAACCAGTAACATCCAGAGTCTCCTGTTTGTAAAATTGCCATAGAGGATTGCTACTCTCTTGCACATTTTGTAAAGTTCTAGGGTGGTACAGAGAGTTTTATAAAGAGAGAGAACACAGGTGAAATTTTCTCATATGCACACCACACCAACCTTTAATACTGTCATTCTATCCCATGAATACAGCTCATTGGTGAGGCCCAGAATCTCATGTGTGAATGCAGTCCACAGTTGAAATTTTGTCTGTTATATGTGAAAGTTGAGATCTTGATTCATTACTAAACTTAGCTCATAGA